>NC_000002.12:59887321-60190352 GCF_000001405.40 Homo sapiens | reverse complement strand
CTTTTTATTCTTTTTTCTCTAAACTTCCCTTCTCGCTTCATTTCATTCATTTCATCTTCCATCGCTGATACCCTTTCTTCCAGTTGATCGCCTCGGCTTCTGAGGCTTCTGCATTCTTCACGTAGTTCTCGAGCCTTGATTTTCAGCTCCATCAGCTCCTTTAAGCACTTCTCTGTATTGGTTATTCTAGTTATACATTCTTCTAAATTTTTTTCAAAGTTTCCAACTTCTCTGCCTTTGGTTTGAATGTCCTCCCGTAGCTCAGAGTAATTTGATCGTCTGAAGCCTTCTTCTCTCAGCTCGTCAAAGTTGTTCTCTGTCCGGCTTTGTTCCGTTGCTGGTGAGGAACTGCGTTCCTTTGGAGGAGGAGAGGCGCTCTGCTTTTTAGAGTTTCCAGTTTTTCTGCTCTGTTTTTTCCCCATCTTTGTGGTTTTATCTACTTTTGGTCTTTGATGATGGTGATGTACAGATGGGTTTTTGGTGTGGATGTCCTTTCTGTTTGTTAGTTTTCTTTCTAACAGACAGGACCCTCAGCTGCAGGTCTGTTGGAGTACCCCGCCGTGTGAGGTGTCAGTGTGCCCTTGCTGGGGGGTGCCTCCCAGTTAGGCTACTCAGGGGTCAGGGGTCAGAGACCCACTTGAGGAGGCAGTCTGCCCATTCTCAGATCTCCAGCTGCATGCTGGGAGAACCCCTGCTCTCTTCAAAGCTGTCAGACAGGGACATTTAAGTCTGCAGAGGTTAATGCTGTCTTTTTGTTTGTCTGTGCCCTGCCCCCAGAGGTGGAGCCTACAGAGGCAGGCAGGCCTCCTTGAGCTGATGTGGGCTCCACCCAGTTCGAGCTTCCTGGCTGCTTTGTTTACCTAAGCAAGCCTGGGCAATGGCGGGCGCCCCTCCCCCAGCCTCACTGCCACCTTGCAGTTTGATCTCAGACTGCTGTGCTAGCAATCAGTGAGACTCCGTGGGCGTAGGACCCTCTGAGCCAGGTGCGGGATATAATCTCCTGGTGCGTCGTTTTTTAAGCTTGTTGGAAAAGTGCAGTATTCGGTTGGGAGTGACCTGATTTCCAGGTGCCGTCTGTCAGCCCTTTCTTTGACTAGGAAAGGAAACTCCCTGACCCCTTGCACTTCCCGAGTGAGGCAAGAGCCTCGCCCTGCTTCGGCTCGCGCACAGTGAGTGCTCCCACTGACCCGCGCCCACTGTCTGGCACTCCCTAGTGAGATGAACCCGGTACCTCAGATGGAAATGCAGAAATCACTCATCTTCTGCGTCACTCACGCTGGGAGCTGTAGACCGGAGCTGTTCCTATTCGGCCATCTTGGCTCCTCCCCCCTTTTTTATAAATTTCAAATTCCAATTGTTTATTGTTGGTGTATAGAAAAGCAATTGAGTTTTGTATATTTATCTCATATTGCTTGTATAGCAAACTTGCTGTGAACATTTATTAGTTTAAAATATTGTATTGGGGTCAATTCTTAGTATTTATACATTGGCAATCATGTCACCTGAGAACAAAAACAGTTTTTCTTTGTCAATATGTATAACATTTTTTTTTCTTCTCTTCCTGTGTTAGCTAGGACTTCTAGTATGATGTTGAATAGAGTGGTGAGAGGGGACATCCTTGCCTTGTTCCTTGTCTTAGGAGGAAAACATCTAGTTTCTCATCATTAAGTATGATGCTAGCTGTATATTTGTTGATAGATGTTCTTTATTTTCCCACTGGGCTCGAAAGATCCCCCAGTCTCAGCCTCATGAGTAGCTAGGACTACAGGTACACGCCACTACACTTGGCTAGTTTTTTTCATTTTTATATTTGAAGAGACGAGGTCTTATTGTGTTACCCAGGCTCCTCTTGTACTCCTGGGCACAAGCATTCCTCCTCCCTTGACCCCGCAAAGTGCTGTGATTACAGGCATAAGCTGTGGCACCCAGCAAGCTGGTAGATGTTCTTTGTCCAGTTGAGAAACTTTCCCTCTATTCCTAGTTTGCTAAGATTTTTTTTTTTTAAATCATGAATGGGTGTTGAATTTTTGTCAAACACGTTTTCTGCATCTAGTCTTATGATTGTGTGAATATTCTTTTTTGTCTGTTCATGCGGGAGATTACATTAATTGATTTTCGAATGTTGGACCAGCCTTGCATATCTGGAATAAATCCTACTTGATTGTGGTGTATTGTTTTATACATCATTGGATTTTTTTTTTAAGACAGAGTCTCACTCTTTCACCCCAGCTGGAGTACAGTGGCACGATCTCAGCTCACTGCAGCCTTGACCTCCCTGGCTCAAGTGATTCTCCCGCATCAGCTTCCCGATTAGCTGGGACTACAGGTGCATGCCACCATGCCCAGCTAATTTTTGTAATTTTAGTAGGATGTTGTTCTGAGGTTTTACCTTTCATGACCTTATTCTGAAGTTTAACCATATTGGCCAGGCTGGTCTTGAACTCCTGACCAGGTGGTTTCACCTTGCTCTGAGATTTCACCTAGTTCTGAGGTTTCAACTTTTCAGAACCTTGTTCTGAGGTTTCACGATGTTGGCCAGGCTGGTCTTGAACTCCTGACCAGGTGATCGACCTGCCTCAGCCTCCCAAAGATCTGGGATTATAGGCATGAGCCACCATGCCTGACAGTTGTTGGATTTTATTTGTTAGCATTTTATTGAGGACTTTTGTATTTAGGTTTATGAGAGATATAGATCTGTAGTCCTCCTTTTTTGGAGTGTCTTTTATTTGGTTTTGGTATTAAAGTAATATTGGCTTAAGAGAATGAATTATGGCTAACTCTTTCTGCCTTTACTCTGCTTCTATTTTTCTGAAGAGGTTGTAGAGAATTGGTATAATTTCTTCTTTGATGTCTAGTAGAATTCACAAGCAAAATCATCTGGATCTAGTGCTTTCCTTTTTGGAAGGTTGTTAACAATTCCTTTAGTAGATATAGGCCTACTGAGATTATTTCTCTTTGTGTGGGTTTTGCTAGCTTGTGTCTTTCAAGGAATTGGTCTCTTTTATTTAAGGTATAAAATGTGTTGGCATAAAGCTGTTTCTAGTCTTCCTTTAATACTTATGGAATCATTAATGATAGCCTTCTTTTATGTCTATCATATTGGTAGTTTGTGTCTTTTTCTTAGTTAATCTGGCTAGAGGCTTATACATTGTATTAATCTTCTCAAAGAACCAGCTTTTGGTTTTGTTATTTTTCTCTATTGTTTTCCTGTTTTCAGTTTTATTGAATTTTGCTCTAATTTGCTTCTGCTTACATAAATTACTCTTATTTCTCTAGTTTCTTAAGGTAGAATCTTAGATTATTATCTTTAAATATTTCTTCTTTTCTGATATATTCATTCAATGCCATAAATTTGCCTCTAAGTACTGCTTTTGCTGCAGCCCACACATTTTGATAAATTGTATTTTTACTTTCTTTAGTTCAAAATATGTTGTAATTTATCTTTCTTGTTGACTCATATGTTATTTAGAAGTGAGTTATTAAGATGCTCAGTATTTGTGTTTTTTCTAGCTATCTTTCTGATTTAATTTATATAGTTTAATCCTGTCATGGCCTAAGAACATACTTTGTATGATTTCTATTATTTTAAATTTGTGAAGGTATGTTTTATGACCAGAATGTGGTTTATCTTGGTGAATTTTCCATGTGAATTTGAGAAGAAGGTGCATTCTGCTGTGCTATAGACTTACATTTGTGTACCTTTCCAAATTCAGGTATTAAAATCCTGACCTCCAAGGTAGTGATATTAGGAGGTAAAGCCTCTGGGAGGTGATTAAGTCCCGAGGGTGGAGCCCTCATGAATGGAATTAGTTCCCTTAAAAAAAAAGTCTTAGCTCTTTTGCCCCTTCTGCCATGTGAGGACACAGAAGAAAGGTGGCCATCTGTGAGCCAGGAAGTGGGTCCTCACCAGACGTTGAATCTGATGCCATCTTGATCTTGAACTTTTCAGGCCCCAGAACTGTGAAAACAAATTTCTGTTGTTTATAAGTCATCCAGTCTATGGTATTGTGTTATAATTAGGTTGGTGAAAAAGTAATTTGCCTTTGAAAATAATGGCAAACCACAATTACTTTTCCACCAACCTAATAGTTCAAACAGACTATGATATGCTGTTTTGGAGTCAATTTTCTATAAATGTCAATAAAATCAAATTTATTAAAGTGCCATTCAGGCCAACCATATCCTTACTTGTTTTCTGGTTGCTTGGTCTGTCAATTATTGAAAGAGGAGTGTTAAACATCTCCAACAATAATAGTAGATTTGTTTATTTCTCCTTGAAGTTTTATCAATTTTTGCCTCATATATTTTGACACTCTGTTGTTGGGTACATAGATGTTAAAAAAGTTTATGTTTTCTTAGAGAATTAACTCCATCATTATATAGTATTCTCTTTATCCCTGATAATTTTCCTTGTTCTGAGGTCTAGTTTGTCTAAGATTAATATAGCTACTCTAGCCTTCTTTTATCAGTATTGTCATGGCACATATTTTTCTATCATTTAACTTTTAACCTATGTGAGTTTTTATATTAAAAATGAGCCCCTTATAGACAACCTACATTTTTGTGTTGTTTATTTTTTAAACCACTCTGATACTGTCTGTCTTTTAATTGATGTATTTAGATCAATATTCACACTTAAAGGGATTATTGATAGAGTTGGATTAAATACCTATGTTGTAATTTCTATTTGTTTCACTTGTTTATTGTTTTTTTTTCTTTTACCTCTCTTTATGCACTCCCTGGTTTTCATTGAGCATTTTATACAATTAGTTTTATCTCCTCTCTTAACATATTGATTATACTTATTTTTTTTTCTCCTAGAGTTTGCAATGCACATTTACAATGATAGTAATCTAGGTCTACCTCAAATAACTATATTGTTTCAGATGAAGTTCAAGTACCTTATAATAAAGTATTCCAAACCAATTATTCTCTACCATTTCTTATGACATTGCTATCATTCATTCCATTTATTCATATGCTACAATCACCAATACACTATCAGTAGTATTAAACAGTTATCTTTTAGATTAACTAAGAATAAGGAAAATAAAGAGGTTTTACCTTTATTTATTCTTTATCTTATACTTTTCCTTTCTTTATGTAGATTGAAGTTTCTGACTTTTATCACTTTCCATTTCCTTGAAGAACTTCTTTTATCTTTTCTCATAGAACAAGTCGGGAGATAAATTCTCTGTGTTTGTTTATCTGAATGACCATTTCTCCTTCACTTAAAGTTTTTTTTGTTGGACTTATAAATCTATTTTGTTGTTTTTCTTTCATTTAATACTTTAAATATTTTGCTCCACTCTCTCCTGCCTTCATGGCTTCTGATGAGAAGTCTGTTGTAATTTTTATCTTTGTTCCTTTATAGGTAAGATGTTTCTGTTTTTATTCAGTTCAAATATGATATGCCTAGGTGTAGATTTTTTTTTTTTCTTTTTTTTTTTTTTGAGACGGAGTCTCGCTCTGTCGCCCAGGCTGGAGTGCAGTGGCGGGATCTCGGCTCACTGCAAGCTCCGCCTCCCGGGTTCACGCCATTCTCCTGCCTCAGCCTCCCGAGTAGCTGGGACTACAGGCGCCCGCCACTACGCCCGGCTAATTTTTTGTATTTTTAGTAGAGACGGGGTTTCACCGTTTTAGCCGGGATGGTCTCGATCTCCTGACCTCGTGATCCGCCCGCCTCGGCCTCCCAAAGTGCTGGGATTACAGGCGTGAGCCACCGCGCCCGGCCAGGTGTAGATTTTTTTTGTGGGGGACTTGCCCTGCTTGGTGTTTGCTGAGCTTCCTTGATCTACAATTCGTCATTAATTTTGTTAAATTCTTGGCCATTGTTACCTCATATATATTTTCTTCTCATCTCTCTTTCTTGTCATTCTGATCTTCCAGTTATGCTTATGTTATACTTTAAAAAATTATTCCACAGTTTTTTTGATGTTTTGTTCCATTTTTATTATTCTTTTTCTCTTTGTATTTCAACCTAGAAGGTTTTCCTTGGCCATGATCATTCTATCAATGAGCTCATCAAAAGCATTCTTCATTTCTGTTACAGTGCTTTTTATTTCTAGCATTATTTTTTATTCTTTCTTAGAGTTTTCACCTCTTTGCTTAGCTTGCTCATCTGTTTTTGCATTTTGTTTACTTTTTTCATTGATACCCTTAAAACACCAATTGTAGTTGTTTTACATTTTCTATCTGATACTTCCACAATCTGTGTCATAACTGAGTATGGTTCTAATTCTTGCTTTGCTCCTCAGACTGTGTTTTTTCCTGCTTTTCCAGCATGTCTTATAATTTTTTGTTAAAAGCTGGGCGTGATGTATTGGGTAATAAGAAATGAGGTAAAAGTCCTTTAGTATGAGATTCTAAGTTAATCTGGCTTGAAGCTGGGCTTGCTTGATGTGTTCAGTAGCTTTATGTGCCAGGGGCTTCTATTATCTCTAGTGTCCTTCTGTTTGCCTCCAATGTTTTCTTTGAGGGGCTTCTTTAAGGATTCCTCCTTAAGTAAAGTCTGTACCCTGCAGTTCTTATAGCAGTAATGTACTGTTATTATACTAGAGTCCTATTGATGTGGTGTGATGTAGATGTGGAGGAGGAAAAATGTTCTATAATCTTATGATAAAAGCTTAGTGTTTTAGTGGACCTAGGCTGTGACTCACGCAAATGTTACTTAGGTGCTTCTCTCCTTAGGTGAGACAGGAAGGCTACGGTGTGCTGTAAATGTTGGGTAAATGTCCCTTCTCATATATGGAATGAGGATCTGGGAAAGTTTGTTTTCCCTACAGCACAGGACTTTACATGGATAATGTTCTTGATGTATTTTAAAATGATTATTTTTTCCCACCTTCTTTTATAGCCATGAGATCTTTCTTGGTTTTGCACTGTGAAAACCTGGTAGGGTTCCTGGAGGTAAACTCATAAAAGTGTAGTGACCCCGCTAACATCGTGGCCTCTAGGAGTTTTTCACTCTCCTGCTAGTCCATATTCAGCCAGAAACAATTCATCAAAATTACTGCTTAAGTGTTTCTTCCAGTTTCTGGCTCCAGTGGTTTCTGTTCCAGGGAAGCAGATCTTGGCCATGACTCTTTGTGAAGTTTTGGGTTTACAGAGTTTCAGAGGTACAAAAAAAAATACACATTCGACATAATTTTTTGGTTAGGAATTTCAATAAGAAATTTAATGGCTGTAAATATATTTTGTTTTGATACATGAAGGTGATAATACAGTAAACAAAAATTGAAAGAAAGATTATCTTACAAACTCAATAAGAAGAGTTGAAACACTCATAAAACTAGAAGAAATTTCCAGCCACCATCCATCAATGAAAGAACATGGTGTTACTTGAGTAGCCAGCGACTCAAACAAAATAACAAATTTTTTTTTCCACCTTGAGCAGTACTAGTTCCCAATGGCAACCATGTTATTACCAACAGTGGTGTGCTTAATGAAAAATCATGTTCCCTAAAAAGTAATTAGTTAACTGGGTCTAATGTATATTATGAAAATTTAAGACAATGGGAAAATTGCCTATGCTCTATAAGATGTAATAGTTATCTGTAATCTTTTGTCAAACGAGACAGGGTATGCCTAAATAAATGTAAAGGGGTATCAAATCATATATTCTTAAATGTGCACAAGATTGGTAAGTTCACTTATTATATAAAAGCTGTAACTCTCCACTGGTATCCTGGTGGCCAGAAAAAATCAATGCCATTTCCAAGCATGCTTCCTGTGGTCTTAGTGACAACTCTTCTCACCCCCAGCTACTTTGTCTCATGAATTCCCTTCATACAGCCTTAAAACTGGAAGGAAAACCATGGAATGCAAAGGGACACATTAGCATGTAAAGCCTGGTGCCTGCTCATCTGCAGATGAAAGGTCACAAAGAAGATATTTGCAACGAGGAACAGCAAGTTGTGACCACTCTCCAGATCTGTACCCGTCAGACAGAGGTTGACACCTGTGACAGGTACATTCTGATTTCCACATGCCTTGTGCAAAATCAGACGTGCTCACAACAGCATGGCAGCCAAATGTCAAGTACTTCACCTCTCAGCATGGAGACATTCAGAAACCCTGGCTGGAAAAGGCCCTTGGATTCACCTCCTGAAGTGTGCACCATGCAGGAGAACCAGACCCGGAGAGGGTTCTTTTAAGCCTTGTCAGACAACAGGCTGGAGGAGTCGTGCATGGTGACACTCCTTGTCCCCAGTGCTTTGCGCTCCTGTCCCTCCCTGACCTGGCCATCCACAGGCAGAGGCTGCTGGAGGGATAGTGAGTGTCTCTCTGCCCCCTTGCTGTTCCTGATGGGGTTTCATGATGGGAGAGGGAGGAGAGTGAGTGATTTCAGAACAGAAAATGAAGCTTGTATGTAGACTTGGGATGGCAAACTCAGGCTGGAAATCTGACAAACTGGATTGTTCCTTGGGATTCAGGAGCTCTCACAAGAGAGAGAACATTGAGGAAAAAATGAAATGTCTAAAATTCTTTAAACCAGAAGTTGGGTCTTGATGGGCATTTAGAATTATTTTAGCTGGAAACGTGAGACAGACTCTAGAGAAGTAGGTTTTCCCAGGACCAGAGCTAATCTTGAAGAAAAGGAAGGTGCTTTCACTCTCTTAGATGTGACTCTGGGCCTTTAGGAAGATTGCCCAAATCAGCTTTGACATGCACCTATAGGGAAGATGTCTAACTTCCAGAGGGCAGATGTTTTTCACCTGGGGTAGGCTTTGTAGGGATCCATGCACATTCTGTTGTGACCTTTCTTGTGACCAAGAGCCAGTATGAGTTGTCCCCAGAAAGAGTGTAGTCTGAGGCTTTTGAAACTGAGACCCTGGTGCTGTCTTAGCAGAAAGCCAAGAAGGATGCTTAGGAGACAGTGTTGCACCGACTTTCTGCAGAACGGCTTTCATTGAAATGTTCTGTAGGATAAAAGCTGATTTATGATTTAGCTCTATATAGTGTGTCCTTAGTTTATGATTATAAAAATGTCAGAGATAGTGTTATTATTTCATCTGGTGTTTTGTTTTCAAACATTTTTTGGACATAGTGAATCTGATGTCTTTCCTCCCTTCCTCTCTTCCTTCTCTCCTCCATTATTTCTCTCGTTCTTTATTTCCTTTTTAAGATCAGTGTTAACTCAGAACCACAGATCTGTGGCCTATCAGACATAAAAGTATATGGCAATTAGGACATGCATTTTTTGGGCTTCATTTCTGACTCCTTTTGTTCTCTTGTGGAGTTTACAGAGCCTGCATAACTACCTTTTGTTCTTTTTGAAGGAAGGCTGGTATGAACACACCAATTAGTAAATGAGCATAGTAACCCAAACATTGAGCCTGGGACACAGACTTCTAGTAATTGCCTGAGAACCAGGCTAGAGTAGAATATAAACTGGTGGACTCAAAGGAAAAGGCCAAAGGGCCTGATTTATGATGACCTGAAAATTTAGGCCTGGAAAGAATCTGACCCACTGACTTGAAAACATGAATTTTTCTGTTAAGCAGTAACAAGAACATGGACTTTGATGTTCAAAAGACTTCTTGAGCCAGGAATGGTGGCTCACACCTGTAATCCCAGCACTTTGGGAGGCTGAGTCGGGTGGATCACTTGAGGTCAGGTGTTCGAGACCAGCTTGATCAACATGCTGAAACCCCGTCATTACTAAAAATACAAAAATTAGCCAGGTGTGGTGGCACACGCCTGTAATCCCTGCTTTTTGGGAGGCTGAGGCAGGAGATTTGCTTGAACTCGGGAGGCAGTGGTTGCAGTGAGTTGAGATCATACTGCTGCATTCCAGCCCGGGTGACAGAGTGAGACTGTCTCAAAAAAAAAAAAAAGAAAAGAAAAGAAAAGAAAAAAGACTTCTGTTGCATTTCTGAGACCATCACTTATTACATGAACTTCAGCAGGCCACTGATCCTCACCGAGGCCTCAGTTTCCTCATCAGTAAAATGGGAATAGTAATATACATATGGCTATTATAAGTATTAAATCAAAGCATTTCTTTAGCACCCGAAATGTTGGCTCCTCATTCCACAGTCTCTTCCACGAGGTTGGCATAAATGTGTTTGGAACTGTTCTCCTTTTTCAAATCTCTGGGAAGCTGTGGACGTTCATGCCTTCCTTTGAAACAATCCTAGCACCCCAGGGACTTGTCCGCAAATTCAGCTTGTGTTCGAGCCTGTTTAAGGGGCTTTTACTTTCATCTTCAAGGGCCAAATGCTAGTGGCTGCTTTTAATGAAACCAAATCCTTCCTAGTTCTGTGTGATTTGGAGATTTGCTTCCCCAGCCTGGGCAGCAATTGGATACATTCTGTTTTCTTTATTTTCCAAGTGACCCCAGAACACTTTGTGATTCTAAAACTGACCTACTGGGAAAAACAAAATAAACTCTTCCATTCCAGCTTCTCTTTCTCCAAACGTATTTGGAAATGATCTGACTTTATACACCTATCATCAAGCTTGCTGGTTCCAGGGTGATAACAACTAACATAAGTGCATTATCGGTTACACGTTCTGGGAAGGCCCCGCAGTGTGTCCTTGCCACACAGATACCTTCTTCAGCTATGGGTGGGTCAGGAGCCAAACATAGAAGAAATAGGTAAAATCACGAAAAAAATAAACCCCAAACAAATTGAAATATTAAATCTTTTGGCCCCAGAGGCTATGTATCCTGTTTCTATTTCTCACTGATAAATTATAATCTCTTCTCAAAAGCTGGGTGTCAGGATAGCACCGTAATTCCTTGATTTGGTGCTTTCCTGTGGAATTATTTTGGGGGCAGGTGCTGTATCAGGAACAGTGAGGCATTTTTCTCTCTGCTTTTCTCTTCGGGCCTCTGAAGGTGACAGGTGTCCACCTGGCCTCACAGGAGAAGCCCAGGGTCTGTGATCTCCTCCATGTATTTCCTCTGCATTCCACTTTGGCCACAAATGATTTGGGCCCTAGTTTTTCTCAGCTGAGCCTGAGGCTAAAGTCTCTTGGTGTTTCCCTTTACAAGGACACTGTCTAGTTATGGATCTTGTGGGCAGTGGCTGCATGGCCCCGACTGTAGCCTGGGTTTGAACCTGGCCCCTTCTGTCACCAGTTGTGTGACTTTGGGCAGGCCTGTAGCCTGGGTTTGAACCTGGCCCCTCCTATCACCAGTTGTGTGACTTTGGGCAACTTACTCCACTTATGTGTGGCTCAGTTTTCTTGTTATAAAATGGGGATAGTAAAGACATCTGCTTCAAAGGGTTGTTCTGAGGATTGAATGAAATAATGCATGCGTAGGACTTAGCACATTACTGGTGATATTTTAAGCACTCAATGTATTAACCATGGCCACCACTATGACCATGTGGGTTTGTCCTTGAACATTCAGTGGACGGACTGTTTTCTTTAGGAAGGATGGGCATTAGAAGTCATTCAGAAACTTCAAAAGTAACAAGATCCTGAAAAATATTCTCGAATTTTCGTACTTCCCAAAGGAATATAAAATCTCCAAGAATGAAGTGAAGGGCTGAAGATGTCATCCTAAGGATGGGGGTCTCTCATTTGTGCCCTCTTCCTCCCGAGTAGGATACAATCTTAGTCTCTTGGGCTTAACTATGGCCACCTCTCTTGGCCAGAAATCTCTTTCCAACCCATTCAATATACCAAATACTGTGTTAATCTTCCCAAATGATACCTTATCTTTGCTAGTAGCCCTTTTTTCAGAAGTGTCCACTGTTGCATAAGGCCTGTTCCATCTCCATTACTCCTCTGCAGCTGGACTGGCTGACCTTGTTCATCCCCACTCCTGTGCTTTGCTCTGTGCTACCGAGTACTTTTACCTGGAGGGCATGGCCTGTGTATCTAAATTACACAAATCGATCAAGTCCCCCAGTACAGCCTCTTCTGTGAAGCGTTCACTAACTGTGCCGGCTCGCTGTTCTCTTTCCTTCCCTGGAGTCACCATAGCCACCAGATGTCTATCATTAATTTGGGACCATCTGGGTTAACTCTAAATTCACAAGCCAAAATCACGAACACACCTTCAACAATGTGTAAGCATCCTATTATGTTTTTCTTCTCTACTCAGTCATCCCCCCCACCTCCTTTCCTTCCTACCTCTTTTTCACTGGCAACTTGGTCTCATACTTCCCAGAGAAGATAGAAGAAATCCTCATGTCCCTCTTCTGCTGGACCCACTGAACTGCTTCTGTAGCTATACTCTATCTTCCCTCCCCTTGGGCAGTGAGTCCCTGCCCCTCACAAAGGCTGACCTTCCCCTGTGCTCCAGATCTTATCTCTTTGACCTTAAGAGCTGCATCATTGATTTCTTCTTGTTTATGGGGTCATTCTTATTAGCAAACAAACATACTTTTGAAACCACTTAAAACAATACCTGCCTCTTGAGGCTACTCCTTCCATCAAATTCTCCAGCAAATTAAGAAAACTCTGTCTATAATGACTATTTATACTTCCTTACTGTACTTTTCTCCTCTGCACACCTCAACTGGGCTCCAACCTATTAAACCCAAACTGCACTTTTCAAGTTCATCACTGATCTCAATATTGCTTCTCCATCCTCATCTGACTCAGTTTCCTGCAAATATGCTAGTTGACCATGCCCTCTCCTAGGAACACCTTCATCTCTTGGCTTTCATAACACCTCATTCTCATGGTTTTTCTCCCACCTCTTGTCCACTTCTGCTTGAAACCCTTTTCTGGTTCTTTCTTCTCTGATGGTATATTAGTCAGGTTTCTCCAAAGAAACAGAGGCAATAGGATATATACATGTAGATATATGAGAGGGGATTTATTACGGGAATTGGTGCATTTGATGATGGAGGCTGAAAAGTCCTATGATCTGCCATCTGCAAGCTGGAGAACCAGGGAAGCTGTGGCATAGCTCAGTCCAAGTCCGAAGGCCTGATAATTTCCAGCCTGAGGCTGAAGGCCTGAGAAGCAGAGGGACTGTGGTTCAAGTCCTGGAGTCTGAAGCCCAGAGAATTTGGAGTTCTGATATCCAGGGGTAGGAGAAGATGAATGTCCCAGCTTCAGCAGAGAGAGAAAAAAATTGCCGTTTTTCTGCCTTTTTGTTCTATCTGGGCTTTCAACTGATTGGATGGTGCCTGCCCACATTGGGTGAGGGTGGATCTTCCTTACTCAGCCTACTGATTCAAATGCCAATCTCTTCCGGGAACACCCTCACAGACATACCCAGAAATAATACTTCGCCAGCTATCAGGGTATCCCTCAACCCAGTCAAGTTGACACCTAAAATTAACCATCACAGATGGGAATGTTACAATGTACCAGGGTTGCTTCTGTTCTCAATCATACTGTTTTCTTGGGTGATTCCAGCCAGGCAAACAGCTTTAACTACAATATATATGCTGATGACTTAAACATTTATAACTCTAACTTTAAACTCTTTCTTTAACTCTAGATTCTTTTCTACAATGACCAACTTGGCATTTCCACTTGACTGATAGGCGTCTCAAACCTAACTGCCAGCTCTACCTCCAAAGCAGATCTGAATTGGCCACTTCTCATCTTCATTGCTTCCCACTGGTCCCCACTGCCATCATCTCTCTCCTGGTCTACAGCTGTGGCCTCCTAACTGGTCTCTCTGCTCTCATCTTTGTCTCTTGTAATCCACTCTCCACACAGCACCCAGAGTGATATTTTAAAAAGTAAATCGGATCATGTGTCTTCTCTGGTCAAAACTCTTCAACAGCTTCCCATTGCACTCTTGCTACCAGCCTAGGGAGGCCTGGCTTCTTTGTGCCTGCAGCCTCCCAATGCGTCATGCTCCCCACCGCATACCCTGCTAATGCCTCTGCCAGCTGCTTGCTGCTCCTCGGAGCCTGTTGCCCCCCATGTGTGCTCTGCTCAGGGGCCTTTGCACTTGTTGTATCCTCTTCTGAAGATGCTCTTCCTCTAGATCTGTACACGCTGTGCCTTCCTGTCATTGTTTTCAACTTCATTGTCCCTTCTTTTGAGAAGGGAGGTCATTTTCCACATTGCCCTCTCTGAGTTTTCATCATAGCCTGCGTCATTCCCTGATACTTTCTTGTTTGTTCCTTTGTTTACTTGTGTATTGTCCTTTTCTTCCACTAAAAAGTGGGCACTTTGAGGAGAGAGATCTTTATCTTATTCATCATTGTATTTTCATTCCCCCCCACACGTAAAAAGTGCTTAATGCATATTTTTGAATGAATATATGCTAACTACATAGAGTCCAATATTTCTGATTTTGCTAATACTTAAGGCTTGGAATGAGAGAAATGCTTGCTCTCTGAGATGGAAGTGTTTGAAATAAATCAAGGCAGGGATGTGGGAACTCTCTTCTAACAGACAGATTAGTTCCCAGACCAAGACTTGACTGTGAGGGACTAAATTCACATACTTCAAGCAAGAGTACATCAATGAGAGAGGTGATTGGCCAGCCCCCAGAAACCTACAGGGAAAGTCTTTGAAGCCAGCATTACCCCTTGCGAACACTGACCAGGAGCCTCTAACACTGAAAGATGGGTCCTCTAGGACCATTGGCAAGAACTTCTGTGAGATTAGAGCATTTAGCTAGTTGTAATTAAATGTTCAATTAATCAGACTCCGTTCCACACAAAGTCCGTGTGTACTGCATAGCCTTGGGACTGTGTTTGGCCTCCCCTGTAGGTCTACCTACATGGGTAGGATGTGCTGGTCACATGCACTTTAGGTATTCAGTGCTTGGACAGATATTGCTCAGTGCAATTAACTAAAATGGCATCCACTTTAGTACATCAGCCTGGTGAGCTTGGTATAATGTGCATCTTCCTCTGAGTGATAGACTTGTCTTTTGAGTGATGACAAAACCTGGTTTCTGAACCTTTGTGACTGGATCTAGGTACATTCATCAGGGAGCAAAGGTCCTTTTGTGAAACTCTTAGGAAACAGGCTGCTAACTTTCCCCCCAGGAGGACTACATTCACTTAAGAAAATCATCTTTCTACTTGCTACCCTTTCAAGCACCTTATTTTATAAACATATTTTGAACCCTACTATGTGCTGAGTTCTTTCCTAGGTCCTGGGATCCAGCTACAAACCCTGAATAGGCTTCTGTTGCTTTGGAATTTAGTCTAGTGGGAAAGATAAACTGTGTACAAGTAAACAAATTGAGGAACAGGGTAATTTCAGATAGTGATAAATGCTATGAAAAAAGTAAGTCGGGTAATGTGATACAGGGGTTGGGTACATGACAACATTAGTTTCCAGAGTCAGGGAAGGCCTCTTTGAGGAGATGACTTTAGGCTTGACCTTGAGTGGGAACTATGGGGAGGAGTTTTATCTCTTGGAAAATCACGGGGAAGAGTTTTATCTCTTGCCCCTAACTGGAATGTCAGATTTTGGTTGAAGATTGGGTGAAAGGGACAATATGAATCATACAATACATATTTTCTGAACCTCAAGTTGAGATATTGTCTGCTATGGACTGAATTATGTCCCCCTTAAATTTTATATGTTGAAGTTCTAACCCCAATACGTTAGAATGTGACTGTATTTGAAAACAGGATCTTCAAAGAGGTAATTAAGTTAAAATGAGGTCATTAGGGTGGGCCAAATGACCTGCATCCTTATAAGAAGGGGAGATCAGAACGCAGACTTACACAGAGGGAGGACTTCTTGAGAAGACGGCCATCTACAAGCCAAAATGAGAGGCCTCAGAAGAAACCAGCTTTGCTGATCCCTTGATCTTGGACTTCTAGCCTCCAGACCTCTGAAGAAATACATTTCTGTTATTTCAGCCACCTGGACTGTGTGTTTTTTTTTTTGTTATGGAAGCCTTAGCAAACTAATATGCTGTTAAAAGAGAAATGTATTTGAAACTGAGAAAGCCTCAGAAAATCCTAACCATGTGATCATCAGCCAGCCCAGGCCAATTCAGGTGATGGCTCATTCCCAGACCTGAGCTATGACAGCAACTTTGACACTGCAGCCATACCTCAGAGACTACAGCCTCCAGTCCTGTTGACATGGAGCACCTGTGAGGCAGCAACCACCTTTGCTCATCAGCATCCTTCCCAGGATTTGAACCATTGACCTTACCATTGCAAATGAGTCAGATAATAGACAAGTGTTCTTACTTGCATGCTGAGACTGTCAGTGTATAATTAGCTATGAGTAACAATAATGATGATGATGATGATATGAGGTGCTCAAGGGCCTTTGGAATTTGAGGCCTATAAAAATACGACATATTATTTTTATCATAACTATAATCAGGTACAGACACCTAGATAAAAAGACGACTTCTCATAGTGTAATAAATAACACATGACCATAAAAGTATCTAAAAATCTTTATTTTCCTACCTTTAGAAATCTGACCATTGAGTCATTATGACAATAATTAAAGCACCTTAAAAGTTTTGTCCAGGACCCACATAGAGGTGCATACTGCCTTTTTTCATTGTACATGTTCTCACTGGCTCCTATTCAGTGGCTTATGAAGACCAGGCCTTTGGCACTTTGTCTTGGAGATAAGACATTGGAGACATCTGTTTTTGAAAAAGGAATCATCTATAAAATATAATCAGCCTATAAAGGCACACCTACCAACAATGTGCAAATTCCCAAAGAAGTGAAGGTTGGGCCACTCATGCCGTACCTGGAGAGCACGTCCTATGAATAAGGATAATTTTATTAGCTGAAAACTTAGTAAAATTCTAAGCCAACTTAAAGGGTGTGTGGAGCAGGTGGGGCAGATGTGCTGAGTGGTCATGAAATTATTTGGGAGTGATCTGTATAGGGGCAAGGAGAAGACCTAAAACCATGGGATTGTTTCTTTCCTTCCCTTCATCCCTTCTTTCTTTTTTCTTTTCCCACTACTTTTTTCTTTTTCTTTTCCTTCCTACTTTGACTTTTTCTCTTTTTTCTTCCATTTTAATTGATTTTTTTTTTTTCCTAAAGATAGGTTCTCACTCTGTCACTGAGGCTGGAGTGTGGTGGCTCAATCATGGCTCACTGCAGCCTCGACCTACTGAGCTCAAGCAATCGTCCTGCCTCAGCCTCCTGAGTAGCTGGGACTACAGGTGTGCACTAAGACACCCACTGATTTGCAGGGGTTTTAAAGGAATTTAGAAGTAAAATTCCCCAATAAACATAATTATATCTGCCCCCTACACTGAAGGTAGGGAAACTAAGGAAAGTGGGCTGCCTCACTAAAAAATGAAACAAAGTTGTCTTTCTCCTCTCCTCCCTCCCTCTTCTTTCTTCTTCAGCTCCACTGGGCTTTGCTCACAAGCAAAGAAAGAATAGAATAAAGCAGGTGGCAGAGGATTCTTTGGGGCTTAAAGCACATTCTGTGAAAGTGTGGTAGTTCTGGAATGTCTGAAGATCAAGCTGGTGGTTTCAGTATCTGGGTGCTTGCGCAGAGAGTGGAGCCAGAAGCAGCGCAGTTCAGTTATCAAAGGCTCTGAGGGCTGCAGAGATGGTGCAGTTAGAGGCAGGCTATTCTCTCAAACACCCATAGAAAGGAACAGACTTGGTAAAAACTCTTCGTCCAACAAACAGACCAAGTATATGGGGGTCTATTTGTTGTCAAGCTTTATTAAAAGCTCCTTTCATTTATCTGATATTCAGTGTTCTCACCTGGAAAGCAGGCTTAACATGCACATTGTGTCTACAATTAAACAAGTCAACAAAAAAGTACCTGTACTCAGCCCTCAAAATATTCCCTGAAACCAAACCTAAAAGCAACTGAAAACCAACTGGAACCAAACCTGAAAACCAACTGAGCAAATTAACTGGATGAGAGAACCAATTTCAACTTGTCATTTAACATCATATAGATCCTAAGGAACAAAGGTTTGACTGAAGTTCAATTTTTTTTCCCCATTGCTGACAAGTTGGTTGGTATACAGATACACACACACACACACACACACACACACACACACACACACACACATATACACTCTTTGGCTCACAAAGACTCTGAGTTCCCTGTTGCCCTGAGTCTAACCTCTTTGGCTTTTAAGGCTCCTCATCACAAGGCCCTACCTTCCCTCTCTACTGTCTATCTAATTTCTCACCACTCCCTAATATTCACCTGTAACTTGAGAGTCAGGCTGGTGTTTTCTCCCTATGTCCTCCTCACGCTTGCTTATTTCCATTGCCATGCTCTTGTTTATGTTGTTTGCTTTTCCTGAAATGAGCAATGTCCCTACCAGTGTCCCTAACCATCCATCCATCCATCCATCCATCCATCCATCCATCCATCCATCCAATCATTCATTCATTGATGTCTTGACCACAAGGCACCATGTTCCAGATGTAGTGCAAGTTTCCTTGTGGGGAGAGGGATATAATAGACTAAAGGCAGGGTCACTCCCTGTGGATTTTTTCTGGCTAGAAGGGGCAGGATGGGAGATGGACACTCATTCAACACCAAAACAAGTCTATAAGTGCTGTAGTGATGTAACCTGTATGTCAGTCACTGTTTTCTGTTCCTACCTAGCTTCCTGGAATGCCCCTTCCTGGCATTCCTGTGGCACCCAGTTGTCTTCTATGTGCTCACATCCGAGGCCAGTCAGCTAATATGGCAACCACTCCTTATTCCTCTTCTTCTCATGGTTCTGTCCTGGCCACTGGGTGGGCTTCCCCCTCTGGGCTCTGCTGCCCCTGCTGCTGGGCACTATCCTTCTGCAGACATCCTTTTCTTCCCTGCCTCCTTTAGCCACAACTTCTGCTTCAACTGCAGCCTTCTTGTGTGCATACAATGTGCATAGATGGCGAAACCCAAGGTAGTTGTTCCCCAACATCTTACAGAGGTTTAAGGAGAAATAGAACTATTGGGTTTTACTCACAGCGATCTCGCTCCCTGGGAAGCAGACATAAGTTCATCAGGGCCTGGATGGGGATATCTCACCCCGCTCTGTGATTCTTTCTCCTATGAAGAAGACTGTTTTGCATGAGTCCCTTTTCTCTTAGAAGTTCTAACCCAGGAGGTTCCACCCACTCATTGGACATCCCCAAACAGATCTTATTCTCAGCAGTGGACTCAGTCTGGGCACTGCTCAGAGTTCTTGGCTACTTTGGTTATAGCGTTATGAGAAGTGGAGTAAGAATATTTCCTGCAAGGACAGAAGAAAAAGTTAAAGAGGAGGTAACAGAAGGTTTAGAAGGATTAGAAGGATGAATCACTAGACGGTGAAGAGGCAACTCAGGCAAAAAGAGCAGTGTGCTCAAAGGCATAAAGTTCTGGAAGAGCATGAGATGATGCAGCCCGTGGCTGTGTTTTAGGAAAAGAGAGGAACTGAGGGTGGGAGGTTAAGTTGCAACCAGACTGTAAAGGCTCTTCTAGCCCAGTGTAAAGCATTTGGACTTTGGAGGTCTGGACTCCATGGCAAAATAGTCAAGCATATATTTTGGATTTAAAATGCCTGACTTTATGCCATGATTCAGGTTTCATTACATTTCCAGATTTATTCTTAGTATAGATTCCTTCTCTTAAATACATTTCTTTCAATGCGTGAGTTTTATGTTTTTAAAACTTCATGATAAGATTCTAAGAATAATAACATATGGAGAAGAAATGGACTTTGCTTAAATTTACTACTGCATACCTTGATTTCCCAACAAATTCTCCTAATTCCTGGGTTTAAAAATTATGCAAGAATAAATGGTCAAAAGCAAAATGTTAGCCATGAGTGGTAATGCTGTGTAAACTGAGTAATCTCCAAGTTCTTCTGGGTGGCATGATGAGGGCTTCTCAGCTTCATCTTGAGTAGGACCGATGCATTTGACTTATCACATCTTAGATCACACAAAGGGAGGTATACCTCTTAGTCATCAGCTTTTGCTGGGTACTTTATTCATTGTCGATGACACTGTAGAGGATAGAGAGGCAGGGCTTCTACTTCTTTCATTACTTCCACATGAACTAACACAATGTTCTGCACCTTCTTGGTCCCCAGAAAAGCCTCACTGAAGCAGGGCAGGGGGATGGTAGGATAAAGAAATGGCCTGGGATATGGAAAGATGCCAGAGCTTTGGAATCAACAAGGCCTGAATATGAATCACTTTGTTTTGCTGGTTACTGGCTGTGTGATCTTAGAGAAGCGAATTCATCTCTCTCAATGTCCATACATGTGAATTGGGCACAATAATATCTAGCCCATAGACCTGATGAAAAATCTTAATAGATTAACCCATGAGCAGTGTTGGGCATATAATTAGCACTGGACTGCCTAAAAATCAACAACAAATAGAATCTGAAAATGCCACAATGCGCTATAGAGATAAGAACAGTAACTCTATATTCCCCAGTCTAAAGGAATGTTGCCTATGTCTATGAAACAAAATCTAGACGATTTTGATTTATTCAGAACTTGATTTTATTTCCTCTTGTTGCACAGGGGGATTTCTTCCTCTATCTTTCCCCGCAGTACTGAGCAACCCCATCAGACTCCCCTATGGCCCTGCATCCATATCTGGACATTCCGCTTCATCCTACTACAGGCACACGCCCGAACTTTTGGGAAATCTACCTGGGGGTGAGGGAAACAAGAACTCCCAGTCATTCCTGGAAAAGATGATAATGGCCCACCTAGGCAGCACCAGTTGTTTCTGTCTGAGTTCTCTTCTTTGAACAATGACAACCAGATCTACTCCTTGAGCCCACATTTCTGGGAGGACAAGTGCTCAGGGATAGCAGGAGCACCAGTCTTTTTTTTTTTTCAGATGGAGTTTCTCTCTTTTTGCCCAGGCTGGAGTGCAATGGTGCGATCTCGACTCACCGCAACCTCCGCTTCCCGGGTTCAAGCGATTCTCCTGATGCAGCCTCCTGAGTAGCTGGGATTACAGGCACGCACCACCACACCCGGTTAATTTTATATTTTTATTAGAGATGGGGTTTCTCCATGTTGGTCAGGCTGGTCTCGAACTCCTGACCTCTGGTGATCTGCCTGCATCAGCTGCCCAAAGTTCTGGGATTACGGGCATGGCCACC
The DNA here is from genome assembly GCF_000001405.40 of Homo sapiens. Lineage (NCBI taxonomy): Eukaryota > Metazoa > Chordata > Mammalia > Primates > Hominidae > Homo > Homo sapiens. Next base: position 60,169,388 of record NC_000002.12, on the reverse strand, counting down.
GTGCTCAGCCTGGAGCCCCAGTCTCTTGAATGTATGGAGGAAAGAAGGATAGTCCTATGTAAATAGTCATATGTAAATTTCTGGGAGTGGAAGAGGAGGCCTGTGGAGGTGTAGAAATGCCCGAGAGTCACTGTCTTAACAATCCACACGGGCTTAGTTGGTATCAGCATTTGCAGCTTTCCTGTCCCGAATCACAGATATTTGAGCAAGTTTGCTCCTCAGGTGGAACTGAAAGGACCTGCAATAAAATGAAGAGAGTTCTGGGACCTGGGATTCTGGAATCAAGACTTCCTTGTCTATTCTGGGCCTCCTTCTCAGCTACCTCCTCCTTCTTTCCCCCATACGTTCAAGAGACTGAGGCTCCTGCTGTCCCAGGGCACCTGCTGTCCCAGGGCACCTGTCTTCATTAAAGACCCAAGACAAGCTCATTGAGACTGAAGAGTTCATGATTTAATGTTTTACCCCTGCCAGGGGGCATCGTGGCCACCCTAATTTCATGTAAACAAATATTTGTCAAACCTCCATGTTACTCAAGCTGGGCACTGGAGATACAAAGATAAAAACACAGCAGAAAGTTCTGACACTGTTGTCTAAAAGTCAAGTGGGAGAAAATAGTCATATGTAAATAACTTCAAAACTGTGTAAAAAGTGTGTGTGTGCACTGCAAAAAGAAAAGGCATTAATTTTGCCTGAAGGACTTTTAGATGACCCAGGGAAAAATTATGATGCATGGCAGCTAGAACTGAATCTCTGAGGGTGGCAACCTGGGAACCCTGAAGGCAAAGGCTGGGCCACTTCTTTTGCCCTGTGTGGGAGCACAGGGCATGTTGGCAAGCCCAGTATTTCCCCACTATAAACTGAACTCATGAAAGCGGTGCCTGCCTGTCTGCCATCACCATGAGGGTGGAGAAAGCTTCCTGAGGACACAAAGTCACCTCCCAAGGCAGCAAGGAGCCATCTGCTGCCGCAGCACCCACATTCACTCTTTTGGCTCCCGCAGTGGTGCTGATTCCAGGCCATGGAAGAACACCAGGCAGCAAGTTAGGACACCAAAGTTCTAGCCAGGCTCCCTGCCTACTGTGGATGGGTATGAAACCTTTCAGAACCTTAGTTTCCTGTTCTTGGGCTAGATAATAACCACCCTATAAGCTATGCAGATAAAAATGTGATTGTAAAGTTGAAAGCAGTTGGAGAAATAACTCCAATGCCCTATAATAAAGCTTTTTAACAATTAAAAAGTATTTACTGATTATTTACTGTGCACCTAGAATTTGGTGAGGTTCTAAATAGAGCCCATTAGTTGAGTAGATTTCTAATAACAAAGTATTTTTTCTAATCCATTTGGTACAGAGAAATTGTCAGCGTGGAGTTCAAACAGTAGAGAAGACACACAGCTTAAAGACTGCTGCAGTTCTTTCCCTAATTTGCTGTGTGATAGTGAACAATTACCTTCATTCTTTTAAGCCTCAGTTTCCCAATCTGTAAAAGAAAGTTTTTCACTGATCCCTCCTGATCCCTCTTTCCTACCTTCCAACTACATCTTTTCTTCTAGCTGTTTTGTTAGACTGGGCCTAATAAACCAATACACATTAAAACAGAGAAGGCTCTAAATAACCTAATAACTTACTGAGCTGCTTTTTGAGGGAACAGTTTAGCTCAAAGGAATGACCCTCTAGTGATTGAATATCAGATATAAATAATAGGCCGAGGGAAGAACTCTTTGGGAGTAGAAAGTCGTAAGGCCAGCCTTGCTGGCATCTTCCCTTTGAGGAGCCCTGGTGGGGTATCAAGCAGATAGAAAGCCACCCTAATGAGGCTATTATCTTATATTATTACCAGTTGGTTCTGTCAGCTTCTCCTAAAAGAAGGCCAGTAGGAAAAATCTCCAGAACACCTTATATTTGTATTTACTTTTATTCTTTAAAAAGTGCTCTCAAATATACTATCTCACTAATCCTTATAACAAGTCCGTGAGTAATCAAGCCATTATAATTGCCATCCTATAATAGGAGAGGAAGCAAAAAGGGGCCAGGAAGATTAGTGACTAACTTGACGTCACAAAATAAGATAGTGGTGCAGCTGAAGCTGGAAGCCAGATGATGTCACTTCTGGTCTAGAACTCTCAGCGTGGCCTCGGCCAGGGAGACAAGTACATCTTGTCCCAGGGAATGAAGTACATCTGTGCATTGCTTAGAAAAAGGATGAAAACTTTTAAAAGGGGATAGCCATTATCAAATTGTAGGTGCCCAACAGATGTTTGTAAGTAAAGCTGCCATAACTGTGGTTGAGAAAACCTTCAACAGCTAACATGGGGTATGCCTTTGCTTTCCTTGTTGGCTTTTTTTTTCCCCCACACTGCTGACTTTACCTCCAAGTAAAGGCAGAGGAGGAATTCTCTACTTAGGGGGCTACATTTGTCAACTTGATTCTCTAAAAATCCAGTCACATGATTTAGATGGAGACTTGACATTCCTTTTACAAAAAGGAGGCCTAATCAGGAAGCAAGTCCACGTTGAACATAGACCAATACTCCTTGTCCCCCAGGCTAGAAGTGCAAAGATACAGAAGACAGCTTTGTACTTTTCCATGTATAACTCACGATCTCTTTGGAAGACAGGCAATGTTCATTTTAATTGAGTGAGGAATAGAGAAATGCAGGGAGTATTTGGTTATCTGAATCCTCCCAACCCGCAAAGACTGGATCCCAGACTATCTTTCTGCTTCAGCTCACTGAGGCTGTATTAGTCTAAATCAATAGGAATGGTATCACCCTAGGAATCCACAGGTGCAATTTAGGGCAGCACAATACTGGGAAGGGCACTGCAGGCATGAGTGGGCGGGACCAGCAATCAGGACTGCCTTCAGACAGAACAAGAGGTCCCAACGCTGGGACACACGCTTCGGGGCAGATCTGTCGCTCCACTGGCTTGTCCTTCCCCACAGCTCCCCAGGATCCCAGATTTCCTGCCTGAAAAGCCACAAGCCTGTTTCCAAGACCCTTTATCTCCTGAGGGCAGACCATGCCATTGGTACACACATCCTTAGGCTCCAGAGGGGTGGCCGAGAGGCAGTGTTAGCAGGGGATGTGGACAAAGTGGAGATATGTGGATTAGGATATTCACCCCGTACACGAGTCCCCTGCAGTGTGGGTCAGCACTGGAGAATGAGAACAGAGGCCTATGCCACCCAGGACCTCTACACGAGGACTGGGACCACAGACTGCCTAGATCCCACCCCACCCCACTCCAGCATTTGTTATACCATTAATAACAAAAAAACAAAGTCCATATCCATGTCCTTCACTATTTTAATATAAAGCACACAACAAATTGTGTGTGTGTGTGTGTGCGTACGTGTGTGTGTGTGTAGAAGGGGTACATGAAACATACCTGTTTGTGGGATGTGATCAATGTTAACATGAAGCATATTTTTCTAAGTGCTGGTTAATTTTATGTGTCAACTTGGCTAGGTCATGCTATCTGGTTATTTGGTCAAACATTAGATGTTTCTTTGAAGGTATTTAGATTAACACTTAAATCGGTAGACTGAGTAAAGCAGATTACCTTTCACAATGTGGGTGGGCCTCAGCCAGTCAATTGATGGCCTTAATGGAAAAAAGACCGATTTCCTCTGAGGAAGAGGAGACACTGCCAGCAGTCTGCTTTCAGCCTTAAGCTGCAATGTCAACTCTTCCCTGGGTCTCCAGCCTGCTGTCCTGCCCTGCAGATTTTGGACTTGTTAGCCTCCACAATCATGTGAGCCAATTCCTTAAAATCTCCCTCTCCTTCCCTCTTTCTCTCTATATATACACATACATACTCCTGTTGGCTCTGTTTCTTTGGAGAATCCTGACTCATACATTCTCCCACTGTCCTTAGAACGCCCAGTCTTATGTAATAATCTAGAGTCCCAATATAATATAAGGTCACATAGCTCCGTATGGAGTGAGGCCCCTTGTGGGTTGCATGCTTAAGGTGGGGTGGGGGTTGGGAAGATTCCTGGACTCATTTCCCTCTTTTGGGGTCACTTTCTCTGCCCTCTGGCTGACTGCAGTAATTGACCCCTCAATGGGGAAGTAGGAGGGAACAGGGCATGAAAAGTCCTGGAGTGAAGGACACTGTTGTAAGTCAGGGTTGGATCCTTTGATCCTGGCTGCTGTTTCTTCTGCTTCTTTCTTTTGTGGGCACTTCCATGCGGGCTCCAGAGGTTCCAGATCCTGTGGCTTGAACGGCCCTGATGTGCATGATGCTTTTCCTTTGGGAGACTGCTCCCTGGAGGTCGCTGTTCTCCGGGGATCCAGTCCACAAAGGACCCCAGTCCTCTGGGACTTAAAATGGCTCTAGGTGGCTCAGCCTCCTGGGGGGAGTCTCCATCTGGTTAATAACATGCAGTGACATGGCACTGACCTTGTGCCAGGTACCATTTTACATATATTGGCCCATTTAATTCTCACAACGATTTTATGAGGTAGGTACTTTTATTATCTCTGTTTTACATATGAGGAAACTGAGTCCCAGAGAGGCTAAACAACTTTCTCAATACCGACAGCTGTTAAGTGTCAGAGTTTCAGACCTAGGCATTCAGGCTCTGAAGTGCACTCTTTTAAGGCAGCCACCAGTCTCTGTAGGAAATGTGGTGAGCTCTTTAACCTGCGTGTTACCCTCCTCTGCAAAAGCAGCTCCTTGGTCAGGCTCCTGGATTCTAGATTTGGGTGGCATCCACTCTGTTTCCAAACCCCAAGGTCTCAATACCAGCTTATTGAAGTATCCCCTGTCCTGCCTCAATGTCAAGGTTTGAGTTGGGGGTGGGCAGTCCATGTTTTCTTCTAGAGGAAATTTTTTCTGACAGATTTTTTTTCTCTCTTTCTGTTCTTTTATATTCTCCAAGTGAGTAAGGGGCTCAAGGGTTGTGAAACTAGTTACAGTTCATTTCCTTGGAATGGTCCAGTCCACATTTTGGATTTTCACATCTATGGTATTTTGGTATCTCTGTTGAAACTGCAATTTTTACATCTTATATACATATGCATATTATATATATATAAAATCATGATTGTGATGTATGTAAGTACAAATGGTAAACAGTTCATATAAATGACTATGATTGGTATGAAGCAACCCGGTATTTTCATTTTTTCTTTTTTTACTTTGTTAGTTCTCAGCTATACATAGTTTTCCCGGAGTCTATTATCTCTATCTTCATCCTCCTTTCTATTTCACACAAGTTCACACATTGTAAAGCCCAAGGTCGTGGCTATTAATTACTTATTTCTGTCGACTTCCAAGATGTTTTCCTCCTAGTTCTTTTCCACGGACTCTCAGATTCTCCTGGGGTGGAGTGGGATCTAGGCGGTCCATGGTCCCAGTTCTTGTGTAGAGGTCCTGGGTGGCATAGGCCTCTGTTCTCATTCTCCAGTGCTGACCTACACTGCGAGGGACTCGTGTATGGGGTGAATATCCTAATCCACATATCCCCACTTTGTCCACATCCCCTGCTAACACTGCCTCTTGGCCACCCCTCTGGAGCCTAAGGACGTGTGTACCAATGGCATGGTCTGCCCTCAGGAGTCCTGATTGCTGGTCCCGTCCACTCATGCCTGCAGTGCCCTTCCCAGTATTACGCTGCCCTAAATTGCACCTGTGGATTCCTAGGGTGATACCATTCCTATTGATTTAGACCAATACAGCCTCAGTGAGCTGAAGCAGAAAGATGGTCTGGGATCCAGTCTTTGCAGGTTGGGAGGATTCAGATAACCAAACACTCCCTGCATACCACCTCCGGAAAGCTGTGATACAAAAAGAAAGGAGGCAGAAAATGAAGCAGAGACCACAGGCATTCCCATATGTTGAGTTTTAATTATTTCTTTCGTATTTTTAGAGTTGTTCCGTGAGGTGAGTTGAGCTCATGGAAAATTATGCAGCCACAGGACAGGCCCAGAAAAACCTATCTTGACCCTAGTGGGCCCTCCAGTTGCAAAACACTTTATTCACATGTCTAGACAAGTTAACTTGAAGCTAACCATCTTATTTCACGAGAACCAAACTCTCAATCCATTTACATTTTTTATTACCCACATATATCTTAAGGCTTAAAAGATTCAGGGATGGAGGTCAGAATTATTTTTAAATGATCAGAGGCACTGTATCATATAAATCTCAAGTCAATATCTTTGGCTGGAGAATGCCTGGACTGTGCTGGAGTGCAGCTTCTTCTGAACGTATGTGAAATGTCTGAAAGACACATTCCATTGAAGATTTCCTTGGCCACTCATTTTCCTCTTCATTCTGTATTCCTAGTTTGTCTCCTCATCTGGGTTTCCATTGAAGCAGAAATGACTGATGAGGCCTTTTGAGTGTATAAACACATGTGCATGTTGGCTTTAGTAGAAAGGTGAAAGTTGGACAGAGGTTTCTCTTATGCGGCTCTCACAAGTGTGAAACCAAAACAAGGTTGAGGACTGCTTTTGGTGGCTCACGCCTGTAGTCCCAGCACTTTGGGAGGCTGAGGTGGGTGGATCGCTGGAGCTCAGGAGTTTGAGACCAACCTGGAAAACATGGTGAAACTCCGTCTCTACGGAAAAATACAAAAATTAGCTGGGTGTGGTGGTGTGCACCTATAGTCATGAGGCCGAAGTGGGAGGACTGATTGAGCCTGGGAGGTGGAGGCTTCGGTTAATCGTGGTCGTGTTCACTGCACTGCAGCTTGGACTACAGAGCGAGATGGTGTCAAAAAAAAAAAAAAAAAAAAAAGACTGCTTTGGAAAGGCAGGGAGCCAGTGAGTACCACCTTATGTCCAGAGGGAGTGCCGCTTACTACATGCCAGGAGGGTGAGCCTCCCAGAGTCAATACAGGGGCTCTGGCTTTAATCATAAACTTAGAGGGTTACAGAAATGTGTTCATCCTAATCATTGTTACCAGTGCTGAGGCCAGTTCAGATAGCCCAATTTTAAATATGGATAAAACTTCTGGTTGCTTTCTTGTGCAGTTTGGTAGAGCTAAGATACTGGTTAACCACACTTAATCTAATAGATGTTTCTTAAATGGTATAGAAAGTCTTTAAAGATAAAATCAAATACATTTTTGAATGTACAGTAAGCTTGCTTTTTCATAGTCCATTTAAAAAATATAGCCATTTCCTTATTTATTTTTTGAAAAATAATCTTTTTTTGCTATTTTTAAAAGGGTGAGTCATGCCTCCTCTCTAGTATTCTATTTTGCCTTCACAAAATGTATGATAGTCTTTCTATATATGTGTATATGTGTATATATATATTACTACATATATTTGGGGGTTAAAATGAAACTGTGTTCATCAAATCGTATGTATATAATATATATGATTTATTAGATATAAAATATATATGATTTATTAGATATATTTTATATATGTGTGTGTGTGTGTGTGTGTGTGTGTGTGTGTGTGTATATATATATATATATATTTGAAGACAGAGTCTCACTTCATCCCCCAGGCTGGAGTGCAGTTGCACGATCTCAGCTCACTGCAACCTCCGCCTCCCGGGTTCAAGTGATTCTCATGCCTCACCCTCCTGAGTAGCTGGGATTACAGGCACCCACCACCACACCCGGCTAATTTTTGTATTTTTAGCAGAGATGGGGTTTCACCATGTTGGCCTGGCTGATCTCAAACTCCTGACCTCTTGTGATCCACCTGCCTTGGCCTCCCAAAGTGCTGGAATTACAGGCGTGAGCCACCATGCCCAGCCCCAAATCATATTTCAACCTTGACTTCAATTTTTATTTTTCAAGTATGTCTTCATGAAAAAAAATGTTTAAGTAATAGATTTTTTATTAGGTAAAAAAATTGCTTTTTTTTTTTTTTAACACAGAAACCCATGAGCATTCATAGGAGGCACTCTTTTTGGAGACAAAGGAGAGTAGGCATTGGATTCAGAAGCACTGAGTTAAATTCTAGTTCTTTCTTAGGTTCTTTGGTCCCATTGCTCCATCTCCCTGAGCCTTGGATGCTTCAGCTGCAAAATGGCACTAATCAGATCCCTGTGACTTGGTTGAAGCTGCCATGTAATGCAGGCCTCTGTAAACCAGATGTCCATGAAGGGAGGTTGATTTGTATACCAATGTTGTGGGAGCTCTGGTTCCGGCACTCAGGGTTATCCTTGGATAGGTGGTCCAAGACAGGAATAGGCATCTTCCACTCCATGCAGGTATGAGTGGCATGGGATGTTTTTTACTTTTTAGAGAGGGGAATCGTCATTTTAGAGAAGATTTATTATTTAACTTGTTTAAGAAGAGCCAAATATGAAACTAACTATAAAAGCAAAAAAAAAAAAAGCTTCAGAGAAATGTATTATATTTAAAGCTTTTAAATAACCTCCCTGAGTCTCACATATAATGTAGTTAATATAAATAAACACCAAGGGAACAGAAAAGTCCTGAGGATAAAGAAAATATTTTAAAAGGGACCCCAAGAACTGCAGTAATTATACTAATAATATTATGTCATTGAAAACCCTTTTTGAGATGTGTCTTTTCATGTCCCTTGATACTGCTATTGATGGGTTTGACAAAATGGGCAAATCTGGCCACTCCATGAAGCTTACACCTCAGAGCTTGATTATAAAAACAATCTCAGAAAGACTTTTGGTCTCTGCACCTGTATCTGCTGGTGCCACTCCTGATCCACAGTGTGTTTGATGGGCATTGAGCCTCTTGGGAGAAAGTTGGCTTGGCGACTCGGCTGGGCATGCTTCTGAATGATATCAACCTGTGTCCTCCTCTGCTCTGGGAGCTGAGGTCAGGGAACCAGAAACTGCCTGTGGCAGGGGGGCTAAGCCTGCTGGTTTCCAAGTGGGATGAGGCTTCCTGGGAGTCTGGCCACTGGTCACAGTGAGGATTGGAGGAAAGGCAGAGGCTGCACTGAACACCAACCACTTCTAGGGTCAGAGTTGAAGGTGGGACCTCTCCATAGGCTTTCCAGACTGCTGGTCTGGGTTGTAAAATCACCTTAATGGGTTGAGCCAGCATTTAAAAATAACTGAAAAGGATGAGAATAGGAAATAGAGTGCATCACACATGGTGAGGATAAATATTGTTTCTTGAAATTTTATTTTAGTTCTCTATATATGTATACATTTTGTATATCCATATGTATATACACACAAATATGATGTATTGAGTTGTGATATAAAATGCTTTTTTTTAGACTATGGCAAAACTATGTTTGATAGTCACTACTTTTTACGCCTAAGGAACAATGACAAAATGTATATACCACAAAGTGATTTTACAAAGATACACACATGCACATGTATGCACACACATAGGGTTAACTGCCTTGCCCCAAAGCAACACACAAACCAGGCATCTTAAGTTGCAAATATGAATAAAGCCAAGTTGAAACTAAGTCCTCTTCAGTTTTATAAATCCAAGACAATTAGAGAGTTAGAATAGGGCTGTTATGTCCCAGGGCTAAAGGCTGGAGTGAATATTGGAATCCATTATTGGGATGTAAAAGACTGTGGCCTGGTAAACTGCTATCTAAAGGGGGGGCATTCTTGAGCCCCCTTCTCATCATCCTGGAGCCAGAAAAAGGAAGCCAGAGAAAGGAAAGGATTTTAGGGGAAAGTGAAAGTATCAAACACTACTGCCCTTAACACATGAACCCTGAGCAAGCTGTGGAAATAGATAATGAGGGACAGAGAAGAAAAGATCTTGCAGTCAGTGGCATTGTTTCTGTAAATATCTAGATGAGGCATTCGTGCCAGGATCTGTCTCCCTAAATGTTACAGTACTGGACCTTGTGAACGTGGCTCCCTGAAGCTGCTGATGCCATAATTAATCTGACAAGGCATCTTTACTAAAAGAGAAGGGATGCTTAGTTTGGTCCAATGGGGTACATCGATGAATAATGGGATGAAACTAAGAGAAGGCAAAATTGGACTGAATATCAAGGAAAAAAAATTACCTAACAGGTCTATTAGATAGTGGAGTAGTCTCTCCAGGGGGACAGTGGCAGGGCTGGTGGTGCTGGAATCATTTACAAGTTGGCTGCTGAAAAGCCCCTGAGAATATGCTGCGGGGAACAGGAATGAGTTGACAAGAGAGTGGACAGGATGACCTCGAAGGTCTTTTCCACCTTTAGTGTCTATGATTTCATGATTGTCTGCTTTTTACTGAAGTGCTATAGCTATGGCTACTCTCTGGGGCCTGAGACATGAAATCTTTGTTAGTAAAATACATGGCGATGAAATATTTTTGAGGAACCCTCCATTCCTGGCCATCTTTTTCCATTCAAAACTGGCTGGAGAGAAACAAATGGGATAAAGGAAACAAGAAAGAAATTGGAGTTTATTGTTATCAAAGCCAACTTTATTTTTTTGTCTCTATTTATTCACTCAAAATATTTTATCAAATGCAAAACTATTCTTTTTTTTTCCTTTTTTTTTTTTGGAATCTTGCTCTGTCACCCAGGCTGGAGTGCAGTGGTGCAATGTCGGCTCACTGCAACCTCCACATCACGGGTTCAAGTAATTCTCCTGTCTCAGCCTCCGGAGTTGCTGGGACTACAGGTGCATGCCACCATGCCTGGCTAATTTTTGTATTTTTAGTGGAGACGGGGTTTCACCATGTTGATTAGGCTGGTCTTGAACTTCTGACCTCAGGTGCTCCATCTGCCTCAGCCTCCCAAAGTGCTGGGATTACAGGCATGAGCCACTGAGCCTGGCCTTGCAAAACTATTCTCAAAGATTGTGTTTAAATATAAAGACAGTTTCTTTGGGACTGCACTGTACTAAATTTCTTATTTCTCAACAGGTTGTTGCAGTATTGTATAGAAAGAGCCTGTTTTAGAGGTTGTTTAACAGATGAAATGAGTTCTTGGATAAGAAGCATTGTTCCATCTGCAACATGGTTAGAACTCTCGTACATTTGCATTTCTGTGTTTCAGAATTATTCAGGCAATAAATTACTCAGGATGTCAACCTTATGCTGAAACAGAAATGACCTACTTTGTGAGGATCTTGTGTATTTTAAATTTAACCTTGTGCCTTTTCTTCAACTGGGAACAGGAGAAAGTAAGTTAAGATGGTGAAGCCCTGAGCTTCTTAAGCATGATCACAAGGAAGCCAAAAGGAGCTAAAGTCTATTGAGCTCTTACTATATGCTGTACATTGTTCACAGGCTCCATGTGCATTAACTTATTTCGTTTCTTGCATCAACCCAGGAGGTAGGCGCTATTATTACATTTGAGGAAACTGAGGCACAGAGCAGTGAAAAATGTTGTCGAAGGTCGCAAAGCCAGTCAGATGCAGAGTATGGAGTTGAACAGGTGGTCTGAGTGCAAAACTTATATTCCTAATCATTATTATTATTATTATTATTATTATTATTATTATTATTATTATTATTTGAGATGGAGTCTTGCTGTGTTGCCAGGCTGGAGTGCAGTGGTGCGATCTCGGCTCACTGCAAGCTCCGCCTCCCAGGTTCACGCCATTCTCCTGCCTCAGCCTCCCAAGTAGCTGGGACTACAGGGGCCCACCACCATGCCTGGCTAATTTTTTTTATTTTTAGTAGAGATGGGGTTTCATCGTGCTAGCCAGGATGGTCTCAATCTCCCGACCTCGTGATCTTCCCGCCTTGGCTTCCCAAAGTGCTGGGATTACAGGCGTGAGCCACTGCACCAGGCCTATACTCCTAATTATTATTACTTGACTTCCTCTCTAGGGATAGTTTCTTACTTCATTCAACACCAATGACGAGGGCAGGAATTTTAGTCTACCTTATTTACTAATGACTCTCTAGAGACTAGAACAGTTTCTGGCACATAGTAGGCTGTCAATAAATTTTGGCTGAAAGAATGAATGGAAGTTGGTATGGCAATTCTGAATTTTTCAATGCCAAACTCATTTACTACAAATTTGCTGACTAAAGAAGAAAGGCAACTCTTTGTCTATTTTAACCTCTGGTCATCTCAGCAATCTCTTAGCTTCAAAATTTCTTTTCTCCAGAGCACCTTCCTTGACCTCTTCAAATAGGTTAGTTGCCCTTGATATAGGATCCAAATGTATACTGCATTCCCTTGACCATGGCAATTTTCACACATTATTTTAATGATTTGTTTAGTTGCCTCTTTTCCTGGCTACATTGTAATCTCTATAAGGGCAAGGTCTGTGTTTTGCTCACCACTGTGACTATAGGCTCAGCATTGAACTGGGCATGAAGAGGTCTGTTTGTGGATAATTGTTTAATAAATGATTGAAAGAGGATACTCCTTTCAACTTACTTTTCTACTTGTTATTTACACAGAACTTTCACATTCCCTAGGCTGAAGTGGGAGAGTGGTTTGAGCTGGGGAGGCAGAGGTTGCAGTGAGCTGAGATTGTGCCACTGCAGTCCAGCCTGGGTGACAGAGTGAGATCCCCGCCTGAATAAATAAATAAATAAATAAAATGTAAAAAGCCCCTCATTCTGTATTAGTTATCTATTGCAGCATAATAAATTACTTCAAAAGCCAGTGACTTATTAACTCTTAAAATGTCTGTGTACTCTGGTTCAGGGTCTTCCATGAGGTTAGAGTCAGATGTTAGTGGGGACTGCAGTCATCTGAAGGCTTGGTGGAGGCTGGAGGATCCACTTCCAAGATGATGCACTCCCATGACTGTTGTTGGGGGGCCTCAATTTCTTTCCACACGAGCCCCTTCACAGGACTGCTGGAGTTCTTGATGACATGGTGTCTGGCTTCACCTAGAATGAGTGATGTAACTGAACATGGTGGTACTGCAATGCCTCCCGTGATTCTTCTTGGAAGTCACACACCATCATATCCTATGGGTCACATAGACCAATGCTGATTCAGTGTGAGGGGAAAGTTTACAACGACATGGATGACAGGAGGCAGGGATCACTGGGGTCCCTAGTACAGACTGGTTATCACACATACCATTTTACATCTCCTCTTCCCATCAAGCCTGTGAGATACTACCCTTATTTTACAGATGAGAAAACTGAGGCTGTCAGTGAATTGCCTAAGGTCTTAACCTGTACTTAAACAAAGTTTTTTCCTTCCAAGTTAAGTGTACTTTCCAATATATCATAACTGTATGACTAACTGAATAAATTACATATAGCTTTGATAAACCCAAGATACAAAAATTGAAATGCCAAATTAGAAAAATTGTTTGTATTACGAAAGAATCAACCATGTCATAGGATTACTTAAATGGCATAAGCAAACTGACTAACTTTATCAAAATGAGTTTTAACATGAATTTTGGAGACACATGTGTTGGGTAATGGGAAATGTACATTTGAAAATGTGTGTGTGTTGGAAACAATCACACTGGATTGTAAACTTCTTGAAGGCAGGAATAGAGACAGTCTTATCTCCAACACCAAACCTGGGATCTAGTACAGAGGAAACTCAATTAAAGTTTATTAAATAAATGAATGATTATGAAAAAATATCTGTAGCTACAGTATATTAAAAAGATTTTTGTATATGAGAATGTGACATTTTTAGAATATATTTTATGCTTATTTCATAAGTAATGGACTACTGAGTTTTATGTTACTACATTACCTAAAACTTATTTAGATTTTAGTACTGGCCTGACATAACATGTTTTAAAATTTTGCATCCCTGTTGAGTTGCAAGGCTGAAAAGCTAACAAATGTTTAAATGAAAACAAAGGAAAAGGCAAGAAGAATAATCTCATCTAAAGAAGCGATAAAAGACCTGTTTTTCAGAACATGTAGGCAAATGGAACAGTGTTTATTTTTAGACTCAATTAACCAAACAGACTAATATTCTAAACATGAATAATTTTTTTCCATTAAAAAAGTACTGAAGAATTAAAAAAAATAAAAAGTTTAAAAAATGCATCACACTCCAATTGGGCTGAGGAGTTGAGGAGGTTCTTATCTGATATTTTTTAAATAGCCAGGGGACCTAATGTTTTCTGATTTGAACACTATTGCTATTTGTCAATATTTTCTAAGAGAAGGTGAACAGACATGCCTCTTTGAAATGATTCCTTATCAACTCTTGTCTGCAAAATTAGTGGATCATCAGGCTTACATTAGTACAGTTGTTAGTATAAGCTCACATAGGGGATCAAATTATGGCAGGACATAGATAAAAAAGTTAAAGCAAGATCTCTGCTAAATGACTACAGTTGAGGACAAGAAGGTTAGCATAAGATCCTGATCACATTGATGGGGTGCGAATATTTTATACCTTGATGTGGTTTACTTTTGCGATGGTGGTAATGCGAGATGAGTTCTGTCTACACTAGTTCAGGTAGTGTAGATGGACATTTGCAAGAGTAAATTTCTCAGCTAAGTTTTCTGCATGGATTTGGTGTTTGTATTTCTTCTGCTCAATTAGTCTTGTTAGGGTCTGAAAGTTGAAGCATGTACAAGAAAAATGGTAAACACCACATGAGACTCAGCCCTCCTTCCCCATGGCAGACTTTTGTCACTGAGTTATTGGTTTGAGTTTGCAAAAGAGCAAGAGATTGGCAAAATTAGGAGATCTCATAATTATCAACTGTAAGAGGAGAACTCTATAAATAACAATGAATAGAAATGTACCCTGATAAATCAATAACTTTCTTGGTATTAACTGAAGATGGTAAATTGGACTCCCCTGAGAGGAACTGTAAGGAAAACACTTGCTTTTGATGTAAGTTGTTGAGGATGATCATTTAATGTTTTGAATCTAATAGGAACATAATAAGAATTTACAAAAATTTACTTAAAAACCTTAAACCAAAATCATTTAACAGATTGGTTCCTGTTTTATGTAAAATTTACCCATGAAAGATTAAAACTAGAAAGAACCATTGATACCACTTATTCCAATCTTCTCCCCATTTTACAGCTGTAAAAACTAAGGCTCAGAGTAGTGAATGAATTCACCTAAGTTCACAAAGCTCATAACTGGTAGCAGTGGAGCTGGTGAAATTGCTGCAGCCTTTGTTGGCCTTCCCACTCATATCACCACAGCCTCTGTAATGAGGGCACGGAGTGAGTAGATTTCAAAATCTCTTCAACTCTAAGGGATGATGTTTCTCTGTAACTCCTCATGAACTCTCTGATGTTGCAATTTATTTTTGTCCCCACTTACGAGAATGGAAACTCTGTGATGGTTAGGTCTGTATCTGTCTTGTTCTCTACTATATTCTTCTCATTTATTGAAGAAATAGTGCATGTTTAAAAAAAACAGATGTTGAATGAATGAGCTGAGCTGAGGTTCAGAATCTTTGCCGACTTGACATTGTAGGTAGCTGTTGCCAATTAATTGCCACTAGCTTTCTAAAAACCTGTGGTGGACATATTCCAAGGCTTCCCCCCATAATCCTCACCTCTTACTTTTCACACCTTTGAGTAATCCTCTCCCCTTGAGAGTGGAAATGATCTGGAATTTGCTTCTACTAACAGAATACAGCAAAGGTGTGTAATTGCGTGTCCATGATTTCATTACGTAAGATTGTGATAGCTGTCTTTCATCATTCTCTTTTGGTGACTTTGAAGAAATAAGCTGCCATGTTGAGAGTTGCCTGTGGAGAGGTTCACTTGCCAAGGAACCTATCTGGATGACAAACAGATGAGGACTCAGTTCCATAGTGTTCAGTCTAAGGAACTTAGTGCTGTTAACAACTGTTTGAACTTGGAAGTGAATCCTTCTCCAGTTGAGCCTCAGATGAGACCCCAGCCCTGACAGTCCCTTGATGGCAGCCTTATAGAGGATCCAGCTAAGGTAAACCATGCTTGTCCTGATTCACAGAAACTGTGAGATGGTAAACGTATGTTATTTTAAGCTGCGGTTGTAATTTGTAATCTAATAACATGTAAGTAATATATAATCTATTTACTATCCCTTATCTAGATGCATTTTTTTTTCGTTTGAACATTCACAAAATAGCAATCTAAACCAGGTTTGGAGTACTCTAAATTTAACATCATAATTTAGGAGAAATAAAGCTGTTTTGAAGGTGAAAAAGGTTTAGTTTCAGTGTGTGTTCTGTTGACTCCATAAGGCTATTGTGTTTAGCTCTTTTTAATCTACTGATGCTTATTCATGGAGGTTAGAGTTCTCTTCTCTTTACTTCTGCTCAGCATTCAAACTAATGCTCTTTACTTTTGCCAGCATTCAAACTAATTCAGAAGAGAGCCTGGGCATGGAGTCAGAGTGGGAGCATTCTCAGATATGCTCCCTATCTTTGTTTATATCCAAAAATGGCTCTCAACATTTTGACTGGCAATTTGGCTACTTAAATTCCATATTACAAATCAAGCAGTAGGTGAGCAACAAAAGTGCCACTCATTAAACAGTCCTCTTTATTTAAAATGGTTTGTTTTTGTCGACTATGTGTGTTAGTAAGGGTTGACAAAGCCTTTAAAAAAAATAAAGGCAGTCAAATGATTTTTTGAGTCTAAATGATCTTACTGATTTTTATCACTAAATTTTATGGGTTTGACAGTTTCTTTGTGCAGTGAAATTGTGCTTTTCATTTCAAAGCCAAATAGAAATAAAATAGATTATGTGTAATTTTGCATCGTCCTTGTCCTATCCCACTATTTTCATGAGTAATTGATGATATCATTATATTTTACTTTACAAAATCATTTGTTGTTTAATAAAATTGGCTTTATGTCGAATCTAATTTTTCCAGCTGATTCTATAAAAAGTTACTTGGATATTCCTAAAAGTTACCAAGTAATGAGTTGAAAATATTATATGAAAACAATGCTAATTTGGTAGCCAGGTCTGTGGGTTCCTCAAGATATATTGAGTATACTTTTGCAATTACTGTAGAACGACAAGATTCTTGGCAACACTTTTCTATCATTGCCTCCTTTATCTCTACCTGTTCTAGATGAAGGAATACGTTTTACTCTGGAGAATGTCCTCACTTCTTAGGCTTCTTTTGCCAGGCATATTTCCAATGCCTAAGAGAGCTGGCCTGCAATACCTAATTCTACCATTAGGTGTTGCTCTTTAACATATGATATGGAGCACCATGGATTATTTTTCCCCCAAAGTAATTTGAGGGCACAGAAGCCTCAATGGTTTTTAAATTTTGTATATTGGTCTTTTGATAAGTTTGCACTGAAGAAATATTTGCTCTCTAGACAAATTAGAAGCCATAGCGCTAGCCTGAAAATTTCCCAAGTTTGTTAATTGAGTTTTTGTAAAGAAATTAGTGAGCCATTCTAGCAATGCTAAAAGACTTCACTTTTACAGAATAACGTTTTCTTTTTTTAAAAAAAGGTATTTTCAAAAAGAAAATATATTAAATATACTAAAAATGAAAAACTTGGCAAGTATCTTTGAAATAATTTTTTTATTGTTGAAATTTTCAGTCTCATTTTTCTGATTAATCTAGAAATTATCTGGACATTTTGATTTCACTAGTAACTGCGTAAGTTTTCCAGACACAATTAATTTTTTGAATTTTTTGGGAGAAGTAAAAATATTATGTATTTTCCAAAACCGAATAGTAGAAAGAGCTATAGAGAAGAAAGAACTTTTACTAAAAGGGTGGCATTTCTAATCTTTGTACTTCTATATCAGACTAGGGATTAACAGTTTTGGCGGCTGCAGCAGCACTTTTTTTTTTTTTGGTCACCTACACAATAGATCAGAGGCAATGATTCAATGCTGAAATGGTCTCATGTTCCATGAAAACTTGAAGAAGGATGTCAGAGTGGCTCAGACACAATGTTTTGTGACAGTAAGCAGCCAACAGCTCTTGGCAGAAGCTGTGAGACTTACAGGTTAACTCTGGGTGTTCCATTAAGGCTACTAGCCCATCTATGTCAGTTTCTGGAAAGCTACTTGGGCAGAGGAAGACAAGAGTTAAACCTGGGGTGTAGGAGAGAGGTATAATAAAAATAAAATCCACAGAGCTCACCATATTTCAGCATATGGATTCTTATGTTCAGGGATAAAGTTATCTTGAGAGGAGGGTTTTTTTTTTGCCCTTTATTCTTTACTTTTTCTTTCTTTATAGAAAATATTTGCTGATTTCAGAAAATTGTTTCCTGTGAATGAAACTCTTCACTTTGGGGTTGATATGTTGTGACTTATGAAAATTTGAAATACCTGTTATGGATCAGCTCTCACTTAGCAAGGGCTGTATTTGTCAGGTGATGATTGAAGTTGTAAATCAGTATTCTTGAATCTGGAATTTCCTATAGTGAAGCAAATCGCTGCAAACATCAGCTTTAAGAATATAATAAAATGAAACAAGCAGTAATAATAATAAAAAAAAACCCTTGACAGGCAAATTTGGTGTTACACGTTGTGCATTTCTTTTCAGTCTCTCAAACTTTCTGAACACTATAATTTGTTTGTGCTGCTGCATCACCATCATCAACGATATAGGACTTTATTAGCTCTTCTCTCTTAGGGATGTCTTTTTTTTTTCTTTAAGAGAAAAGAATGCATAAAAGTTCTTCCACTTGAATCTGTGTGTAATCACTCTTCCTAGCCAAAGTCATATATCACTTTAGTTTGAGAAAGGAGATATGAAAGGGAGAACATAAATAAAGGGAGGAATGGTGAAAGGGAGGGAAGAAGAGAAAAAGGAGGAGGAAAAGGAGGAAGAGAAAAGAACTCAGGAACAAACTTTCTTTTGAAAAAGTAAAACATCAAGGTAATATTATTATGTCAATGAGGCTGAGATAATTTTCAAACTTCCATGGCTACCTACCCTTCCAAGTTTATAAACTCTATCAGAAATATTAGGTTGATGCAAAAGTAACTGTGGTTTTTGCTATTACGTTCAATGGCAAAACCAGCAATGACTTTTTCACCAACCTAGATAGCTCACATTTAGAGCATAATGTTAGTAAACAACAATGTCATTCCTTAATTGTCTGTGGGGAAGACTTTGTCTTTGCCTGGGAAGATGGCTGGATGGTCATATTTTTAACACAAATGTCTTTAAACATTCGAAGCGAATTAAGATGACATCAGATGACAGGTGATAGAAAAGTGGCTTTAACAGTCTGTTTGGCTGGAGTAATGAGTTATTAATGGCCTAAGCTGATCATTTAGTCACAGGTCTAAAGTCCTTGCCTACTTTTACTCTCTAGAGGTTGAGATCAGCTCATCCAACAGTTGTCCAGGGGATAGAGGAAAGGTAAAATGTTGAAGGTAAAATTTCCCACCAACGGGTGGTGGGAAAGCTTACATTGACTGTTTTTCTGTATTAACAACCATTTTGTCTATAAATCTAAAGACAGACTCATCAACTTTTCAAAAAGAAAATGTGGTGCCATGCCATTTGGTCACAGCATAGGAAGCCAAATCGAGGTTCTTTTCTCACCTGGTACCCTCTCCCAGTCCTGAATCCCCAAGTGTTCTTTCTCTTTGTTTACTAATACTTTGTCATCTCAGTATTCACTCTTTGGTTATCTTTCCTAGTCTCTGTCTTTTCTCCTGAATTGTAGACGAGGGGAACGAAAGGCACAGGTAGATAAGAGCGGCGGGGTCCATGGGTTCCCACGCCACCACGTTTAGAAGTTCCTGAAAGTCAGACTGTGCTGGGAAGGCAGGGAGGTGATCCCGGCCTCACTATGAAAGTACCTGAACCCACTGTGTGGAACCATCAGCCAGGGGGCTGCCTTGTGCCCAGAAAAGGGCCTGAAATGTGCTCACTGGCTTTCCTTGAAGGCTGTGAAACAGAAGAAGCAAGAAATGAATTAGCAGGAGAATTTGAGAGTTGAGATGAAGGAAGAAGGTTTCACTTTGAAGACCTCTAGAGCGCTTTCATTCTGCCACAGTGTGCCTGGCCTGCGTAGGATATTATCTGGGCCCAGGATCCTTGTGATTGTTCTATGTTCCTGATAGGGCTTGCAGCCTGTTAGAAATCTATCCAGATGTAAAAAAGATTCTCCTAAGTTAGAAAAAAACATGTCCTGCCCAATCTTAAACAAAACCCAAACACACACTTTTGCTTTGTTCCTTCTAGTTACCCACAAAGGAGACCACAGAGGATGGAATGAAGGAGGGTGGTAGGGCAGCCTTCTTAGACTGATGTTTCCAGGATCCAGGGTGGAGGCCCAGGGCTGGGGGCCTGAGACTGCCTGCTGTTGAGGTGTGAGTTTGGGAGACACCAAACACCTGAAGTTGGGGACATGGGGCCTCCTGTTAGCTCCTCACAAACACTCCCTTCCCTCCAGGGCTCTCCCTCAAGGCGGCCTCACATTTCCTCTGGTCTCCTCAGCAATTCATGTGGTTTTCAGACCCTTTCTGTGGAGCTGCGGAGTAATGTTTTCTGGATGTAGCATTGTCGGGCCTTGGGAATCACCTGGTGAGGGATGGAGGGTGGGAATGCAGAAATGGCACTCTCCTTGGGTTTGACTTGGCCTCAGCCTCCGACTGATTGTTTATAACTGGTCACTTTTGAGACCAAAGGCAAGGAAACACGGCATGGTGGGGAGGCTGGGGGAACTTCCCCATGCTGCCTCTGCTTAGATTTTCATGATTTGAGATGAGGAAAGCTGAGTGATAGCAAGGGCTGACTCCTAGCCACAGAGACTTCCTCTGTAGTTCTACAGCAGCAGTTCTCATACTTTAGCTTGTGTCCAAGTTGCCTAGATGGTTTGTTAAAACTCAGATTTCTGGGCCCCGCTTTCAGACTTTCTGATTCCATAGGCCTGAGGTGGGCCTGGTGATCTTCATCTCTAACAAGCTCCCAGGCGATGCTGATTTTGCTGTTTCAGGGACCCTGCTTGGAGAGCCATGGAAGCTTGGGGCAAGCTCTGCCCCACTGCATAACTCAATCTGAGACCTCCATAGATACACATTCCATTGCAACATAATATCCATTGACATGTCTGTCTACCCCTTCAAACTCTGTGGTCCTTGAGGGAATTTCTCTGTTTCCAGGACAGTGCTGGGCAGGTAGAGAGTGTTCAGAAATATTTTGTTGAAGGATTATATTTGAGATGCTTTATAACAGGCTTTGATCTGTTTAGAATTACAGAATGTTAGAGCTGATGGGAAATTCAGAGATGACCTAATCCAACCAGGTTGTTCTACAGACAGGAAAACTGAAGTTCAGAAAGACCAAGGGCATTAGATCACACAAAATTGCCCAAGATCACACAGCAGCTAGCAGGTCTTATACTCAACTACTATGTGCTAATTATCTCACCAATGTTAATTGAGCAGTTGTTTTGTATGTGCTGGACACCAATCTGAACACTATATGCTTTCATTGAATTCTCTGCATTATCTCTTGGTTATCTCAATTAATTCTCAGAACAACCCAATGAGGTCAGACAATTATTGTTTTCATTTTGCACGTGCAAAACGTGAGGCCCTGGGGGGTAAATGCCTTGCCTCAGTCATGTAGCTAGTGAACGAGGAGCTGGGCAATGTAATTGGTGAATGAGCTACTGACCACTATGCTTTTCTGCCTATCATGTAGTTGGTGCTCAATGAATGTTTAAGTTTTGACAAGTTCAGTTCCTGTGAAATGAGGAATCACTTACTTCACAGAATTTTGAAGACTAAAATGGAAAACATGTGAGCACCCTTTGAGCCTGTGAAGCACTGCAGACTGGGAGGTACTGTTGGGAAAAGGGATTTGGATTCTCCACAGACCCCACATTTGGGCTTTCGCAGACACATTTCTTTCTAGCTGGAATGCCCTTCCATGTTCCACCTGCAGCCAGTCCAGGTCTTGCTCTCCCACAGAGCCTTGTTTGGCCTCCCCAGAATGAAGCCTGTGCTTCAATACATCTGCGTTCCTTGTACATAGGCATTTTGTCTTTTTCTTTTTTTCCCTCATTCGTATCCTTTCTTGCTTTTGCAGGTGCAAAAGCTTGTTGCCTTACATTGTAACTTGTTGGCTCACACAAGGGTTACCTCTATTGGAATGCCAGGTGGGGACCCTACAGTCCCCACGTCTGTACTCCAGGAGCATCCCGTGGAAGGAGACTCCGTGCTGGCTGAACTGGATCTATTCCCACACAGCCTCATGAGAACCTGGCAAGAGGGGCTGGGCGTGTATTGAAATCCCCAGACTGAGAGGCAAGAGGACTGAGGTGGCTGAAGCTCCGTGGTCCCCAAGTCCCATAGCGGGTTCCTGCTAGAAGTTCAACAAGAGCCCAGTCTTCTTTTTTTTTTGTTGTTGTTGTTGTTTTTTTTTTTCCTGTTCTTTTTTTTTATTTTTTTTATTATACTTTAAGTTTTAGGGTACATGTGCACATTGTGCAGGTTACTTACATATGTATACATGTGCCATGCTGGTGCGCTGCACCCACTAACTCGTCATCTAGCATTAGGTATATCTCCCAATGCTATCCCTGCCCCCTCCCCCCACCCCACCACAGTCCCCAGAGTGTGATATCCCCCTTCCTGTGTCCGTGTGATCTCATTGTTCAATTCCCACCTATGAGTGAGAATATGCAGTGTTTGGTTTTTTGTTCTTGCGATAGTTTACTGAGAATGATGATTTCCAATTTCATCCATGTCCCTACAAAGAACATGAACTCATCATTTTTTATGGCTGCATAGTATTCCATGGTGTATATGTGCCACATTTTCTTAATCCAGTCTATCATTGTTGGACATTTGGGTTGGTTCCAAGTCTTTGCTATTGTGAATAATGCCGCAATAAACATACGTGTACATGTGTCTTTATAGCAGCATGATTTATAGTCATTGGGGTATATACCCAGTAATGGGATGGCTGGGTCAAATGGTATTTCTAGTTCTAGAGCCCTGAGGTATCGCCACACTGACTTCCACAATGGTTGAACTAGTTTACAGTCCCACCAACAGTGTAAAAGTGTTCCTATTTCTCCACATCCTCTCCAGCACCTGTTGTTTCCTGACTTTTTAATGATTGCCATTCTAACTGGTGTGAGATGGTATCTCATAGTGGTTTTGATTTGCATTTCTCTGATGGCCAGTGATGGTGAGCATTTTTTCATGTGTCTTTTGGCTGCATAAATGTCTTCTTTTGAGAAGTGTCTGTTCATGTCCTTTGCCCACTTTTTGATGGGGTTGTTTGTTTTTTTCTTATCAATTTGTTTGAGTTCATTGTAGATTCTGGATATTAGCCCTTTGTCAGATGAGTAGGTTGCGAAAATTTTCTCCCATTCTGTAGGTTGCCTGTTCACTCTGATGGTAGTTTCTTTTGCTGTGCAGAAGCTCTTTAGTTTAATGAGATCCCATTTGTCAATTTTGGCTTTTGTTGCCATTGCTTTTGGTGTTTTAGACATGAAGTCCTTGCCCGTGCCTATGTCCTGAATGGTAATGCCTAGGTTTTCTTCTAGGGTTTCTATGGTTTTAGGTCTAACGTTTAAATCTTTAATCCATCTTGAATTGATTTTTGTATAAGGTGTAAGGAAGGGATCCAGTTTCAGCTTTCTGCATATGGCTAGCCAGTTTTCCCAGCACCATTTATTAAATAGGGAATCCTTTCCCCATTGCTTGTTTTTCTCAGGTTTGTCAAAGATCAGATAGTTGTAGGTATGCGGCGTTATTTCTGAGGGCTCTGTTCTGTTCCATTGATCTATATCTCTGTTTTGGTACCAGTACCATGCTGTTTTGGTTACTGTAGCCTTGTAGTATAGTTTGAAGTCAGGTAGTGTGATGCCTCCAGCTTTGTTCTTTTGGCTTAGGATTGACTTGGCGATGCGCGCTCTTTTTTGGTTCCATATGAACTTTAAAGTAGTTTTTTCCAATTCTGTGAAGAAAGTCATTGGTAGCTTGATGGGGATGGCATTGAATCTGTAAATTACCTTGGGCAGTATGGCCATTTTCACGATATTGATTCTTCCTACCCATGGACATGGAATGTTCTTCCATTTGTTTGTATCCTCTTTTATTTCCTTGAGCAGTGGTTTGTAGTTCTCCTTGAAGAGGTCCTTCACATCCCTTGTAAGTTGGATTCCTAGGTATTTTATTCTCTTTGAAGCAATTGTGAATGGGAGTTCACTCATGATTTGGCTCTCTGTTTGTCTGTTGTTGGTGTATAAGAATGCTTGTGATTTTTATACATTGATTTTGTATCCTGAGACTTTGCTGAAGTTGCTGATCAGCTTAAGGAGATTTTGGGCTGAGACAATGGGGTTTTCTAGATATACAATCATTTCATCTGCAAACAGGGACAATTTGACTTCCTCTTTTCCTAATTGAATACCCTTTATTTCCTTCTCCTGCCTAATTGCCCTGGCCAGAACTTCCAACACTATGTTGAATAGGAGCGGTGAGAGAGGGCATCCCTGTCTTGTGCCAGTTTTCAAAGGGAATGCTTCCAGTTTTTGCCCATTCAGTATGATATTGGCTGTGGGTTTGTCATAGATCGCTCTTATTATTTTGAAATACATACCATCAATACCTAATTTATTGAGAGTTTTTGGCATGAAGGGTTGTTGAATTTTGTCAAAGGCTTTTTCTGCATCTATTGAGATAATCATGTGGTTTTTGTCTTTGGCTCTGTTTATATGCTGGATTACATTTATTGATTTGCGTATATTGAACCAGCCTTGCATCCCAGGGATGAAGCCCACTTGATCATGGTGGATAAGCTTTTTGATGTGCTGCTGGATTCGGTTTGCCAGTATTTTATTGAGGATTTTTGCATCAATGTTCATCAAGGATATTGGTCTAAAATTCTCTTTTTTGGTTGTGTCTCTGCCCGGCTTTGGTATCAGAATGACGCTGGCCTCATAAAATGAGTTAGGGAGGATTCCCTATTTTTCTATTGATTGGAGTAGTTTCAGAAGGAATGGTACCAGTTCCTCCTTGTACCTCTGGTAGAATTCGGCTGTGAATCCATCTGGTCCTGGACTCTTTTTGGTTGGTAAACTATTGATTATTGTCACAATTTCAGCTCCTGTTATTGGTCTATTCAGAGATTCAACTTCTTCCTGGTTTAGTCTTGGGAGAGTGTATGTGTCGAGGAATTTCTCCATTTCTTCTAGATTTTCTAGTTTATTTGCGTAGAGGTGTTTGTAGCATTCTCTGATGGTAGTTTGTATTTCTGTGGGATCGGTGGTGATATCCCCTTTATCATTTTTTATTGTGTCTATTTGATTCTTCTCTCTTTTTTTCTTTGTTAGTCTTGTTAGCGGTCTATCAATTTTGTTGATCCTTTCAAAAAACCAGCTCCTGGATTCATTGATTTTTTGAAGGGTTTTTTGTGTCTCTATTTCGTTCAGTTCTGCTCTGATTTTAGTTATTTCTTGCCTTCTGCTAGCTTTTGAATGTGTTTGCTCTTGCTTTTCTAGTTCTTTTAATTGTGATGTTAGGGTGTCAATTTTGGATCTTTCCTGCTTTCTCTTGTGGGCATTTAGTGCTATAAATTTCCCTCTACACACTGCTTTGAATGCATCCCAGAGATTCTGGTATGTTGTGTCTTTGTTCTCGTTGGTTTCAAAGAACATCTTTATTTCTGCCTTCATTTCGTTATGTACCCAGTAGTCATTCAAGAGCAGGTTGTTCAGTTTCCATGTAGTTGAGCGGCTTTGAGTGAGATTCTTAATCCTGAGTTCTAGTTTGATTGCACTGTGGTCTGAGAGATAGTTTGTTATAATTTCTGTTCTTTTACATTTGCTGAGGAGAGCTTTACTTCCAACTATGTGGTCAATTTTGGAATAGGTTTGATGTGGTGCTGAAAAAAAATGTGTATTCTGTTGATTTGGGGTGGAGAGTTCTGTAGATGTCTATTAGGTCTGCTTGGTGCAGAGCTGAGTTCAATTCCTGGGTATCCTTGTTGACTTTCTGTCTCGTTGATCTGTCTAATGTTGACAGTGGGGTGTTAAAGTCTCCCATTATTAATGTGTGGGAGTCTAAGTCTCTTTGTAGGTCACTCAGGACTTGCTTTATGAATCTGGGTGCTCCTGTATTGGGTGCATATATATTTAGGATAGTTAGCTCTTCTTGTTGAATTGATCCCTTTACCATTATGTAATGGCCTTCTTTGTCTCTTTTGATCTTTGTTGGTTTAAAGTCTGTTTTATCAGAGACTAGGATTGCAACCCCTGCCTTTTTTTGTTTTCCATTTGCTTGGTAGATCTTCCTCCATCCTTTTATTTTGAGCCTATGTGTGTCTCTGCACGTGAGATGGGTGTCCTGAATACAGCACACTGATGGGTCTTGACTCTTTATCCAATTTGCCAGTCTGTGTCTTTTAATTGGAGAATTTAGTCCATTTACCTTTAAAGTTAATATTGTTATGTGTGAATTTGATCCTGTCCTGATGATGTTAGCTGGTGATTTTGCTCGTTAGTTGATGCAGATTCTTCCTAGTCTTGATGGTCTTTACATTTTGGCATGATTTTGCAGCGGCTGGTACTGATTGTTCCTTTCCATGTTTAGTGCTTCCTTCAGGAGCTCTTTTAGGGCAGGCCTGGTGGTGACAAAATTTCTCAGCATTTGCTTGTCTGTAAAGTATTTTATTTCTCCTTCACTTATGAAGCTTAGTTTGGCTGGATATGAAATTCTGGGTTGAAAATTCTTTTCTTTAAGAATGTTGAATATTGGCCCCCACTCTCTTCTGGCTTGTAGGGTTTCTGCTGAGAGATCCGCTGTTAGTCTGATGGGCTTCCCTTTGAGGGTAACCTGACCTTTCTCTCTGGCTGCCCTTAACATTTTTTCCTTCATTTCAACTTTGGTGAATCTGACAATTATGTGTCTTGGAGTTGCTCTTCTTGAGGAGTATCTTTGTGGCATTCTCTGTATTTCCTAAATCTGAACGTTGGCCTGCCTTGCTAGATTGGGGAAGTTCTCCTGGATAATATCCTGCAGAGTGTTTTCCAACTTGGTTCCATTCTCCCCATCACTTTCAGGTACACTAATCAGACGTAGATTTGGTCTTTTCACATAGTCCCATATTTCTTGGAGGCTTTGCTCATTTCTTTTTATTCTTTTTTCTCTAAACTTCCCTTCTCGCTTCATTTCATTCATTTCATCTTCCATCGCTGATACCCTTTCTTCCAGTTGATCGCATCGGCTCCTGAGGCTTCTGCATTCTTCACGTAGTTCTCGAGCCTTGGTTTTCAGCTCCATCAGCTCCTTTAAGCACTTCTCTGTATTGATTATTCTAGTTATACATTCTTCTAAATTTTTTTCAAAGTTTTCAACTTCTTTGCCTTTGGTTTGAATGTCCTCCCGTAGCTCAGAGTAATTTGATCGTCTGAAGCCTTCTTCTCTCAGCTTGTCAAAGTCATTCTCCATCCAGCTTTGTTCCATTGCTGGTGAGGAACTGCGTTCCTTTGGAGGAGGAGAGGCGCTCTGCGTTTTAGAGTTTCCAGTTTTTCTGTTCTGTTTTTTCCCCATCTTTGTGGTTTTATCTACTTTTGGTCTTTGATGATGGTGATGTACAGATGGGTTTTCAGTGTGGATGTCCTTTCTGTTTGTTAGTTTTCCTTCTAACAGACAGGACCCTCAGCTGCAGGTCTGTTGGAATACCCTGCCGTGTGAGGTGTCAGTGTGCCCCTGCTGGGGGGTGCCTCCCAGTTAGGCTGCTCGGGGGTCAGGGGTCAGGGACCCACTTGAGGAGGCAGTCTGCCGATTCTCAGATTTCCAGCTGCATGCTGGGAGAACCACTGCTCTCTTCAAAGCTGTCAGACAGGGACATTTAAGTCTGCAGAGGTTACTGCTGTCTTTTTGTTTGTCTGTGCCCTGCCCCCAGAGGTGGAGCCTACAGAGGCAGGCAGGCCTCCTTGAGCTGTGGTGGGCTCCACCCAGTTCGAGCTTCCTGGCTGCTTTGTTTACCTAAGCAAGCCTGGGCAATGGCGGGCGCCCCTCCCCCAGCCTCGCTGCCGCCTTGCAGTTTGATCTCAGACTGCTGTGCTAGCAATCAGTGAGATTCCGTGGGTGTAGGACCCTCCGAGCCAGGTGTGGGATATAGTCTCGTGGTGCGCCGTTTTTTAAGCCGGTCTGAAAAGGGCAATATTCGGGTGGGAGTGACCCGATTTTCCAGGTGAGTCCGTCACCCCTTTCTTTGACTAGGAAAGGGAACTCCCTGACCCCTTGCGCTTCCCAGGTGAGGCAATGCCTCGCCCTGCTTCGGCTCGCGCAAGGTGCGCGCACCCACTGGCCTGCGCCCACTGTCTGGCACTCCCTAGTGAGATGAACCTGGTACCTCAGATGGAAATGCAGAAATCACCCGTCTTCTGCGTCGCTCACGCTGGGAGCTGTAGACAGGAGCTGTTCCTATTCGGCCATCTTGGCTCCTCCCCTGTGAGTCAAGAGCCCAGTCTTCTGTGCTTCCCTCCATACGTTGTCTCCCTGGGACATGGGCTAGTGGGGTAAAAAGCTGGGACTAATCTAACTTCCACCGATAGTTGCCTCAAAGTCTTCCTAATCTTTGGCTGGCCAACCATGAGTTATTCTTTCTCAAGTATCCAGGTCCTTCAGAAAGGATCAGGGAACTTCCTGGGGTCACCCAGCTTCTGGAGGAGGAGAGAGGGGGGAGGAGGAGGGGGAAGAGGAGGAGGGGGAAGAGGAAGAGGGGGAAGAGGAGGAGGGGGAAGAGGAGGAGGGGGAAGAGGAGGAGGGAGAAGAGGAGGAGAAGGAGGGGGAGGGGGGAGGGGGGAGGAAGAGGAGGGAGGAGGAGCGGGGGGAGGAGGACAGGGAGGAGGAATGTAGCCTTACAGAATCTCAGGTCTCTGGACTAGCCAACAAGAGCTGGGCTTTGAATGAGGGTGGCAGTCCCTGGACAGAAAAATCTTGCTCTTTTCCCCTGCCCACTACTCTCACTCTCTCTCTCTTTCTCTGTCTCCAGATACACACACACACACACACACACACACACACACACACACATATATATCTGGATATATATGGATATATATCCATCTATTTATGGCTACTTTGGGATTGACTGAATTTTTCTCCCTCCTAAGCTGAGCTCCCTCTGGGAACATGGCCCTGGTAGTAATTTTGAGTGTTTGAGTCAGTCTGTGTCATTCTGCACCGGAGGCCTTTTCTTGCTCTTGGTTGTTACTGCCAATTCTCTTAGTTTGTTCTGTATTGCATTCTCAGCTAGGGATAAACTACACTCTATACTCACTGGCTTGGAGGGGATGATTCACCAGAGGCTGTACCCTTCAGGAATAGTTTCCTGACACAGGAGTGAAGATGAGCTTCATGTTGGCCTTCGTGTCCCTTGCATATTTCAAAGACAGGGTGGGAGCCCCTCAGGCACAGAGCCTACCGAGAACTTCAAGGAGATGACCCCCTCCCCGACACAGTGAATGTGATTGCTGTAAGCAGAGACAAGTTTGGATGTGAGCCAAGTGGCCACTTTGTTGGTAGTTGCCTGAGAAAATGGAGGCAGAGCCAGGGACAGCCCCTGAAACCCAGGCTGCCCGACGAGGGCTGCATGGCACTGGGTGAGAGCCCATGGGGAAGGAATGCAGATCCCAGAGGTTTTGGCTCACCCTGCAGGGAATTTCTTTTCCCTTCTCCTCTCTGCTGGTCCACACCCTGTTTTCCCTTGGGGTCCAGTCTATTCACCGGCTCCCCTGAGGAGCCCCTTTCTCACAGGGTAGTGGTGATCCTGTTGCCCAGTGGATGTGACCACCAGTTTCCCCAGCGTTGTGCAAGGTACTGCCACGGGCATGCCCAGATCAGGCAGCAAAGGGCTGAGGTTAGACGAGTGCTGCAGGCTTAGGCCCAGGAGCCTGAACCATGAGAGTCTCTTTTATTGTTGTCTAGAGAAGAAACATTTTTATTTCAGGCTCCTCGTCTCTCAGATGGAGTCAATTGGTCTGCTTTCCCCTGGGAATGAGGGTGAAGCGGGTGGGCAGGAGCAGTAATGCCCTTTTATGGCTCTTTGGAAACCATGATGATTGGTCCTAAGGAGTCCACCCAATAATATATATACCAAGTGCTGTGCCTTTCTGGGCACATGAACTCCAAATCCACTCAGTTCTCTTGCCCTCTCAAAAACATGCCAGAGTGGGAGTGACAGGGACCTTATCATGGGGGAAATCTTGAATCTCAATTATTAAAACAAAATAGATTATTTTCAAATCATAAATGATTATGAGGAACAATTTGCCTGTGATGTGCATCATTTTTGATAGGGACACACAGTTGCATTCCAACACAGGCTGAGAACTGCTTTTCTGACTCACACAAAAGACCTTTGATAATAGATAGTCCTATAAAATTCACTAAGTTGGCTTTGAGTGTTGTCTTTCTAAAAATATTGTAGAACCATGGTATTAGGGCTAGAAAGAATACTAAAGTCATCTAACCCAATCCCTTTATTTTATGGTTGAGGAAAGTGTATTCAGAGAGATAAAGTGACTTGTTCAAGGTCACACAGTGAATTACGAGTTGGTAATAGAATCCACATTCCAAACTCTTAGTTTAGTGTTCCCCTTTCTGAGGCCACCTGTACCATCAAAATGTGCTGGCCATATGTCCTATTTATAAAAGGACCCAGGGAAGGAGATACCAAGCCTCAGTTGAATACCCTTTCCATAAAAAAATAGATTAATTGGCCAGGCGTGGTGGCTCACACCTGTAATCCCAGCACTTTGGGAGACTGAGGTGGGCCAGTCACCCTATGTCAGGAGTTCCAGACCAGCCTGGCCAACATGGTAAGACCCTGTCTCTACTAAAAATGCAAAAATTAGCCGGGCGCAGTGGCGCTTGCCTATAGTCCCAGCTACTCAGGAGGCTGAGGCAGGAGAATAACTTGAACCTGGGAGGTGGAGGTTGCAGTGAGCTGAGATTGTGCCACTGCACTCCAGCCTGGGCAACAGAGTGATACTACATCTCAAAAAAAAAAAAAATAGATTAATTATAGAGATGAAGCCCTGCCTGGGGCTTTTGCCGTATTGTATCATCCTTCCTTAATATAGCTGGTATTTCCACCACAGCCTTATCTATATTTGAGAATATTTGGAAGCAACTCAAATGTCCAAAAATGGGGATTGGTAAGATAAATTACGACACATCCCCACAGTGCAGGATCATGCAGTTACTTAAAATGCCGTAGTAGAATAATAGTTATCAACACAGAGACATGCAAGAGACTGTTATGTGTAAAGCAACAGAATGCTCAAGTATATTGAAGTGTAACTTTAGTTTGGAGAAAAGAAATTCATGCATACCAAAAATATTTGAAGGATACCAAATGTTAACAATTGTTGTCGCTGGGTATTGAATTGTGGAGTGATCTTTATTTTCTTCTTTTCTATATTTTCCATTTTTTTCAATGGAGATTTATTACTTTTATATCAGTGAGAAACAAAAGATGTTATTTTTAAGAAGGGAGTCTGTATTGGTAAGATTTATACACAGTCCTCCCAACAAGTCTCTTGGGAACACGTGCTCTCCTGCAGCACACACTCCAATCTTCACGTGGCTTGAACGCTGGCTCTGGGAAATGGGAATTCTGATTAGAGAAGGTGAGTCTAGAATGAGCCAGCACATTTAATCTCTCTCTGCTCTCAGTCTTCTCATCTCTCATATGGGTATAATTCATCTGCCCTCTGTGGGGAGAGGGAGGAAGATAGGTGTGGGAAGGAGTTATAATTCACACTCATAAGCACGTAAGAAATCTTAAGCCTTTGGCCATAAAGAGCCCAGAGGGAGTCGGTGGTAATGACTGAAGAGACCCTTAGGACAGGCTTCTGGGTTGTAAGAGAAAGATAGGACTGCATCCTGTTATGCAGCATTCCTCTGCTGGGTTGGAAGTGAGGTGTGGAAATCCCCCCAGCTCGTTCTTGGCAACTTTGTGTGGAATAATCTTTAATCGAACAGGCTTTGCCTTCAAAAAACTGATCAGAGGACTTGTGGGAAGTCTGAGGTTCCTGGCGTCATGGGCCTTACCCCTGCAGGGGGTTCCATGTGGACCAAAATTCAGTTAATAGGTTCTTCTCCTTGGCTCTCTGGGGTTTCCTGAGCCCCAGGAGAAATGTGAAATTGTCTTGCAACCAGACAAACTGTCAATTAAGGGAAGAGAGATCTCCCTCCCATTGATCAAACAATGTAAAAATACAAGCCTTCCTCAGGGGTAGATCAACCTGGCTCTGGGCACTGGCCCCAGCAAGACTTTGACCTGATCCAAGAGGGTTTGAAATGCTAATCCACTCATTCCTATTCCAGACATTCACAGATTAGGGCTGCTAGTTGATACAATCTACACTCTGGAAAATAGCAACCTGATTACAATTGGTTTTACATGCTCCCAGGAGCCAGGGGCAAGGCCTCTTCCATTGCAACTTGCAGCTGACCACCAGAATGACTTAGGCAGTGGGCCTCCAGGATAAATCTCTGACCTCTGGCTGCTCAGCCCTCTTTCAAGCCTAGACATTGGCAGAGGTCTTGAAGCCAAGCGGGGCAGGGCCTTCTGGACTGCCTGTGATCTCCTGCTTTAATCTCTGTTGCTCCTGATCCTGCTGCCCCAGATAATCTGAAAGGAGTCTTGCAAATGGAGCTAACGACATGCCTTGAAGGCTTTTGCTGGTGACATCCTCACTGATTTTCATGGCTCAACTCAGTTGCTACTTTCACAGTGAAGCCCTCTCTTACCCTTTCTTCATCACCCTTTCCTATATCCACAGCCTGTATCTCATACCTGAGTTAACCCTCATTCCTTTCTGCCAGGCGCTTTAGTTGATTGCCTACTTGTCTGTCTGCACCATTAAGCTGTAAGCTCCATATCACTTTTTACTGTGTTTTCCTGGTGTAGGCATCCTATAAATGCTTGACGGTTTGAAATAAAAGGCTGGGGCTTCATGGTGCTGGACTTCAGCTTTGCCAATTGCTTTGACACATTCCTGGTCCCATACTGTTTATTCACTTTTCTGAAATGCCTAACCTGACTATGGCAGGCTGAAGCAGTTAAGCAATAAATGAGAATTTAGCAAGAGTAATATGTAATGGACCCCACCTTTTAGGGACTTGGAATGGAGCTAGAGAGAAAGCATTACTTATCTGGAAGAACCCAAGAACCAGGTGAGACAGTGCTAGTAGTCCAGGTTTAGGTCATGGAGACCATCAGAGCGGCCTTTCTGGAGGAGGTAGGATTTGCCTTGGAGCCTTAACAATGGGGCGGATTTGGGAAGGGGGTTCTGAGGTGGCCAAATAGGAACAGCTCCAGTCTTCAGCTCCCAGCGTGATTGACCAGAAGATGGGTGATTTCTGTATTTCCAACTGAGGTACCTGGTTCATCTCACTGGGACTGGTTGGACAGTGGGTACAGCCCATGGAGGGTGAGCCAAAGCAGGGTGGGGCATCACCTCACCTGGGAAGCACAAGGGGTCAGGGGATTTCCCTTTCCTAGCCAAGGGAAGCCATGACAACTGTACCTGGAAAATGGGGGCACTTTTGCCCAAATATTGTGCTTTTCCAACAATCTTAGCAAATGGCACACCAGGAGATTATATCCTGCACCTGGCTCAGCAGGTCTCACACCCACGGAGCCTTGCTCACAGCTAGCACAGAAGTCTGAGATCTAACTGTGAGGTGGCAGCCTGGCTGGGGGAGCGGCATCCGCCATTGCTGAAGCTTGAGTAGGTAAACAAAGCCACTGGGAAGCTCAAACTGGGTGGAGCCCACCGCAGCTCAAGGAGGCCTGCCGGCCTCTGTAGACTCTACCTCTGGGGGCAGGGCATAGCTGAACAAAAGGCAGCAGAAACTTCTGCAGACTTAAAAGTCCCTGTCTGACAGCTCTGAAGAGAGTAGTGGTTCTCCCAGCATGGTGTTTGAGCTCTGAGAACAGACAGACTGCCTCCTCAAGTGGGTCCCTAACCCCCGTGTAGCCTAACTGGGAAACACCTCCCAGTACGGGCTGACTGACACCACATAGAGCTGGGTGCCCCTCTGAGACGAAGCTTCCAGAGGAAGGATCAGGCAGCAATATTTGCTGTTCTGCAGCCTCCACTAGTGATAACCAGGAAAACAGGGTCTGGAGTGGACCTCCAGCAGACTCGAACAGACCTGCAGCTGAGGGACCTGACTGATAGAAGGAAAACTAACAAACAGAAAGGAATAGCATCAAAATCAACAAAAAGGTCATCTACAACAAAACCCCATCTGTAGGTCGCCAACATCAAAGACCAAAGGTAGATAAAACCACAAAGATAGGGAGAAACCAGAGCAGAAAAGGTGAAAATTCTAAAAACCAGAGTGCCTCTTCTCCTCCAAAGGAACGCAGCTCCTCACCAGCAACAGAACAAAGCTGGATGGAGATTGACTTTATCGAGTTGACAGAAGTAGGCTTCAGAAGGTCGGTAATAATGAACTTCTCTGAGCTAAAGGAGGATGTTTGAACCCATCGCAAGGAAGCTAAAAACCTTGAAAAAACATTAGACAAATGGCTAACTAGAATAAACAGTGTAGAGAAGACCTTAAACGACCTGATGGAGCTGAAAACCACGGCACAAGAACTACATGATGCATGCACAAGCTTCAGTAGCCAATTTGATCAAGTGGAAGAAAGGGTATCAGTGATTGAAGATCAAATTAATGAAATGAAATGAGAAGAGAAGTTTAGAGAAAAAGGAGTAAAAAGAAATGAACAAAACCTCCAAGAAATATGGGACTATGTGAAAAGACCGAATTTACGTTTGATTGGTGTACCTGGAAGTGATGGGGAGAATGGAACCAAGTTAGAAAACACTCTTCAGGATATTATCCAGGAGAACTTCCCCAACCTAGCAAGGCAGGCCAATATTCCAATTCAGGAAATACAGAGAACACCACAAAGGTACTCCTCAAGAAGAGCAACCCCAAGACACATAATTATCAGATTCACTGAGGTTGAAATGAAGGAAAACATGTTAAGGGCAGCCAGAAAGAAAGGTCAGGTTACCTTCAAAAGGAAGCCCATCAGACTAACAGTGGATCTCTCGGCAGAAACTCTACAAGCCAGCAGAGAGTGGGGGCCAATATTCAACATTCTTAAAGAAAAGAACTTTCAACCCAGAATTTCATGTCCCGCCAAACTAAGCTTCATAAGTGAAGGAGAAATAAAATACTTTACAGACAAGCAAATGCTGGGGGATTTTGTCACCACCAGGCCTGCCTTACAAGAGCTCCTGAAGGAGGCACTAAACATGGAAAGGAACAACCAGTACCAGCCACTGCAAAAACATGCCAAATTGTAAAGACAATCGAGGCTAGGAAGAAACTGCATCAACTAACGGGCAAAATAACCAGCTAACATCATCATGACAGGATCAAATTCACACATAACAATATTAACCTTAAATATAAATGGGCTAAATGCCCCAATTAAAAGACACAGACTGGCAAATTGGATAAAGAGTCAAGACCCATCACCATGCTGTATTCAGGAGGCCCATCTCACATGCAGAGACACACCTAGACTCATAATAAAGGGATGGGGGAAGATCTACCAAGCAAATGGAAAGCAAAAAAAAAGTAGGGGTTGCAATCCTAATCTCTGATAAAGCAGACTTTAAACAAACAAAGATCAAAAGAGACAAAGAAGGCCATTACATAATGGTAAAGGGATCAATTAAACAAGAAGAGCTAACTATCCTAAATATGTATGCACCCAATACAGGAGCATCCAGAGTCATAAAGGAAGTCCTTAGAGACCTACAAAGAGACTTAGACTCCCACACAATAATATTGGGAGACTTTAATACCCCACTGTCAATATTAGGCAGATCAATGAGACAGAAGGTTAACAAGGATATCCAGGACTTGAACTCAGCTCTGCACCAAGCAGACCTAATAGAAATCTACAGAACTCTCCACCCCAAATCAACAGAATATACATTCTTCTCAGCACCACATCACACTTATTCCAAAATTGACCACGTAGTTTGAAGTAAAGCTCTCCTCAGCAAATGTAAAAGAACAGAAATCACAACAAACTGTCTCTCAGACTACAGTGAAATCAAATTAGAACTCAGGATAAAGAAACTCACTCAAAACTGCACAACTACATGGAAACTGAACAACCTGCTCCTGAATGACTAGTGGGTACATAACGAAATGAAGGCAGAAATAAAGATGTTCTTTGAAACCAATGTGAACAAAGACACAACATACCAGAATCTCTGGGACACATTTAAAGCAGTGTGTAGAGGGAAATTTATAGCACTAAATGCCCACAAGAGAAAGCAGGAAAGATCTAAAATTGACACCCTAACATTACAATTAAAAGAACTAGAGAAGCAAGAGCAAACAAATTCAAAAGCTAGCAGAAGGCAAGAAATAACTAAGATTAGAGCAGAACTGAAGGAGATAGAGATACAAACGCTTCAAAAAATCAGTGAATCCAGGAGCTGGTTTATTTTTTGAAAAGATCAACAAAATTGATAGACTGATAGCAAGACTAATAAAGAAGAAAACAGAGAAGAATCAAATAGATGCAATAAAAAATGATAAAGGGGATATCACCACTGATCCCACAGAAATACAAACTACCATCAGAGAATACTGTAAACACCTCTATGCAAGTAAACTAGAAAATCTAGAAGAAATGGATAAATTCTTTGACACATACACCCTCCCAAGACTAAACCAGGAAGAAGTTGAATCTCTGAATAGACCAATAACAGGCTCTGAAATTGAGGCGATAATTAATAGCTTACCAACCAAAAAAATCCCAGGATCAAACGGATTCACAGCCAAATTCTACCAGAGGTACAAAGAGGAGCTGATACCATTCCTTCTGAAACTATTCCAATCAATAGGAAAAGAGGGAATCCTCCCTAACTCATTGTATGAGGCCAGCATCATCCTGATACCAAAGCCTGGCAGGGACACAATAAAAAAAGAGAATTTTAGACCAATATCCCTGATGAACATCAATGCGAAAATCCTCAATAAAATACTGGCAAAACGAATCCAGCAGCACATCAAAAAGCTTATCCGCCAAGATCAAATTGGCTTCACCCCTGGGATGCAAGGCTGGTTCAACATATGCAAATCAATAAACATAATCCATTACATAAACAGAACCAATGACAAAAACCACATGATTATCTTAATAGATGCAGAAAAGGCCTTCGACAAAATTCAACAGCGCTTCATGCTAAAAACTCTGAATAAACTAGGTATTGATGGAATGTATCTCAAAATAACAAGAGCTATTTATGACACACCCACAACCAATATCATACTGAATGGGTAAAAACTGGAAGCATTCCCTTTGAAAACCGGCACAAGACAGGGATGCCCTCTCTCACCACTCCTATTAAATGTAGTGTTGGAAGTTCTGGCCAGGGCAATCAGGCAAGAGAAAGAAATAAAGAGTATTTAATTCGGAAAAGAGGACGTCAAATTGTCCCTGTTTGCAGATGACATGATTGTATATTTAGAAAACCCATCGTCTCAGCCCAAAATCTCCTTAAGCTGATAAGCAACCTCAGCAAAATCTCAGGAGACAAAAATCAATGTGCAAAAATCACAAGCATTCTTATACACCAATAACAGACAAACAGAGAGTCAAATCATGAGTGAACTCCCATTCACAATTGCTTCAAAGAGAATAAAATACCTAGGAATCCAACCTACAAGGGATGTGAAGGACCTCTTCAAGGAGAACTACAAACCACTGCTCAACGAAGTAAAAGAGGACACAAACAAATGGAAGAAAATTCCATGCTCATGGGTAGGAAGAATGAAGAGCTTGAAAATGGCCATACTGCCCAAGGTAATTTATGGATTCAATGCCATCCCCATCAAGCTGCCAATGACTTTCTTCACAGAATTGGAAAAAACTACTTTAAAGTTCATATGGAACCAAAAAAGAGCCTGCATTGCCAAGACAATCCTAAGCCAAAGGAACAAAGCTGGAGGCATCACACTACCTGACTTCAAACTATACTACAAGGCTACAGTAACCAAAACAGCATGGTACTGGTACCAAAACAGAGAGATAGACCAATGGAACAGAACAGAGCCCTCAGAAATAACACAACACATCTACAACCATCTGATCTCTGACAAACCTGACAAAAACAAGAAATGGGGAAAGGATTCCCTATTTACTAAATTCCCTTTAAATAAATAAAGGTGCTGGGAAAACTGGCTAGCCATATGCAGAAAGCTGAAACTGGATCCCTTACTTCCACCTTATACAAAAATTAATTCAAGATGGATTAAAGTCCTAAATGTTAGACCTAAACCATAAAAACCCTAGAAGAAAACGTAGGCAATACCATTCAGGACATAGGCATGGGCAAGGGCTTCATGAATAAAACACCAAAAGCAATGGCAACAAAAGCCAAAACTGACAAATGGGATCTAATTAAACTAAAGAGCTTCTGCACAGCAAAAGAAACTACCATCAGGGTGAACAAGCAATCTACAGAATGGGAGAAAATTTTTGCAATCTACCCATCTGACAATGTGCTAATAACCAGAATCTCCAAAGAACTTAAACGAATTTACAAGAAAATATCAAATAACCCCATCAAAAAGTGGGCAAAGGATATGAACAGACACTTCTCAAAAGAAGACATTTATGCAGCCAAAAGACACATGAAAAATGCTCATCATCAGTGGTCATCAGAGAAATGCAAATCAAAACCACAATGAGATACCATCTCACACCAGTTAGAATGGCAATCATTAAAAAGTCAGGAAACAACAGGTGCTGGAGAGGATGTGGAGAAATAGGAACACTTTTACACTGTTGGTGGGACTGTAAACTAGTTCAACCCTTGTGGAAGTCAGTGTGGCCATTCCTCAGGGATCTAGAACTAGAAATATCATTTGACCCAGCCATCCCATTACTGGGTATATACCCAAAGGATTATAAATCATGCTACTATAAAGACACATGCACATGTATGTTTATTGTGGCATTATTCACAAGAGCAAAGACTTGGAACCAACCCAAATGTCCATCAATGATAGACTGGATTAAGAAAATGTGGCACATACACACCATAGAATACTATGCAGCCATAAAAAAGGATGAATTCATGCCCTTTGTAGGGACATGGATGAAGCTGGAAACCATGATTCTCAGCAAACTATTGCAAGGACAGAAAACCAAACACCGCATGTTCTCACTCAGGTAGGAATTGAAAAATGAGAACAACTGGACACAGGAAGGGGAACATCACACACTGGGGCCTGTCATGGGGTGGGGGGATGGGGGACGGATAGCATTAGGAGAAATACGTAATGTAAATGACGAGTTAATGGGTGCAGCAAACCAACATAGCACATGTATACGTACGTAACAAACCTGCAAGTTGTGCACATGTACCCTAGAACTTAAAGTATAATTAAAAAAACAAAACAACAACAACAACCACAACAAAACAGTGGGAAGGATTTAGATGGATCGGTCTATGATTTTCCAAGTACATAGAGGAAAGAACTTGGGGTGCATGTCAGAAGATTTGAGTTCATTTTCTAACATTGACCTACCTACTATATGGCCTTGGTCAAGCCACCTAACCTCTCAAACTCTTATTTTTTTTTAAGTTTTTGAGCTCTTACTCTGTCACCCAGGCTAGAGGGCAGTGGTGCAATCACAGCTCAGTGCAGCCTCAAACTCCTGGGCTCAAGTGATCCCCTCACCTCAGCCTTCTGAGTAGCTAGGACTACAGGTGCATGCCACCACTCCGGGCTAATTTTCAAGTTTTTTGTAGAGATGAAGTCTCACTATGTTGTCCAGGTTGGCCTCAATCTCCTGGGCTCAAGTGATTCTCCCACCTTGGCCTCCCAAAGCACTGGGATTACAGGAATTAGCTACCGTGCCCAGTCACAAGCTTCCCATTTCAAAAATGGGAATCATAAGAAATGTCTGCTTCGCTGGCCCTATGGAAGTGCTGGTGACATAAAAAATGTGAAACCCCTTTGCAAATGAGAAAATGATGTCAATATTACTAATTATCATTCCTTGTATCAGTAGACTGTACGGACACAAGATCTGCCTCCATGATGGCAAAGGCACTGTACTTTATTTGGTTTAGGGCTTCTGGGTGTCTGATTTCCTGTGGAAACCTTTGGTGTCTTTCTGACCCTGCCTGATTTTTGCATGAACTTCAGCCATGAAGTTTTGCTTTTTTTCAAGGCATTCAAGTGCTTTAAAAACTGTCTTTCAATATTACAAAATACCAATACATTTTATGTAATTATACAATACCACACAGTAACATCACACATTTATGTTTTAGTTTATACATGGACACAAATACATATTAAAACCAAAAATTTCACAAAACCAGACATCCTTGCTATATCTAAAATACTGACCTTCCCTCCCCTTTCCTGTTCAACTATTTCAATTAACAAATTCTGGTTCAGTCTACTAAATTGATTTCAAATCTTACTATTAAAAGATGTATGTGATCTATACATGTAACAAAATTGCACATGTACCCCATAACTTTATACAACTAAAAAGTAAATAAAAGAAAATATTACTCAGATGGTTGGAAAAACAAAAACAAAAAACCTGTTCTGGAGCACACAAAGAACTATCTTAGGATACAAGATATATGGAGCAAAAAACTAGAAAAGATACACAATGAGGGCTAAATTCAATTTGGACTGTAAAATCAGTAATTTGGAGGATAAAGCTAGGAGGTTCAAGTTGGTTTGCAAAATTTTCCTGGAGCACGTGAGAATGAATCTGCCTTGAGTTCCTAGTCTACTGTAGATGGGGGAATGCAATAAGAGAATTAAGCAGAATGGTGTTGGTAGGTAAGAAGGTAGGTAAAGCATGTACATAGGCTAACTATGGCAGAAGAAATCAGCATTTTTGCTTGTGGAACAGGAAAAACTTATAGGAATTGTGTTAAGCAGTTTTGGGAAATCTAGTTTGTTAAGTAGTAGGGTCAGTCTATAGAAGGCTTTTGAGTGCCAGGCTGAGAAAAATAAAATTGATGTGGCAATTTGGCTTGATGTGGTATAATATGGGATGCTATTGGCAGTCACTGAATAGGAGACTGACTGGTTGAAAGTTGTGTTTTGGGAAGGATAATCTGGTAGCAGTAATAAGGACCAACATTCCTTCATATCAGAGGGATGCGTTTCTTTTTTGTCATTAACAGACATGTCACATATTTTCTCTTATAACTCAATAAAAACACAGTAAACTAGAAAAGAGAAAACTTTCCCTCCCTCCCTCCCTCCCTCCCTCCCTCCCTTCCTTCCTTCCTTCCTTTCTTTTTCTTTCTCTGTCTGGCTTTTAGGTGCCTTTATCATTCACAAAACTCTCCCATGCCAGTGGCTCTTTTGTGAATTCATAAACAAATGAAAATCTTAGCAGAGCAGAATTTCTAGAGAGAAGTGCCAGGTATGTAGCACTTCCAATACAATGCTTGGAGCAACAGCTAGGTCAACAGCCAGCCTGGGGTATCTCTTTTTAAGGGTGCCTGTGATAGGCACAATTCTAAAATGGCCCCAAGATTCTTTACCCCTGGTGTACATGCAACGTATAAGCCTCTCCTGAGTGTAGGCAGGAAATATGAATATAAAAGGCATCACTCTCATGATTAGGTTATGCTATATGGCAAAGGTGAAGATGTTTGGCAGATGCAATTAAGGTCCCTAATCAGTTGAGTTTGAGCTAATCAAAAGGGATATTATCCTGGGTGGCTTTGACCTAAACAGGCAGACTCTTAAAAGGAGTCAGAGAGATTCTCTTGTTGTTTTCAGGAAGCAAACAGCACTGTGAACTGCCTATGAAAAGGCCACAGAGCAAGAATAGGAGGGTGGCTCTGGTAGCTGAGAGTGAGACCAATCCAACAGCCAGTAAGAAACCAGAAACTGAAGTAAGTGAATCCTGCCAGTAAACTAGTGAGCCTGAAAGAGTACCTCGAGGCTTGGATAAGATTGCAGCCCTGTTGAAGCCTTGATTTTAGTCTGATGAGACCCTGAGCAGAGGACTCAGCTAACCCATACTCAGACTTCTGTTGGACAGGAACTGTGAGATAACAAATGGGTATTGTTTTGAACCACGCTGTTGATCATAATTTATTACACAATATAGAAAACTAATAGAAGACTCTAATACATCACTGGCATAG
Organism: Homo sapiens; assembly: GCF_000001405.40. NCBI lineage: Eukaryota > Metazoa > Chordata > Mammalia > Primates > Hominidae > Homo > Homo sapiens. Next base: position 60,127,436 of record NC_000002.12, on the reverse strand, counting down.
CAAAGCATCCTTGAAAATGTAAGAAGATAGGACTTTATAAAAACGGAGAATTATCAGAGGAGATTATGCAATAATAGGGTTAGGAGAAATATGACCAAATTATTGGAAAGAGAATCAGACTGTCAAAAATCATATTCAATAATTACTAGATGTCACTACCTTATAGGTCTTTTGTTTTTTGGGTAGAGTATGCAAGTTTGGGACCAGAGCTGAACTCCTCAAGAAGCTAGGGAGAATAGGGAACTGCCACTTGAATCATCCCTTTCTATTTCCTTCTGATTGGTGCATAGCTTCTCTCCTAAATAAATGATGAACTCTTATTTGTTTGCTTTTAAAGACTATGAGTTTAAAGGAGCCTTGAATTCTTAACCACCTGTATTCATGCCAAACTGCCAACCTTCTCAGAGTTCTCAGATGTGTAATCTGGCTTTGGAAACCTCCATAAGCATCAGTTCCTTTCTCCTTTCTTTAAAGTAGAAGACTCCATTGTTGCCACCTGGTTTAGCAATGAAGGCTTGAGGTCCCTGAGAAGGCTTCAGTTTGTGAAAAGAAGAACTAGGGGATAGAGTGAATGTGAGAAGATCTATGTTGCCGAGGGAGATACACGTTATGAAAGAATAGATGAAGAATGATATATGAACTTGAGAGAATTGGCACACTTGTGTTGGTTTCACCATGTGTGGTGATAGAATCAACTAACTTGAAGTCCGAGTCACTAACTTGGTAGACTTGATTTATATGTGAGATTATTCAAATGGTGCCATTCTACAGGACTGATTGTGGGAAACTGAACTAAAAGGCAAGAGGGAGGAATGCATAGTTGGTAGCCTATAAATAAAGGAACAAGAAGGGGCTGGAATTAGCTTACAGCTTGTTTACAACCTCCCTTGGAAGGATGTGGCATAACAGACCCAAGCATCAGGAGCTGGGATAATGAGGAAAACAACTGAGGTTTGAAACAGTGTCCCACTTCTCGTATTCCTGTGTGGTGTGTGCTACGCTGACAAAGAGTGGGGATTTTCTGATTTTGTCTGCCACGCTGACCTTTACCATGTTTATTTTTCAGTTGGTTTGGGGAAGGCGTTTGAACTCTGTGGTATGAGCAAGTTCACTCCTCCTCCACTTTCCTTTTTTCTCCCCTCTTGCCCAAAACGGTTTGCTGAGTGACAAATAAACACAAGTTGTTTTTACAGGTGTAAAACCAACAGATCAAATGCTGGCCTGTGCCTGGGCTTGTGAATGGGGACTGTGTTATGTTTGGAGAATACCACCGCATCATTTACACTTGCAAACCCTTTGTAATCTTAATCTCTTTGTTGCTTTTATGTTATACTGGCCCCCCAAGGTTAAAGAAAGAGATTTAGACCTTAAACACAAATCCAGCCTTCAAGCTCTGGAATTATCTTTGCCTTTAAATGCAGCTGATCAATGCCCATTTCTTTTGAAAATAAAACCCTTTTGAACCTTGAAAGCCTTCCACTGTTGAGCTATGCCTAAGTGCCACATGGGGGAATGGGCAGAAAAGAGCCCATTTTTCCCTTAGTGCTTGCATTAGGGGTCCCAGAGTTCAGTCCGACGCAATCAATTTAATTGGCGCTAGCTCTGGTGACAAATTATGCTGGTTTACACTCCAGTGTAGCAGAGATTCCTCAAACGCAGGGGAAGAAGGGAGATACACTTCTTGGTCTCTACTTAAAGAGGGCAACAGTATTGGAAAAGGAGCACATTTAATTTATCACTGTCAGAGCAGGTGCAAAGTTTAATTCTAACTAAAAGCATTAAACAATTAACCCAGACAGTCAGGCCTTCTGAAAATGCTCAGTAGCAGGGAACACACGGACCAGATTACCAATGGAAACGTCAATGCTTCTCTTTTATTCCGCTGAATATCTTCCTGCACTTTTTTTTAAACAAAGAAAAGTCCCAGAAATACAATAACTTCTCAAGTCTTTTGGTAGATGTCTGAATTGAAAGGGTCAGATAGGACATCACCCTACACTCAAAGATCAACAAATAACTGTCCCTTGAGCCCTTGTTGATTAGCTGTGAGAAGAGAAATAAGTCATTTGATTTGGAAGCTTCCATAAGCTGGTTGCTCACCTTTTTTATGGTGAAGTATATTACCATGCAATATCTATTCCACTAATTTGAATTATTCTGCAGTATCCAAATCCCTGGTGATCATCTGTTATTGTGGGGTGGGGGTGTGGACAAGGGAATGAACCAGGAGATAAGAACTCAGATAGCAATGAAATCCAATTAGACATAGAGATGAACCCTGCTTCACAGATACTTAGTATGTTTTCTTTCTTTGGTTGTTGCACTGACCAGATAATCATTGAATTTTAGAGCTGTAAGGCCCTTGGAGAACTTTGAGGCTTAGCCTAAAGGATTTCATTGTGAGAACATCGAGGCCTGCAGACAGGAAGTTTCTGCTCAATGTTATGTTGTTTCTGCAAAGCTCTCACTATGGGCCAACTCTTCTGACTTGGTGCAGGCAGTTTAAGAAAAGATTATGGGCTTTTGAAACTGTCAGACCTGCCTTTGAATTGTGACTGTGCTTGCTTCGTACTTGACATCTTAGCGTGTACACTGGATGTTGATACACTCCTTGCGAGGTAATTCGAGTAACTCATCCAGCCCAGTATGTGGCACCTACAGCCTTCATCTTGTGTTGGTTCCTGCCTCTGTCTATCCAGGTGCTCAGATTAACTGAGACGCTATAGGTAAAGCACCTGGTCCAGTGCCTGTCACACATAGTTGCAGTGTATTTTCAACTCTTTAGTAAATCAGGAAAAAAAGTAGTAAAAAATCATTTAACTTATAATGCGAATGCTTTGGAATTTTGAAAGCATTACCTTTTTGTAGCTTAATTTATCAATTTAGATCTGTGTTACTGAGTGGAAAGGGTAAAGTTGAGTTTGTTTCTCTTTTAATTGTCTGACTAGAAGATATCTGGGCTTTGAGCGACCTTGCAAATCATGGTCCATCCTCCTCACTTTGCAGATGAGGAAACATAGGCCACATGTGGTTAAATACTTTACCAAGGACACAATGAGCTACCATGGCTAGCCCTATCTGGTGATCTCAAGTAGGGGTGATCTCTAGTGATCTGGAAGTGGAGGTCCAGATCCCTGTCAACTCAGCAGCCTCCACCCCTAACTATGCAGATCCTCATGGCTCCACTGAACTCACTGTAAAAACTACAGGGCGCTGTTTGATATTGTTACACAGGTAATCTGGTGTAAGTTAAGTTAAGTTACCAGATTGCTGTATAGGAGAAAAATGTGGTGCTGCTCTAGCATTTTGTATAAAATAACTACTTTAAACATGAGATTCCCTAGTTTTTATTTTAAATATGATATAGCATTAGAAAACATTTTAAGAAACAAACAGAGAAACCATGTATCATCTCATGTTCATTCCCAGCATCAAATTTATGGCACAGAGCTTCGTTTGAGGGAGCCGACACAGTCCCATGATTGGAAAGGATTCAATATCTGGGTTTTAATTCCACAATTTGGGCTTCAATTTCTATTTTGTGCAAAGGTTCCTTCCTGATGCCTTTCCTTAGTGTGTGAGCAAGTACTGAGTGGAGCATTTGTATGAATGTCGTCGCCGGAAACTTGGGATCCTCCTGGAGACAAGCACTGTACACTAAATGCAAGGGGAATATGTTTACTGAGTGCCTACTGCATGCATGGTTTTATTTAATCCTCACGACTTCGTGATGTAGGCACTCTTATCCCTATTTATAGAGATTGGCACTGGAGAGAGATAAACCCCACAGTCACCAGGGAGAGGAGACAGGATTTGAACCCAGTTCCATCCAAAGCCCATACTCTTTATAATCTACATGTTGCTGTTCAGTCTATGGCCTCTCTAGATTTATGTTACCAAAATGACATGTGACTACAGTCTCAGCAACCATAAGGATGGAAACTGCCCAAGGGGTGCATGAGGTCATCTGTTGCTGATGTTTTTCTTTGGGATCTATGGTCAGTGAGGCTTTTTTTTCTTTCTAAGAATGTATGTTTTCATGATCTAAAACATTTTTGTCACTAAGGAAGTGTTCAAAAGAGATTGCCATGAGTTGATTGCATGTTGCTCCCCAGGAAGAAACATACAACTGGGATTTTTTGTTTCCTCTGTGGGCTTTGCCAACTTTTGGAAGCCCAGCAGCCACCTCTTTATAACATTCAATGTCATGAGGTTTGGAGGGCTAGAGACTAACGGCCATCTTTTAGAAAAACACAACCTTCTCACCCGACAGAGTCATGGAAAAGAGAGAAGGATAAAATGATGATGCAGGTGCTCACACATTCCCCCTTCCCATCAAGGAGAAGACAAGGTGAGGCCTCAACAATGGTTCAATTGAGGTCTGGAGCAGACATGCCTTCCAACAGTGGCCAAGAAGTATGTAATTCCAATTATTAGCACAACTCCCAAAACTCTAATTTATTATATCTAATTGCAAAATAAGGGATTGTACATGCATATGTCTTGTCCCTTATGACTCCATTATTTGCTTTACTCATTCATGTAGATTTAATTGCCATTTCACAGCAGTCTCCCTGAAATCTGGTTAGATTGCCTATTGCCGCTATAATTTCAGAAGCCTTATATACGCTAATGGTATTAACAAGAGCTGCCCTTCTCTTGTGGTCTCATTGTTTTGCTTCTCACTGGGCCTCTTTGTCTCTGTCCATTCTGACATCCACGTCCTGCTCTGACATCCACATCCAAGGAGACCTATTTCACGAGGGTGGGGTGAAGGCTCATGGGCCTCCTAGAGCCATCCCAGGAAAAGGTCTTGGGGCAGCATAGAAAAAAATGGTGAAGGTCTAGTTTATCTCAAATTGTGTTTCAATATTACTGAATTTGAGCTATTTAAACCTTGATGAAAAAAAAATTTTTGAAAAGTTGTTAAGTAACTTTTTCCTAAATTTGAAATTTGTGTGTGTGGGAGGGGGTGCTAGGGAAGGGTCTGGCTGTCTGTTTAAGTTGCCTCCTTATTGCCCTTATCTTTTAAAGCAAAACTAGGAAAAAAAAACCCAAAATCTACAAATACAAATAACAAAATGCATTTCCCTATGGTAGGATAAACATTCAGCTGTGTCATTTGCAAGAACTCAATAACATAAACAAAAATAAACCAAGCAATTTTCATAGTGAGTTTTTGTGTTTAGTATATGAAGTATTTCTGGATTGTCATCAAGCCAGCATTTATGACCACTTTAAAGAAATAAAAATTTTAGTAACAGAAAATTATAACATCGTCCAGCTCTTGATGGGGGACTTGGGAGGAGAGAAAACTACAAATGATCTTAGAAAATAGAGATACATTTTTCCGAGGCATGTGAGGACAGAGAATAGAGAAGGGGCTGCCCAGTAGAGCCCAGCCCCAATGCAAGATTTCTCAATGTGAAGCCCAATTTTCAAAAAGGCTTTGAATTAGCTTTCTGTGGCTAAATAAGTAGCCATTAAATCTTGTCTTAGAATTTACCCTTCTCCTCTAAAAAATGGGAATTCTCTTATGGTTCCTGTCCCTGGGCTAAGGATATAATCAAATCAGCCAAAGTTTCTACCATCTTAGAAATAAAGCACAGAAAGTTGACCATAGGTCTCATTTAGCATATAATTGCAACATTTCCTTACAGTTAAAAAAAAAAAGAAAAAATCTTAAAACCTATTTGGTTTAACTCTGGGAAAACACGAAGACAGAATTAAAAGCCTACTTTTCTTATGGCCTGTAGAACACAGTTCATTTTCCTTTCAGTGTTGAAGTTCTTCTTCCCATTTACCTCTATATACATTTTATTTCTTTTTTTTAATTTTACTTTAAGTTCTGGGATACATGTGCTGAATGTGCAGGTTTGTTACATAGGTATACATGTGCCATGGTGGTTTGCTGCACCTATCGACCTATCATCCAGGTTTTAAGCTCCACATGCATTAGGTATTTGTCCCAATGTTCCCTTGCCCTCCACCCACTGACAAGCCCTGGTGTGTGATGTTCCCCTCCCTGTGTCCACATACATTTCATTTCTTCTCGATACTCTGCCTTGAGTCAGCAGTTGCCTTAGCTCCAGCTCTGGTTCTATGTGCTCCATCACCCACTCTGACTCTCTAAGAGTCACACACAGGGCATTACAGCCTCTCATTCTTGCATCTATTTCAGAATATCCGCATATGTACTCTTTACCACTAAACTTCATGTTTTCCCAAGTCTCTGATTCCCTTCAGGGTATTTTAATTCATCATTCTTTCTCTTCCAGGTGGCAGTATTCAAAGCGTGAGCTGAGAATTGTTCTTTTCTAGTATTCATATTTCCAACATGATAAGGTCTGTAATTTTAATTCTGGCAGGAATTGACAACCTCCTTGTTATATTCCTAATTAGTTTTTCATCAAAATCACTGTTAGTGTCTATTTGTTCCTTTATTCTGTTGAGGCTTTCGTCCCCCATAGGTGACAAGCTAGAGTGGGTGGGTGAGGGATTCCAAGGAGGTTTTAGCTCTATTAAATACTCCGTGGACATATATTTTCCTCCATCCAATTAAAAATTTCCCCTAAAACTATCCCTGTAGTTTTGACAGAGCTCCCTAAATAGCTCAACTTTTCAAGAAAGACCACTATAATGTCCTTCTCATTTGGATTCACTTGTTGGGTTCTAGGCTTTGCAAAACATCCAATTATCATGCAGGTAGATTACAAAACTGTTCAATGAAGTTTCTTTATCTAGTTACACAAGTATTAACTCCTTTGTAACCTCAAGATAATTAAAATAATATTTAAACAAAGCATATTTTGGCTTCACCCAAGAGAGTTTTGACTCAAGACTTGCTTGTCTTTTATCTATTCTTAGGAGGTAGATTAGCTATCTTTGATCCAGTAAGATTTGCAGTGACATGTTCTTACTGAAATAGAGTAGACCAGGCTTATTTCCAGTTTTGCTGGGTCTAGATTCTACTCCAAGATTTCTTCCCTCCAAATGCTCATTGTTTTAATTAACTTGTACATTGCCCAAGACTAGGGACCTGGGAAGAAATCTCAAGAAAAGGTCTCAGTTGGATAGAGAAGTTTACTACTGTGGTCTATTATTGGATTTTCTCTACCTTGTCTATGAGGTTTCTAAGGGACCAAGAGAGCAGTTGTCAATATGGTTGTGTTTGAGTTCAGACTCTTAACATGGACTGATCAGATCTGTTCAGAGTGACAATCTGAAAGACTCACACATTCTGAACTCTTGGATTTGGATATGGGAAATTTTTGATTGTCTATGGTAAGTGGAGTCCTCCTCCCCTTGTAATTATAGGGGCAGCAATCATTTGAGTATAGGGATCTTTAAAGATGCTAACCCACCCCTTTTATTCTACTCCTGCGGATTGTGCAAGGTGCCCTAAGGGGAATGTAGTGCTGAAATTCAGTATTGCTAACTCTGACATGGGGCTGTAGAGGGCACCATTTTCTTTTCTCTTTCCTCACTTTCGTATGTTATTTAAAAAAAATCTTATTTTGAAATAATTTCAATCTTAGAGGAAAGTTGCAAGAATAATGCAGAGAACACTTATACACCTTTTACCAAGATTCAACAATTTTTAATGTTTTGGCACATTTGTTTTATCTATTGTATTGTTTTCTGAATCATTTGAAAGAAGGTGTCATATTCTTTGTGCCTTAATACTTCAGTGTGTATTTCCTAAAGGCAAGGATATTTTCTTATGTAACCAGAATATAGTTATCAAATAATAGGAAACCTAACAGTGACATAATGCTTTTATTTACTTGATAGTCCTTATTTTAATTTTGTCAATTATACCAATAACATTCTTTATAATATTATTTTTTCCTTAAGTACAAGACCCAATCCAGCCTTATGTATTGTATTTAGTTGTGTGTTTTTTCTCTTTTAGTTGTGAATGCAGTATTTCTTTAACCTTTCTTTGTCTTTCATTATACTGATATTTTTGTAAAACACAGACCAGTTATTTTATAGAACATTCTTCAGTTCAGGTTTATCTGATAATTTTCCATGAGGAGATAAAGGTTATGCAGAATTCTTGGCCAGAATTCTATATGTGTGATATTGTGTGCTTCTCAGAGTAACTCAAGTAGAGACACATGATCTGTCTGATCCTTATTGTTGAGGTTAATTTTGATAACCGGATCAAAATATTGTCTGGTTTCTGCACTGTGTAGTGAGTTTTTTTAAAAAAAAGCCTTGTAATGATTAAACAATCTGTGGGGACACACTTTAAGATCACAGTTTATGACTCATCAAATTTTGAACCCAAAATTTAACAGCCATTTATAATTCCTGCTCATTGATGGTTTAATATGGTGACTTTTCATCTCTAACATGTCCTTCAAATTGATCAGTCAGCATTCTATTGTAAGAAAAAGCCCTCCCTTTTCTTTTATATGTATATTCTTCTATTTATAATCAATATGGACTCATGAATTTTTACTTTTTACAGTGGATTATAATCTGTTATTCATTTTGATGCTCAAATGATCAGTGACCCGTGGGGAGATTTTTCAAGCTGCTTCTATGTTTTTTTGACATGTTTCCCTCATTTTTTGAAGGACTTCCTTACTTTCTGGAGTAAGAGGATGTTCTAGGCTTATCTTGTATTATCTCTGTCCCAGCCATGCAATAGTCTATTTCTCCAGGGAGACCCCTGGTTCCTTTCCGAGGAGAATGGAATTTAGAAACCAAAATCCAAATGCTAGCTGTGCTCACTGTTATTGGCATGCAATTACTTCTAGGTCTTTTTAGCAGATGAAGCTAGACTATGAAAGAAGTTTATACCCATACCTTTAATTAATATTCCCCCACAGAGTTGTATTTTTTCTTATTCTTATTCTATATTTGTGTCTTTTCCACATTGAGAACTTCAGATCCCCAAAACATCAACATGTTTACTCATTTGCTCAATCCTATGATACACATATAATACTTTCAAAATTGCTATGCACATACTGCTATAAAAACAAAGTTAAGAGGAGTCCAAGATTTGTTTGTAGTTTTATTTTTCCCTAGATTTAAGGTCTACATCAAAGTACTGTGTTCAAAACTTACTTGTGAGGGAGGAGACCACAGGATTTATTGCCCTGTTCTGATGGAATAAGTAAAGAAACTGTCAGGAACCAGCAGATGGTGACAAAAGGTTATTCCTAGTATTCCTCATTACTGATTAGCATAAGACACTCCCACCAGCACCACGACACTATACAAATGCCATGGCAACAACCCAGAAGTTACTGCCCCTTTCCATGGCAATGACTCAGAAGTTACCATCTCTTTCCTAGAAAGTTCTGAATAGCCCACCCCTCAATTTGCAGTAACTTATCTCTTAATTTGTATGTAATTGAAAGAAGGTGTAATATACAAAAATCAACTCAAGATGGATTAAAGACTTAAATGCAAAACCGAAAACTATAAAAACCCTAGAAGGCAACCTAGGCAATACCATCCTGGATAGGAACAGGCAGATTTCATGACAAAGACACCAAAAACAATTGCAACAAAATAAAATTTGGTAAGTCGGATCTAATTAAACTTAGGAGCTTCTGCACAGCAAAAGAAACTATCAACAGAGTAAACAGAAAACCTACAGAATGGGATAAAATTTTTGCAAACTATGCATTTGACAACTGTCTAATATCCAGCATCTATAAGGAACTTAAACAAATTTTCAAGAGAAAAGCAACCCCATTAAAAAGCAGTCAAAGGATAAGAACAGGCACTTTTCAAAAGAAGACATGCATGCAGCTAACAAGCATATGAAAAAAAGCTCAGTGTCACTGATCATTAGAGAAATGCAAATCAAAACCACAATAAGATACCATCTCATACTAGTCAGAAGGGCTATTATCAAAAAGTCAAAAAATAACATGCTGACAAGGTTGTGGAGAAAAAGGAATGTTTTTTCACTTTTGGTGGGAGTGTAGATTAGTTCAGCCATTGTGGAAAGCAGTATGGTGATTACTAAAAGAGCTAAAAGCAGAACTACCATTCCACCCAGCAATCCTGTTACTGGGTATATACCCAGAGGAATATAAATCATTCTCCCATAAACACACATGCATGCAAATGTTCATTACAGCAATATTTACAATAGCAAAGATGTGGAATCAACCTAAATGCCCATCAGTGACAGATTGGATAAAGAAAATGTGGTACATATACACCATGGAATACAATGCAGCCGTAAAAAAGAATGAGATCATGTCTTTTGTGGGAACATGAATGAAGCTGGAGGCTATTCTCCTCAGCAAACTAACACAGGAACAGAAAACCAAATACTACATGCTCTCAGTGGGGGCTAAATGATGAGAATTTATGAAGACAAAGAAGGAAATAACAGACATTGGGGTCTACTTGATGGGGGATGGTGGTTGGAGGGAGAGCAGCAGAAAAGATAACTATTGGGTACTGGGCTTAGTTCCTGGGCAATGAAATAATCTGTACGATAAACCTCCATGACATGAGTTTACCTATGTAACAAACCTTCACATGTACCCCCAAACCTAAAATAAAAGTTAAAAAAATAAAACACAAAATGATTGTATATTGATATGGTTTGGCTGTGTCCTCACCAAAATCTCAACTTGAATTGTATCTCCCAGAATTCCCATGTGTTGTGGGAGGGACCCGGGGGAGGTAGCTTAATCATGGGGGCTGGTCTTTCCTGTGTTCTTCTCATGATAGTGAATAAGTCTCACGAATAAGTCTCACGAGATCTGATGGGTTTATCTGGGGTTTCTGTTTTTGCTTCTTCCTCATTTTCTCTTGCCACAGCCATGAAAGAAGAGCCTTTGCCTCCCGCCATGATTCTGAAGCCTCCCCGGCCATGTGGAACTGCAAGTCCAATTAAACCTTTTTTTGTTCCCAGTTTGGGTATGTGTTTATCAGCAGCATGAAAATGAACTAATACATATATCTAAAAAAAAAAAAAGAAAAATAATAATGAAAAAAGTGGAATATAAGTGGATATAAATATAGTTTGCAATAGCCCACAGATGTGGCTCTGGGTGCACTGTGTATGAGTCACCCCTGCTCCACAGGAGCAGCTCCAGTTCAATAAAAGATTGCTGTCTAACTCCACTGTCTCACCCTTGAATTCCTTCCTGGGCAAAGCCAAGAACCCTCCCGGACTAAGCCCCAATTTTAGAGCTTGCCTGCCTGTGCTGTGTCACTTGCATTAGTCCTTTGTTAAAATATCATTCAGTATATTTATATTATTAATTTTAAAAATAGATTTATTTTTTCTGTTTTCATTCAATTTTAATATTTTACTTTTAATTTTATCTTTTGAAGATTAAAAATTCAATTAATTACATTTAATTTTATCTTTTGAATATTAAAACATTAGCACATGTCTAAAAATCAAAATTATATACAAAAGCACACTGAGAGAAGTTTCATCTGCTCTTATTCCTTTAACCCAAACTTTTATTAGGTTGGTGCAAAAGTCCTTGCAGTCTTTGCCATTAAAAGTAATGGCAAAAACCACAATGACTTTTGCAGCAGTCTTACCTGTGTAGGTTACCAGTTTTATTGTTTCCTGTTTTATCTTTTCTGTGTTTTTGTTTTGAAAAAAAAAAAACCCAACAAAAACATATTTGTGTATGCTTGACTGCCCTCCTTCATGTATAAAACATAGCATACAGAACACCTTTTTGTACGTTACTCTTTCACTTAACAATACACACAAAAAATTGTTCCATATTTCTTCATAAAGATCTTCCTGTTTTGTGTGCTTGTTTTTAAATAGTTGCTTCATTATGTGTATATGCCAAAGTCTAACTCATCTCCTATGTTTGGGCATGTAGATGGTTTTCAGTATTTTGCAATTACTAACACTGCTGCATTAAGTTGATGTGTATGTATTTTTGTATTGTCAGAGGTGTAACTACAGGGTAAATAACTAGAAGTGGAATTGCTGGGTTGAAGGGTAAAATGTACATGCAATTTTTGTTAGAAATTGACAAGTTTCCTTTCATACAGGCTATACAACTTTGAGTTTCCACCAGCAATGTATGAGAGTGAATCCTGGTAACATTGCCATAGAGTGAGTTGTTAGGATTTTGATTTTCTGTCAACCTGATGAGTGAGAAATGATATTTCATTGTATCTTTATTTGCATTTATCTTACTTGGAATGAGGTTGAATGTTGCATGTTTCAGAGCTATTTTTATATATTCCGAGGAATTGTTTGTTCATATATTTTGCTCATTTTTTTCTATGATTTTTGCTTTTTAAATCAACTTTTAGAAGTTCTTTAAATATATTTATATCTTTTTTTACATTTTTCTTAATTTACTCATAAACACACTTATCCACCCACATATGTGCCTGTGCAAGTGTGGGGTTCTTAACATTCTTTAAATATTTTTTCCCAATTTTTGTTTGTCTTTTGACTTTACTTATGATTTTTTTTTCCTAGTTGAGCTGCCTTGTTCCAATTGGTTTGCTAAGAGTGCATACCTTTTTTCTAATTCTCAGAAAGGTGCTGTACATTCTGATGTGTCCTGTGTCTTATAGAAGTTGGCTGCAGGAAGAGAAGCTGTGATTCCTGGAAACTAGGACATTCTCCAGAAGTTCCTTTTTTTTGGTCTTTTTTTACCCTCTAGGAATGTGGTTTCATGACTGTGCTTCTCTTTGATAGCCTCCTGCATTCTACTATCAGACTATGGGTTGTTTCTCTGAGGCTCTTTGTGTTTTTCTCATCTGAAGCTCTTACTTGGCCCTGACTTGTCATGATACCAATTCTGGTACCATCTATAGATTTAGTGAAGTAGCTGTTCAAGCTTATTTATTTTTCAGGTCCACAGGCCCCTATTCTGCCTTATATTCAGTTTCTGATAAATTTTGACTCTCTTCTACCACGCTGTTTTGCACTTTCTATTTTTTCTTTTCTTTCTTTTTTTTTGAGACAGGGTCTTGCTCTGTTGCCCAGGCTGGAGCACAGTGCCATGATCATAGGTCACTGCAGCCTCGATCTCTTGGGCTCAAGTGATCCTTTCACTTCAGCCTCTTGAGTAGCTGGGACTAATAGCATGCACTACCATGCCCAGCATGAGGTCAAGCAATGTTGCTAAGGCTGCTCTTGAACTCTTGAGCTCAAGTGATCCTCCCACCTCGGCCTACCAAAGTGCTGGGCTTACAGGCATGAACCACTGTGCCTGGGTTGTTTTCTATTTTTTCTACCTGTCTGTTTCTTTCTTTCCTCTGTGGTCTACTTTGGGGCTGATTCTTTTTTCTTTCTTGTTCTCTTTGTACTTTAACAATTGTAAACTCTATTCCCATTCTAATTAGAAATTTTAACACAAATAGTTGATTTACTAAAGTCTAAAATTAATCAAAATCCTTATCCTCTTTCTGAATAATATATAAACTTACGTCTTAAGTTTTAACACTTAAGTATTGTTATAATACTTTCCCAACTAATATGTTATTTTTGTCATGTGTTTAAGTCCCATCTGATTGTTAAAACTGTAGAAGACATAATTATTATTGTTACATTTTAAATAATATTTGTTTAGATTTATCCACATATTTACTACTCTATGGAATGATGCTAAAGCATCATTAAATATTTAGTGTTTAAAATATTTAGTTGTAAACATTTGTAATATTTAGTTGTTAACATTTGTAATATTTAGTTTTAAACATTCGTAATAAAATGAATGATTTAAGCATCCAACTTAACAATGTATACTAATATTAGAATGATTCCAAAGGAAACAGAAAGAAGGAAATAATGTGAATAGGACATATAGTTATATTATACACTTTAACTTAATACCCACAAATTCAAAGTCAGCATGATATGTGATTTTCACCAGGCAATGTATAATCATATATATTGTACACATATATGTTATATAAGGGATTTGTCATAGGGAATTGGCTTTAATCAATTGTAGGACCTTATTAGGTAGGCTCTGTAAGCCTGTTGTCTTCGTGTTTGTTGTTGGAGCTTGAAGTCCCCAAGTGGTCAGAAAGGAAAGATGAATGCAAAGTGAGGGAGATGAAGAGCAAGCTCGGCCCCACAAGTACAAGCTGGAAACTTGTGAAGTTGGACTGAAACTCGTATCAGTTCTTGGTGCCTCTGACCTTGGCAGCATGAGTGTTCTGCAGAACATGATGCCCTTTGTCATGAAGCTAAACATACACGTCTGGTCCACCATTCAGAGAAGCTGAAGGAGAATCCAAGGGAAAGTAGGGCAGTTGCAGGTCCCAAGCTGCTTCACACCAATGAAGTGAGTCAGCAGATCAGCAACAGTGTGCTTCAATTACAAGGGGACTGTGCTGTCCTCCAAAATTTCCTGAAACTTTCTTTGTTACCCACCCTACCTGGGAACATACAAGAAAGGGAATTCTACAGAATTTGAAAAATGTAGTTTATCCTAGTCAAATTGACATGTTACATTGCCATCAGAAAACATTCCTTCTTGCATCACAAACCTTTAATCTAATAATCTAAGATTATTTTTCTTTAGCTTGAAACATATCTTGTAGGATCTCCTTTGGTAGACATTCATTGGTAGCAATTCTTGGCTTGTGTTTGTTTGAAAATTCTTTCCTGACATTAGAAAGATATCTTAACAGGGCATTCAATTCTAGATAAACATGACAGATATTTTCATCAACAATTTGAAGATACTTACCCCACTGCTTCAGGATGCTATTGCTACTGCCGGGTGCTCAGCTGTTAGTCTAGTTGTCATTCCTCTGAAATAATGTTATTGCTTCCTCTGGCTGCTTTTAAAATCTACTTCTTGTCTTTGGTATACAATATTATCACAATCATGTATCTAGGTGTGTATTTCTTTTTATTTTTTTGAGCTCAGGATGTATTCTACATTTTGAATCTGATTTATTAGTGTTGGTAAGTTTTTGTTTCCATTATCATTCTTATTTTTACATACTGTCTCTACTTCATCATCTTTTTATTGTCATTCCAGACTTTCAATTGGTTATATGTCAGGGCTATATAAGAGTTTTCCATTTTTGTTTTTTTTTTTTAAAATTAGTTTAATTGCATTGTGCTTAGAGGCTGTGACCATTGAAATTCTTTGAAATTTGCTAAGATTTGCTTTATGACTGAGGTTGTGGATTTGAAGAGGTCTGAAAGTGAAGTTGTTTTCAAATCTTGTCTTATTTAATGATTTAAGTATTTTTGTACAGAATTATACTTTATAAAAATTGAAGGCAGTGACCATATGCCTTCAATTTTTATGTCTATTACACCTAACACATGTCAAGAATGCATACTTATATGTATGGCAAACTATGATTCTAGTCCCAGCTCAGCTACCTACTAGCGGATGCTCTTGTGGATGTCTTGCTGGGTTGTTATTGGGCTCTTCTGGGAAGTCTAGGTACCAGTTTGCTCCAGCATGAAAAATAACTTGAAAATTTCTTGGAAAATAACTTATTTTCCTTGGAATCTAGCTTTCCTGTTGTAGGATATTTCTACCTGTGTGCAAACTGGGATTCCTAGCATACTGGTAATATAAGTGAATTTAACTTATAAGGAGCCTCAAAAATTTTGTATGAATTTTCCCTGGTGCTGAGTATGTATTTATTTCATTGTTAATTATTTTCCCAGAATCTGGAATGCACAACGAATAATTTTCAAAGTACTGTTTAAAGTCTGTTTTGTCAGCATCTTAGTCTATCGCAAAACCTTTTTTTGTTGTGGCTCTTCTTTTATTTCTTGTTTTCAGTTTTTTCAACAATCTTCTCTTTTTGTTAAAGACTTACAGTGCAAAATCTTAAATAAAAGAATGAATGGCTAAATGAATCCCTATGAGTGAATAAATATGATGCTTTGGCCAGTTGGGCCCAGTCACAATTGACACTCCATGTGGTGGAGACCGAAGGACTAGAATCACCATTCCAAAGGATTAAAGTTTAACTCTTACCTTTACAATAGGATAGTGATATTCTTGGGACACAAGAGGGCCAGACTCAGAAGGCAGCTGGTTTGATAACATTCCAGAGACCACCTATGGCTTCTGTGTGCCCCCGGTGGGGGGTAAGAGGCCACCAGTACCCTGGACACCCTTTCTTGTTTCAGAGCAGCATGGAAATGTTCTTGGCCTGCTGTCTAGAGGTCATCCTTCCAAACCTGCTAGAGCATCTTCAGCTGAGTTGCCCAATCCTGTTCATCTTGGAAACTACAAAAATGATGGGTGGAGAGAGATGAGCTGGGATACTTGGCTATAAAAGTGTTGGCCAGAGAGTTGATAGCTCCTGTAAAGTCTTCATGCAGTACCAGGCACACAATGAGGTCTTATTTAAAATCAGTTATCACCAACATTGCCACTGGCATTGCAATTCTGATAGAATCCTGTTTGTGCATTTATGCTAACCACTCCCCTTCCTCTACCTCAGGTGATGTGTATCCACATTGGCTACATATGGGGCATTACTTGTTTTGTTAAAAACACTTAGATTAACTCTCTTTCTCCTATTGCTGTCTCCCTCTCCTTTCTCTTTTTAATAAAATATGAGCTAGGTATAGAATCAGGTTTATGGGAGGGGACCTCATAATTTGAATATCCCCCCATATTCAAATAAAAAGTTATTTGAATACATTGAAGAATTCACAGCAGCTTAGCCAGGATGTACCCGTTTCCTCCCATAACTCACACGATTATGCTAATTCAGAAGAAATGTGTTGATGCACTATTAAAAAGCATGATCTGTTTTCAGCTTGTGGGTAAAGAGGAGAGCAGCAGCCTTTAGTGGCCGTGTCAGTTTTGCCCGTATTATTATGTGCAGATGTGCCAGCTGCCAGTAGGCATTTTCTCTCTGATAGCGCTAACCACTTAACCGTGGGTCAGCGAGGTGCAGCTCTCAGCCAATGGATCTAATTGCAATCCTTCTATGTTCCCTGTGATTGCAGGTTTCTCCAGCTCTATAAACAAATAGTAATCAACTAAACCTGTTACCTCTGAGTAGAGATGTCACGATATGAAATATTAACTGTTCAAAATACAGTAATGATGGTAAAACTGTATTTGTTTCTTGAAAATAAAGAAAAAAATTTAAAAAAGAATGAAAAATCAGAAGCCCAAGAATTGGAATTCTAAAGGGCCCTCTGGCTCTTTTCCCTCGACATAATGAAAAATTGCATATGTATATGGCATGTTTTATGTGGTCAGATACAGCGTAAATATTGTGTACATCTTTTGCTGGAGTAACAATGCATTAGCAGCATCACAAATAAGCTCTGCCTCAGCATCTACATTTTTATGACATTTTTATGTTAATGCAAGTCAAACTTATGTTTTGTGATGTATCTAATCCACCCCAAATTAATCCATTTGTATTCCTATAATCCAATCAGCTCTAGCCTCCCCTGCTGAAAAGTTAGATATAAAGTCCAAGGCAGAAATATGGCAGTATGTCTGGGCCCAGGGAGGCTTTGGTTTTAGGGGATAATTTTCTCTTTTGGCACATGGAGGCAGTGTGGGTTTAGATGGGTGGCTCTGGATAGGGTCAGTGGTGGAACAGGGGTGGAGGAGTTATCCTATGGCTTGAAGTTACCAGTGTTAATAATACAATGCCTTCGTACACTTTATTATCTAATCTTATTTTTGATGTCATTTAATAACTTTCTCATCCATTCCAACTGATAGTCTTTGCCATGTTTCCTAATCTCTGTACCAGGATTCTATCAAGTACTTAATGTATGCTAGGTATTGTGCTAAGCATTTGTTGAGTATCTGCAGGGTACAATGTATGTGCAACATTTACTGAGTATTAACTGTGTAGAATGTGTATGCCAGAGCTGGAGACCAGCTTTCACCTAGAAGTTCTATTTTGCCCATATCAGCCCACTAAAGATGGAATAACCACCAGAACTTGTTCAGAAGTTTTGGATCATGGTGCAATGCCCTTTCTTGATTTTTTCTGAGACTGAGCTGGAGATGAATGAATACCTCCAGAAAAGTGACACGGAGCTATTTAGTGTAGTAGAAGAAACACTAGACTAAGGAATCTTGAGTCTAGATAGAAAAGCATATTGATGAACAGCCCACACTTTTCAAATTAAAGAAGACATAAATAAATGGAAAGACACCCTACATTTATGGATTGGAAGACTTAATATTGTTAAGATGTCAATACTACTCAAAGTGATCTACAGATTTAATGCAATCCCTTTAAAAATTCCAATGTTTTTTTTTGCAGAAATAGAAAAACTCATTCTAAAATTCATAATCCACATAGAATTTTAAGGGACCCCAAATAGTCAAAATAATCCCGAAAAAGAAAAAAGCTAGAGGATTCACACTTCTGGATTTCAAAACTTTCCATAAAGCTAATCAAAACAGTGTGGTACTGGCATAAAGACAGCCAGATAAACAAAAGGAATAGAGTATGGGGTCCATAAATAAACCCTTATATATATATGTGATCAAATGATTTTGACAAGCATCAAGACCTTCAGTGGGGGAAAAGACAGTCTTTTCAACAAACGGTGCAGAGAAAACTGGATATCTACATGCGAAAGAATAAAGTTGGACTCTTATCTAACACCATACACAATCATTAACTCAAAATCGATCCATGACCCAAATGTAAGACCTAAAACTACAGAACCCTTAGCAGAAGACATAGAGCAAAATCCCCATGACAGTGAATTTTGCAGTAACTTATTGGATATGACACCAGAGGCACAGGCAACAAAAGAAAAAATAGACAAATTGAACTTCATTATATAACATTGTGCATCCAAAGACACTATCATCAGATATCAGCTCTGGTATGAAAAAAACCACTATCAATGCAGTAAAGTGGCAAACCCACAAAATAGGAGAAAATATTTGCAAATCATGTATCTGATAGGTACTAACACCACGCTATGCAGACAACTTCTAAAACTCAACATCAAAAACCCAAACAATCCAATTCAAAACTGGGCAAAGGACTTGAATAGATATTTCTCTAAAGAAGGTGTGTGAATGGCTGATTAAACACATGAAAAGATGCTCAGCATCACTAATCATTAGGGAAATGCAAATCAAAACACAATGTGATACCTTATACTCACTCACTAGGATGGCGACTATCAAACACACACAGAGAAAACAAAAAGTGTTCATGAAGATGTGAAGAAATGAGAACACTTGTGCACCATTGGTGGGAATGTAAAATGGTACAGATGCTGTGGAGAATAGTATGGTTCCGCAAAAAATTAAAAATAGATTTACCATATGATCCAGCAATTCCACTTCCAAGTATATATCCAAAAGAATTGAAAGCAGGGTCTCTAAGAGATATTTGCACAACCGTGTTTATAGCAGCATTATTTATGATAGCCAAATGTGGCAGCAATGCAAGTGTCCATGGACAGATGAATGGATATAAGCAAAATGTGGTTTATGCATACAATGAAATATTATTCAGCCTTAAAAAGGGAGGTTACTTTGATCAATACTACAACAGAAGTGAACCTTTAGGACATTATGCTAAGTGAAATAAGTCAGTGACAAAAAGACACATACTATATGATTCTACTTCTAAGAGGTAGCTAGAGTAGTCAAAATTATAGAGACAGAAAGTAGTGTGGTGGTTGCTAGGGGCTGGGGAAAAGGAAAACGGGGAGTTATTGTTTAACCGATAGTGGTGATAGTCGTACAACAATATGAATGTAATTTATGTCACTGAATTGTACACATACAAATGGTTAAGATAGTAAATTTTATGTTATATGATTTTACCACTATAAAAAAATTGGAAAAATGTCTGTGCTTTTAATAGAAATGCTATACAATCAATATGCTGTTGTAGGGTTCAAATTCTCACCCTACCACTTCACTTACCAACTCAGGAAAATGATTTCACTTCTCTGGGACTTGGTTTTCTTATCTATTAAATGAAGATAACATAACTCATTCAGTTGTTGAGAAATATTGAGTGAAGGTATGTAAAATAATATCTGGCACATAGGAGAAACTTAATCTGTGTTAGCTACTGGCATTGTTATTTATAGAGTTTTTGAAGTTTAGAACAGTGAGAGTCCTTTAGGCCAAGCTTTTAAAATCTAACAGATGAAGAGAACTGTAGGACTGAGGCCCAGAAGAGCTAAATGGCTTAGTCATAGTCACACAGCTACATGGGATGAAGCCAGTATAAGAACCTTGGTTTCCAGATTCCCAGGACGGTGCCTTTCTAGTGCATCTGACTGCCTTTTTATTTTTATTTTTTTGCAGAGAACAAATATAGGGGTTAATATAAAAAGACTGTATCTTTGTGACTGCCCTAAAGCATGTAGCTCAGGACAGGTGATCACTGACCACCTCTTAGCTTCAATGATCTTGAGATGAAGGTGCAGTGTGTTCCCTGGCAGCCTTTGGTGATGGACGTCAGGACCAAAGCCAGCTGGCTTGAGCTCCTCCCTCCATCTGTATCCTGAATAGGCCCTTCCCCTGAGCACTTTTCCCAACTGCCCCAATCTCTGCTGATGTTTAGATGAATCAGCTGACAATTACCTGGGGGATGTCTGGAGGAGTCCAGGAGCTTCCAGGAAACAAAGGATAGAACTCCCATCTTAACTTTGCTCAGAGCTGGGTTTGCACAACTCCAAACATCTTGCCAGAGTTTGATCAATCAAGTTCTGGTGGGCAGCAAAAGGAAAGAGGCCTCAATTTAGACTGGAACCAAAGACTGAGGATTTTTTTTCTTTTGTTCCATGATTTCGGCTCTCTGTAGAAATGGCCTCCACTTCTGTGTGATTCTTTGTCTCTCCACTGCTTTAACCCTCTTGATTCATCTCATGTCTTTGCCCGTGAGGTTATAAGGTTGCTTTGACCGGGTCAGGAAATTGTAGGACAGAGGCTCCTGCCAACTGAGACCGCAGGATAGGACTTTCTTCCTTGAGCTCTCTGGCATGATGCAGGATTGGAATCTTCTGTCAATTTGCATGTAGCTTTAGTGGGTCCATGTGGTTTATATTCAGGGGAACATTGTCAGTTATTTATATGAGAGGAGAGAAAATGGTGGTGGTGGCAGTGGTGGTGGTGGCAGCAGTGATGTGTGTGTGTGTGTGCACGTGTGTGTTTGCGTGTGTGCAAAGGTGGGGGTGGGCTTGAAGGGATGGAATTGGCTTGAAAATCTGCAGTGGGCTCTTTTCTCCTTTAACACTGATGCTGGGTAATTAGCAAAATGTGCACAGGGTTTTATCCATATTCATGCGCCCTTTCTCACAAGCATAAACAATCCAGTCTCTATTATTTCCTTGCGTGTGCAGCTCCCCCCTCCCTGCCACCTGCAGAGCCCTGTTCTGCTCTGTTCACATCATTCGGGCTCTGGTTGGGGGTGGGGTAGCCTGGGCGTGGGCGTGGGTGGAGGACTCCACAGAGAGCAGAGGGAGCAGGTCTTCTCCAACGCAGCATCTGTGCCAGGCTGGAAACTTTAACAAAGCGCATTCACAGCTATGATTACACACAATCTTTAAGAGAACCCTATGGAGTAGGTAGGGTTGCATAATTATTGCTGTGTGAAAAAATAGAAAGTGAGGCAAAAAGATGGGGCTATTCATTGGTTTGCTCTTCCAGATCCATTTCCCCTTGCTGCTTTGCCTGGCTCTCTGCTCTTGTAGGCTGACCTCAAGGGACCCCTTCATCCCTTGTAGATTTTATGTGAGATTAGACGGCACTAGGAGGCAGAGGTTGAGGTTTTATTACCACCTGTCTGGTGGTGGCAGTACCTGTGTTCCCATAGATGGCCACATTGCTATTGGTGGCTGCTTTTCCACACCTACACCTTCCACTATTTTTCAGCAACCTTTTTGAATCATCTTGCCCCATTCAGATCTACAGCTGTTAAAGACTTAGTGTGGATGCTAGCCCCTTTGCCATTTCTTACTGGTTCCCTGAATTCTCCCCACATATCTATAAAAAGTTCTTTCCTGCATTCTTCTCTATTAAACTCTTTGAGTAAGCAGCTGATGCCTGCTGGGACCTCAAATGGCAAGATGAGTGGCTTGCCAGTTACCACACAGCTAAGTAGGGAAAGCCCAGAATTCCTCCTTGTTCATCTGGATTGTTTTTGTTAGGTCACGATGTCTCATCACTGCATCACTGGTGTCTTCTTCATTCCTTCTCAGCAGGCTGTGAAACCACCAGCAAATAAGAGATTTGGATCCTGTCCCATCTTTCCCACTCTTTATGAATATTGGATTTCATGGTCTGACTTCTTTGTAGAAGCAGGAACCCAAGCGTGGGCATAGACAGTGTGAATGGTATGAGAGAAATTCAGGTTTTTTTTTTTTTTTTTTTTAAACCTGTCTGTTCTGTCATCTGAGGAAGTACCACATTTATGAGTGCAATGCAAGGAGATGTGGGTGGAGTCGTACAGTCAGAAGTAGCAGATGATGATCATGTCCATTCACTTTCAATTCTAATCTCTCCGTGCACTTGGGGATTTGCTAGCCTCTCTGAATTCAGCATTTGGGCGGTGTGATCACTGCGTTTTCCTCTTTCTTCATACATGACGTGAGAGCAAACTGCCCACCCAAACACTCTACTTCATAATGCAACAGGGTGAGATCGGTCTCTACCACATTCATCTGACTTAACAGTCCCCACTCTTCTTTCCCTCACCTGGTGCACAGGTGGAGACAAGTAAAACACATGCTTCGCGGGGTTTCCAGGGTGAAGGGCAGAAGGAAACTATACTATGCTGCTCTGTTTTCTTGCTTTCTTTGAAAGGAAGTTCAGTACAGAGGTGCACATCCTTTACACTCCAATTTGATAATTATTTACCAGATGCTTTCTGTGAACCTAGCACATGACAGGTCCAGAAGGGATATTGAAGGAGCATGTGGCATAGTATTTGCCTTCAAAGTACTTACATGTTTATTAGGGAAATATGGCCAACCTGGGAAAAACCCCAGGCAGACGTGCAAGATAGTTTATGTGCAAATGCTGAAGGTAAGCAATTGCTGCATGACATACATGACTGTGACATAAAGAAGATGGTCAGGAAGCTGCTGGGGAAAGCCTCATGAAAGAGATTCCAGAAGGAGTGGAAGGATTTGGACACCACTGGTCATTGAGTTTGTTATGACTACAGATTTCTCTCCTCTGGGGCTCAGAGTTCCTTTCCTGGAAGAGACACAGACATGTCCTGAATTTGGTCTTTGGAGCCATGTGTGTTTTCTTCTCTATACTTACACCATTGCCCAAGCTGCAACCCTTTTTGGCTTAGGTAGTCTTTTCTTTCTGCCCTATGTGACAGAAGAAGTGGTTGGTGACAACATGCTTCCCAGTGGTGGGTAAAGTATTTCCACGAAAAGACATTTATATCCAGACACTTGGTTACTGAGTTTATTCTTCTCCTAACACCCCAAAGGCAGAGAGTAGCTTGAAAAAAATCATTAAGAAGTCCTTAACCTTGTAACATACTGTTTTTGCTAAAAATATATATTAATAATATATTATTGAGCGAGCATAGATGAAGAAGGCCAGGGAGGGAGGAAGCAATAAGAGTGTGAGTGAGGTCAGTGCTCTTTGCCCGCAGACTCTACAATCAATAAGATCTGGTCAATAACTGCTTTATTACTGCACTACCACCCGGAGCAAAATCATTTTTAAATTAAGAATATATTTTGCAAAACTGAATTAACAATATTGAATATTTTGCTCTTTGATATGACTAGCCTTCAAAATCAAATTATTAAGTATGGAAAATGCTTACTGGGTGAAGTTTTTCTTTCTTCTCTCTCCTCACTTTTCCAACCACATTCCCTCTCTCCTTTCCCTCGTGCTAAACTCCACTCCTCCGCTCCCCCCAACAACCCCCGCCTTACAGCTTGGGAAGGAAACAACAGCAGATTTTTGAGATCTCCGGCACAAATGTGGATGTAAATTAGTATTGAATCCAGCACATGAAAATTAAGAAAAGGAGATGCATTTACTTGAGTCCAACAAAACTGGTGCATTTCCTCTGAGAGAAAGGACCAAGTAGAGAAAATTGGAATTTTTCCGCTTGGGTAAAACTGATGCCAAAAAATCAACCTTTGGACTTCTATAATGTTTGGCAAGCTATGAAATCTCATCATCCCTCCCCCACTCCTACCCTTGGTTACCCTGGCTCCATCCCCTCTTCACTTCTCTCCTCCTTTCTCCCCAGATGGAGGGGACAGAGGAGAGTTTTATATGACTCATGTAGTGCAACTTTAAAGCATCCATAAAGCCAAATCTTCACCCCCCACCCCCCCCCAAAAAAAAACACTACAAGAAGCATTCTGGGTAAGTCTGTTATGCAAAAGTGGGTTATGAAGGCAAACGTAGACTATGACTCTGAAAAGTGGTAGGTGATGTTATTAGAATTGATTGTATAGCGTCTTTGTGAAAACATAAGGTTTTGGTGCTCACATTTTCAAAAATTATACTAAGCTCCTCTTATCTCTTCCATCTTCTTGGGCCATTTATCACTGTTTACCATTAACAATTTAATCTTGTAGGTTATTAAGTTTGGTTTACATAAACTAACAACAAATAACAGAGAGAAGAAAAAGTTTTACTGCTCAATATTGCTTATGGTAAAAAGAAGCCCATCAATGTGCTCCATATTTTTTGGTGAAAAAATAATACTTGTTGGGCATGCAATGGCACATTGACTTGTCACTGACGTCAGATGACAGATTTGTGCTCTTTGAAAAGGGGCATACATTCAAAATAATTGTGTTTGCTGAAGATGAAAAGAGAAAAAGAGAAAGGGAGAAAGACAGAAAAGAAAGAAAAGAAAAGGGAGGGAGGTAGGAGGGAAGGAGAGAGGAAGTAGGAAAGAAAAGACTCCTCTTGAAAACAGGAAGGGAACTAGCATCTATTTAGTGCTTTCTCTGAATTAGTGGCTTCTAATTCTAATTTAATTTAACCTTTTGAATTCTAATTTAATCCTTCCAACAGCTCTTGAAGTTTGTCTCTATTATATAAGAGCTCAGATGGTTTAAGCAATAAACATTGTTTAGCCCTTACAATGTGCCAAACATAGTGCTATGCTCTGAAGAAATAGACAAAAGATCACAGTCTACTGTTAGCTTGCTGACATTTTAGTTTATCTTGACTGAATCCCAAGATTGGATTATTGATCAGGGAGGGCTGGACAGGGAGATAGAGAATTCAAAGTTAGTAAGAGCTTCAACTATCTTTCCCTGCCTGATGTTCACTTCCTGACGCAAACTCTGTCTCAGAACCTGAATCTTGCCTTCTGGTTCTGCTGTGATGATTTTTGTTCTGGCCATTGTTTTGATTTGCCTAGTTGCACACATGTTTATCCAATGCCTCTAGTGTGCCTGGCACTGTGCTTGGTGCCACAGGACACAAAAGGAGAAGACTTTGAGGATGAGTTTGTGTTTGGGGAGCTGATATTCTACTTGAGTGATCCAAACACCACAGTCTTCCAAGGAAAATATTCTCAGATGCTCAGGAGAGCTTAATGAAACCTCAATGCCATATGGGAGAAACAAACGCATTGGATTTTTCAGTCACAGCGGGTGTTGCTGTCCTCAGGTGGCTTCAGAGCATCTGAAGAAAACCTTTAGGATGGGATGCATTAGACTGTTTTTGAGTTCCAGGATTTATGACAGGCAATTTAGTAGAGAGAGAGTACTATCTAAATGTGTAGAGCAAAGAAGAGATTATTGACAAAGGCATCTTAACCTAGTATTTCTAAAGACATTAGACATTCTCATCTGTTAGCAATATGCATTCTCAACTTCATCAAGGATGATGGAGGGTAGTTTTGACTCAATGACGGGAAGATATTGGATTACAGGGACACTTGTGCCATTACTTTTTACATGACAAATTTAAAATTTACTCTGTCCTCTCTATAGATTGAATAGTACAAAGGTAGGTAAGATATTTGTGCATTGCTACATTGGCCAAATCCATTTCCATGGTTATATTTTAAAGATTAAAAATTGACATTCCTTTAAAAAATATGTAGTTTTACTTTACTTTTGGAAAATTCTTCAACTGAAAAGACATCGTGATAACCCAATTACTCAGTCCTTTTCTCCCTTCTTCTGAGTACTGACCCCCAGAAAACTACTGCATGACGAAACAGCTGATAGAGCTTGTAGGGTGCAGGACTAAAGATTTTCAGTATCCACAGGGGAAGACTGAGTCCTGGGAGGGATTCAAAGATCCATATGAAGGTAGTGTTGGAAACCACATGTCACAGAACAGAAATAATTCAGGATTAGAGCACGACTGTTGGTTCTCTCAGATGCCTTTGCAGGTAAATTTGGAGGCTGCGGCTAGGGAGAGAGGATTTGAGTGCTAGAATTCTACAGAACCAGCTCTGGGCCCCAGACCAAATCCTACCTCACTCACAAAGAGTTTTCTGCCCACCTAAGCACGCACATACCTCCATACTCTGATTTTCACGGAACTCCCCACTCATCCTAGCACTTACTCACACGCCAGGCTTTCTTGTTATTTAAGGGCGATGAGCACATATGGCTTGGCTCCTCAGTAAGAGTATGTCAAGATGCAGGTACGATAACTCTGAAATGTATTCCTTACATTTTGGTGGAGAGGCTTAGTTGATGCTCCATTAATGTTTACAGGATTGCATTCAACTCAATCAAGTTGACACTATTCATCCTAGATCTCTCTGAATTTGACACCATCATGAACAACCCTGAAGATTTTCCTTTCCTTGTGTCCTCATTTAATTCCTGTCGCTTCACCAGGGCCTGAAGGTTCCATGTGCCCTCTCCTCCTTCTGGGCCTGCTAGAAAGACCCCAGTTCTCACAGGCCATTTGTTGACATTTCTTGTTTGGGTTACTTCTTTTAGCATTGTCTTTCAGTTCCTTGCCTTTTTCATCAAGGGGAGCTTGAAGGTGCTTCACCTAATTTAGACCACACCTGTAGATTTTCCAATACCTCTTCCTGCCCAGGGCATTGGGATAGGCTGTCTCCACAGATGCAGAACGCACATGGTCTAGTGCTGTTCTCCCTGACCTTCCGAAACAGGGAGAATGGATCACAGTGGGACTGATCGAGGGAAGCAGGCTCACACATCCATAATGATGTGTTGATGCCCATCAGTTTGACGTAGCTGCTGTTGTCTTCCCTGTGGGGCCCCAGTGTTCTGATGCAAGTCCTGGCTCCAATGAGTGACAGGTGCGACTAACGGCCGCATGAGTTATTTCCTTTGGAAACCACAGCTGTGGCTGAGGCCAACGGATGGCAACGGTGCCACCAGGCTCTCTGGGAGCAATCCGCTTGGCTGTCTCCAGCCTCAGGAAGGACTTTTAAACTCGATGAAAATAACCTAAGAGGCCACGTTTTGATGGTAACTGTAAGTGCCCTAGAAATGGGAAGTACCCAGCAGGGAGAATAGAGTAGAATTTAGGAGCCAAGATTTTGAAATGAGATGGACTGGATTCATATCCAACCTCTACTGCATTCTAGATTTGTTACTTTGGGCTATGTTTTTTTTTTTTAACCTCACTAAGCCTCAGTTGCCTAATAGGTGAAATGGGGAAAATGTCTAGCTTATGTTTATTGTGAGGATTGACTGAGATAAAATGCTAAAGCATTCTGCACGGTGTGTGGCGCATTTGAGGTTCAATAAATTTTAGTGTTTATTATTATTAGTATTGCAGGAGGTAGGAAGATCTATGGCTTCTCTCTGGGAACCCACATCTTTCTTCAGCCAAAACAAGCAGCCTGTCTCCTTGTCTGGGTGATGAGAATGATGATCCTACCTACATCACCAAGATTTCATGAGAATCAAGTATAAAGCACTTAGGACAGTGCCTAGCTCTTAGCAAACATGGTACTATTAGCTTTCATTATTTTTATTATTGCTGCTTTTCTTTTCTGAGGTCCATGGACATTGACCTAGGATGTTTCCACAGAATTTCCTTGTGTTGATTGTGGATCTGAAATTATGTGGGGGCTTCCAAAGCAGAGGAAATAGCAACAGCTGTTTCTAGTTAGTTTGATATTTGAAATACTTTATTCTCAAATTAATTCCTCAGATGGAACAAAAAGAACTTGCTGCAATAACAGAACTGAGTGCATTTTGCCACGTGACTCTATTTTCATGTATTGATCCTTTGGAGTTGGAACTGTTCCTTTCTTGTCCCCTGCATTTGGGCTGTTGCTTCATCATGGGCAGCAGCTCACAGTCACCTGCTACAAGAGTGTGTTCTTGAAACATGGATGTTTTTGAGCTTGAGAGGGTTTGCCGGCTGAACAATTCCAACAATAGGTTTTAATGTCTTAAGTGGTTCCTTTTTTTGTTGGCCAGCATTTGAATATTGTATAACATTAATGAAGAGACAAGCTTGTATTCAAAGGAAATGAAAATATCAGAAAACTCCAACCTGAGAAATGAATACCCTTGGAATGCGTGATCAGGCCATTTCTCATTAATTAGTAGGTTTGTACTCTACACGCTCCATGAAATGTTCCTTTTCTACAAAGGCAGGTGTTTGTCTATGTTCAGTCTTTTCATGCTTTGCTTAAATATGGTTTCTGGATTGTGTTTCATGTCCCTGAAGCATGCAGTCCAGAGGGAAGGAGCCAGAACTCTGTTTCTCAGCCTGGCATGAAGGGAAATGCTTTAGTTTATTTTAAACATTAACCACCCAATGGTACAGCAATTTTTTTCTGTATTTTAGCAATTTGTTTTCTAATACCTTCTTGAGAATTTGGACAATTATTTTTCCTCTTTTCTCCCTGGATTTACATTGAGAGTCAGAATAACTTTGCAGAGCTGAAGAAAACATACTGCTGGTAAAAGATGCAGGATCAATGTCTACAGGGCCAGGACCCTGAAGAAGCCAATTAGAAATACAGCCATATTGGTAATGACTCCTTCTTTGGCGCTTAAGGACAGATTCTCTGGGTGCATCTTAGTCCCTAGGGATAAGGCCAAGTCAAAGGCAGAATAGAATTTGTAACAAATTCTTGGGAATATCCACTTCCAAAGTTGTTGTGTGAAATGTGGCAATACTACTTCTCATGACATGCAAGTGGTTGAATGAGACAAGCTCAGAAAGTGTGAGACTGGTTCTAAGGCAGGTAGAGAAAAGTAGAGAGGAGGGTGTAGGATGCCAGTGGTGAAGCATAAGGTGGAGAAATCTTTGTGAGAGCCGGGTCCAGGGAAGGGAATCCCAGAAACCCAGAAGGAATGTGTCGAAATTTGGACCTTCTATAAAGGTGAGTCTATCTCTTCATTTCATGCACCCCCGAGTCTCATGTGTCACACAGAGATTGTGTAAATAGTATTGTAATGGAAAGATAAAACTCAAAAGGAGACATATGGACAAGGGGCTTGAAAAGGACAAGCTCTTCTACTGAGGAAGTCGATCCTCAAAAATTTATTGTAGATGGCCAAGGCCAGTGGGAACTTTGTACAATAACCTGGCTTAACCCTTTGCTTTGGATCCAGTCTCCTTTTGATCCCTTACAGGGGAGAGCTGATCTTATCTTTTACATCTCCAAAGGTGACACCTTGTAAATGTCTTCCCAAGTCTCATGGTCAGGGAGTTCTTCTTATAGTCTAAACAATATTTCTCTTGCTTAAGTTTATACCCTTCTTGAACTGCCCTCATTCTTTCCTCCTGGATCTCTTTATCTTCTCTTTTGTAAGGCCAGTACTAATTACTTTAGTTCTTTTCCAAGGAGATGATTTCTCCCAAACCTTGTGTCATTTTTTGAGTATGTCTTTATACCCATATAGGTATTTTTGTGGCTAGAAGGAGAGTCCTTCTGGGATGGTATTTTTACCCCCGGGTGGATCTGTGCTGTGAATAACCTGAGCCATTCTGGAACCATCCCCAGACCGGGCAGGTGGCAGCCCCATTTGCTCTTTCCTGAGCGCCAAGGCAGAGAAGCAACTCTGGCTCTTTCTCTCTGGACCGCGTGCCTCCGGAACACGAAACTCAGTCACAGACACCATATTTAAACAGAGCAGGGAAAGGACGAAAATAGACAAAAAACCTGTCCATGTGGGCCAGGAAAGCTGCATTTCCAATATGCTGTTAGCAAGACCCTGCTGCGATTCACATAGCAAGTAGTCAGGGTAGAACCTGGACGGTGAGCAGAATGGCCACCCATGGGCATCCCTGGGCACTGGCGTGCCAAGCATGTGCAAGGGGCAAGATCTGGAGCAGGGAGGAGGAAGACAAGGCCCTTCCCTAACACATGAGGAAGTACAACTTAAACAACTGAAACTGTTAGAAAGAACACAAGAGCCATAGAATTGGGGCTGGGCTTGATGGTGGAGAGCAGTGGTTTTTAGACCTTTTAAGAGAGGAATTTTTCAGAAAAAATTTTGGAAGCTCAATATGTAAAACAAATGTCAAAAAATGACTGATGGGCCCTGTGGTCATTAGTTGTGTCTGAGGCTTAAGGCTGAGGACAAAATGCATTCAGGACACTCACTTCTCTACAGGGCTTCCGGGTTGGTGTCAGCTCAGAGAACCAGCCTAACCACCCCACCTCCTCCATGTAAGGACCAGTAGATCAGAGACAGCTGTGGGGAAGGGTAGTGTGCATGAAGTCCCCATGTCAATCTCTGAGAAGTACAGAAGACAGATCCTGCCTTTGCCTGTAGGTCTTCCTGCAGTCCACGGACAGTTGATGACAGCGGAGGCACTGACTTCCAGACACTACTGCAGCTAAGGAATGTGGTTGACGTTAGTCAGAAAATACGCTCCAAATTACCTGGCTGTAGCCCCCAGGGAAGCTGTTTGGGGGTCATGACCTGTCAACAGGGCAGGTTGATGCTCCCACCTGATATTAGTGAGCCTAGGGACGATTAGTTAGAATAACAGTTGTGAACAGTAAGAAGACTATGGTAAGGTCTTCAGCCACATAGGAATCTGGCTATCCTTTTCCTCCTTTACTTCCTCACATGGGAGGCGGTGGCACCTAGAAGAGGATGGGGAAGAACAAGGGTGAGGCAGGCTTCTAAACGCTGGGTTAGATCTCCTTTTCTCTGCTCTATACTATTGAAGGTGAACTCCAGCCTAGACCTGGAAGAAAAAGAAGAAAGAGGATCAAATTAGATGTGAGAATAAAGTTGTGAATGGAGCAAATACAATCCCTGGGGAAGTGGGTGAGAACGCATATGGATCTAGACAGAGAAGGTAGCCTTAGGGGTGGAAGTTTCTCGACCTGGGGAGGAAAAGAGAATGCCCAGAATTCTTCCCCCATGTCCCCAGGTAGGCCTAAGCCTGACACTAACTTCACATGAATCAACTTGGATTTGCCCCAATAAAAGTAACTGAAGGCAGGCTGAAGGCTGCCACTTGCATTTAAGGAACAAACTCCTGGACTGGCAGGAAGCTCTGGTTTCCCGTTTAATTGTGGTCAGGATTTCAAGCTTATTTTTAAATTGAGTAGGGGTCAATTCCAATTCACTTTAATTCAATTCCAAGTCCAAATTCAACACATTTCTTGCATACCTACTAGCTAGTTGGTCCTGTCTTAGGGTTGTTTATCAAGAATGTGAGAGGAGAACAGGATAAGACAGGCCACGTCTGCTCTTAGTGACATGTCTTGGTTGATATTATTATCCTCACTCATCTCTGTCTTGCCTACCCCTAGTCAGGACCACATACATATTCCACTCCTCTAAGAAACCCATCCGCACTGCAAGCCATGGGACTCCACCCTTTCCCAAGCTTCCTAATGATCTGTGTCACTCAGTTCAGCCCCTCATTGTGGTCTAGTTTATCTCATCCAATAATCATATGGAAATCAGCTCAAGAACAATATAGGCATGCTGTCAAGTGTAGATATGCCATGTCTTGTGGTTAAAGTCTTAGACTCTTGGTGAGCTCTGCTTTTAGAGCACTCTGAAGGGTTTCTAATATCACAGACCTCCTTTATTGTAGCTGTGGTCTTTTGCAGTCTTGGCTTTGAGAAATGTTGTTGCCCACATAGGATTAGCCACACCAGGGGCAGCAGGCAATGCTCTAGTCCAAGCCTGACTTGAAACTCAAGAAGCAAGTTTCTGTACAAGAGGAAATGAAAATTTCCAATCTCTTAAGACCGGGTCCTGGAAAACTGGCACAGTGTCACTTCTGCTGTATTCTACTGCTCACCACAGGTCCACCACAGATTCCACCAACTTCAAGGGGAGGGGAACTAGATTTTACCTGTCAATGGGAGCAGTAGCAAATACCATCTTTACCTCACTTTGGTAAGAATGAAGTCATGTTCAGAAGCCCAGTATATAAAATATACAAGGTGAGAGACTTAGAGACTCCTTTTTTGGTCTCCTCTTTTAACCCACACTCTCTTCATCGAAAGCCTTTAGAATTCTAATTTGAATTTGAAAGCTATAGTAACTGCGGTTTGTTGTGTGAGAATAACAGAGAAAAAGCGTCCTATATATTTAATGGTAATTTTCTCCGGATATTGCCTCAACTAGGGACTTATTCTACCCAGTTGACATGACATACGCTTTGGGTACTTGCTCTGGTCATACTGAACGCAAGATCTTAGCACAGGCTGTGGGGCGCCTAAAAGCTGCCCTGACCGCATGCCAAAGAATCTCCACATGGGGCTCAAGCAGAGAGGAAAGTCAGCTCTACCTATTATCTGTCCTTTAACCATACCAGGAGGGTTGCAACTCCCTTCAGAGCCTAGGGCAGAAGACTTTATCGACAGAGCCCTGCCCTTTTTTGTTTGAGAGTATGAGCAGGTGTTATCTGAGAACAAGCAGGTGTTTGTAGAAATGTGACCTTGAGCCCTGGTTACAGACCTGCTCTTTTGTTCTGGTGACTCATTTTTCCTTGAATGGAGTTGGTTTCTATTTATGAAATGGCTGTGAGGCCACAGTGACCAGCTTGGACACTACTGTTGTATATGTGAGTGCTTCCCCTCCCAAGAGCAGATAAATTACTGAGTGCATTTGATACCTGTCTGCCAGAGATGTGGCCACCCCTTGTCACCCACAAGTTTGTCTACAAAGAGGGCAAGCAAATATAGCATGCCTGTGTCACACTCGCTTTTTTAAAGAAGGTTATGCCTATGGGTAAACAGAAAGTGCCTTGTTCCAAAGACTCTTCTGTTCTCAGGCTGGAAAAATATAATTTAGTCCATCCTGGGAAGCTACTGGGCAATGCTGAAAATCTTTGGCTAATAGGAAATAATTTAGAACAGAGAATCACCTTGGGTAAGACAGTGAATATTTTACAACTGTACTGACTGTGGAATTTAAGCCAGCATTCTGCACTTCATCTTAATTCTCTCTACTAATCACTGCGAGGAAGCATGTATATGTGTATGTATGTACATATGTATGTGTGTGTATACTTCTGGGTCTCTGTGTAGAGCTAATGGTTTATTCTCCAGCGCCACCAAGTCCTAAGAGGTGTGAGTTTCAGGTTAAACCCAGAAATAGGAAGTGTTTATATGTTTAGCATAGACATAGACAACAAACACATGTCTATGTAAACCCAACTTACAAAATTATATGTTGGATAAATTTTCTAGAAATGTCCCACTGATGGTAATGTCATCACAAAACTCTAAAGTTGGGCATCAATCCAGTCCTGCAGGCTGTATGCAACCACTAGAAATATGGCCTGTAACTCAAAAGCCACTGCAACTGCGGATAGAAGATCACATCCAATCAGATGCCAAGTTTGTTTCAGAATTTAATACAGGGCTTTGCCTACCCAGGCCACATGACGCTATACCTCCTTCAGAGTGTCAGGATTCAGAGGGGCATTTTCCAATGATTACACCTGTGGTGACGGAAAATGAACGGACACACTCAAGGTCTAGACAGCTGATGAAATCATGGAGAGCAGGATGGACTGGGTTGTTCTATAAGCATATTATATGGCTTGGAGGTTTCTCATGAGGTGTCCTTCTTCTTACAGTATTCCCAAAAGCACAAAGATGGGAGGGATTTGTATTTTGGTCAGTGGCAGATATAAAAATATTTAAAGGGATTTCTTCATAGTTATGTAAGACATGACATAGTTTATGGACGTGATTTCTTTGAGGCTCTCCTGAGTTATTCTTGTTCTTCATGAATCTAGTTTTGACTGAGAGTTGATATACCCTTTCACCAATCCTCCTGGCATCCTCTCCCATGCTTCCCCTGCCTAAAATGATAGAAAAAAAAAACCCCTAGACTGTCTTTCTCAAAGGCAATAGTCTACAGGATGCTCCCCATTATGGCAGTGGTGTTTGAGAGAAGGGATGCAATGTTCAATAGGAAGCATGGGGTTTTCAATAGAGTGCAGTGCTGAACAGAAAGGCCCCCTTTAGCAACCTCTTGAAGCAGAATGAGCTCCTTTGAAATATAAATGGCCCTGTAAAAACACAAGCAGATTCTGCAATATCTATTTAGGGCATCCGGGAATGCCACATGATAGGAACTTGAGCGCACCTGATGGTAACCATATGGCAGGTTCTGATGACTGACAATAGGTAGAGGCTGCAGTAATTAATGAAAATGAGATTCTATTTGTGGCCCCCACAATGAGAGGATGGAGAGGAAGCCAGTCTATTTGCAAAGGCTGGGATGTGCCCAGAGTGTGCTTCTAGCCTGGGACAGGCTGGGCCCATGTTTCTGTGTGTGAACAGGTGTGAGAGAAATGATGCTGTGGGAGGGAGGGCTTGTTTCTGGCCAGAGAACCACCATGCTTTTTGGGCCTGCAGTGGGAAAATGAGCTTGTGTCACTGAACCCCTGTACCTTGCCAGGATTTTTAGTTTGATGTGGGAGAGATTTCAGGTAGAAATCCAGTTAATTGGCCTGGTGGAAGTACAGACTCTATTGTGTGAGGACTCGGGTGTGCTGTGTGCGATTTTGACTTCTCTGGATTTTAGGGTACAATGCCTCCCTTTACCCTCTTGGAGATGACTCCTTAAGGTGTGCTTTGCGTCAGAGTGTAGCAGAGTTTGGCTAGCCTCTGGCAAAAGAAAAGGAAAAAGGCAATGCCTCATTGTTTTAATGTTTTTTTCTTAGATGTGGGGGTGGGATAGAGGAAGGGAGCTGGCCAGTGAGAAGTGGGCCATGGGGAGATTCCAGAGAGACTGATTGATCTTGTCAGAAAGAATAAAGGTATTCACTCCCCAGAACCCCCTTCAGCACATGGGCATGTGGGATTGAGGCGGTCACTGTGAAGTCTTGCGGTTAGGCGTTCCAAAAAGAAGTTTCTCCATGATTCCTGATTGCTTAGGACAGATATAAGCAATACCAGCTGGGGCCCAGCAAGCCTGTCTCCAGCTTTATTGTTTCTGATTTATCAGTGGTGTGTGCGCCTAAAAGAACTGATCTAACTGCCCTTTATTGCTAGCCTATTCCGTAGCCAGATAGGAGAGTTGAACATTAACAAGTGGATTTGCTTTCAGTAGCTGCCTCTGTGTGTGTGTGTATGTGTGTGTGTGTGTGCGTGTATTTAGCAAGATAACAGTATCTTGTTCAGGGACAAGTGACTCAAATTTTTACAAGAACATTCCCATTCTTTTGTCTCCCATCTTGAATTTTCCCTAATTTATTTGAAGCTGCCTCTTTTACTACAGCCAGAGAGGATCCATAGGGCTGTTTTGTAAGAGTCCTTCGTAAGTGGTAGAAACTCAGCTGGAGCCAGGTTGGAGGCACCAGGCACTGTGCATTGAAGATATATTTCAAGTCATCCCTGGTGGACAATTTGCACTGTTCCGTGTTAAAAGGCTCTATTGCAGTGGTTCGGAGAGCCCCCTAGACCTCCTGCCTTGGCAAGCAGAGTTTACAAATGATGTCTTCCACTCAGCCTGCCTGGAGTTTCTGGCTTAAATGGCTGGCAGAGTGAGTGAAAGTGAAGAGTCAGAACTCTCAAGCTGTGTGAAGGGAAAGGTTTTACTACTGAGTGGAAAATAATCATCGAGGTTAACTGTTCCTGGATTGACCAAGCAGACAGATGGACTGCTCTGACTCGGGCTGAGTGATAAACTTCTGAGACTCCTCTGCAAGGGGAAGGGGCAGGTGGAAATAGAGGATGAGTGACTCATGACTTTCCAATCTGGAGTTTTGCCCATTCATTTCTTTCTTGGAGGAAACAAACTATCCTGCTAAAATGATAATGATCCACTGGAGGACTTTGGTTTGGAGTCTAGCTCCTATGGTTTGTGAGATATTGTTTCATTTGGGTAGTTATTTCCTTCTACACTTTCTTGATCACAGGTTACAATGAGGAAGGGCAGAGGAAGAATGACAGATGAACTCCCGATTGCACAGAAACTGGCTCCTGTCATGGGAATTTAGTCTTGTCAAATGTGAATTCTAGTTCCCGTTCTGGGGATACTAGAGATCTGACCACCTCTCCTCTGTTGGAGATAGAAAAACAGATTCTCATTTTATTTTGGATCTGGGATACATCAAGATGGCAGAAGTGTTCAGCTGACAGACTCTCCCCCTACCACATTTAATGAACAGTCTCTATTGTCTTGTGGATGAAAAACATCAGGGAGTATTTGAATAATTTTACACAATTCCTGAAGCCTGACCTATGGCCAAGCGCATTAGCTTTCTGAGTTTTAAAAAGTATTTTCCCCTCCAGAATTAAGGCAAATCATTCTTATATAGCATTCTTAAGTGTGTATGCTTTTTTTTTTAAAGATAAAACCAAGCATTTAAAAAAGCCCCAAACTAGTGATATTTTATTATCTTCTTAGATTATTTAAAATTGTACTGGAGAAAATGTGTACCCAAATTTGGTTCAATCAGAAATGGGTGTGTGTCAATGGGGAGATCTTTCAAATATTTAAGCTATAGATTCTTTCATGCCAAAAGGTGGAAGGACGCTGCCTTTAACAACTTTCTTGTTAGAGAGAGTTGAACATTTGGTTTTATCAGACAGTGGCATGGTAATGAAGCTATTTTGATAGAAATAGCCTCATCACTATTCATTTTTGCTGGCTCCCAACTAATTCTTGAACCAAGGTTCTATTTTTTTCCCCCAGAGGAAAACAGGCACAACAAGCAAAATAAGATGCTTTTAGCCTCTGAAGCTAATGAAAAATTCAGACCACTTCTGCCCAAGGGGCCATGGTAGAGCCTCCTGCCTCTGCCTGTGATGACTCTCCACCTTGCCAGGCAGTGTGTGGGACTGGGTCTTCCTCCTCATGGTCCTACCCTAAAAGACAGACCATTTGATTCAAGGGGCAGCGTTGTCTTCCAAAGCTAACATTCAACTTCTATTTGGAGGGTTCTCATCCCTCCATTCTTAGCATGCTGCAACAGGGCACAGCTCGCACTGAGGTGGAAGAGACCCTGGCTTCAGTTCTAGTTCTTCTCCTCACTGTGTAACTTTGAGCATAACACTGAGCCACTCTGGGCCTTGGTTTCCACAGATGACAAAGGGTTTGTTTAGGTGGTCTCTAAAGATTCCTTCTAGTTATAACATTCCAGACCAGGTAGTTTTTCATTTTCTCCATTTAAAAATGAACTTTTCACTTTAGAATAGCTTTACAAATATAGAAATATTGGAAAGACAGTATAGAGCTTCCCAGTATGTCCCTCACTCAGTTCTCCTATGAATGACATCTTACATTCTTATGATACATATGTCATAAGGAACCAACATTGATACATTACTATTATCAAATAAAGTTTACCTTTTATTCAGATTTCAATAGTTTTCCACATTGTCCTTTATCTGTTTCAGAGTCCTACCCGAGATACCATTTAGTTGTTGTGTCTCCTTAACCTCCTCTGGTCTGTGACAGTATCTTTTTTATTTTTTTTAATTATACTTTAAGTTTTAGGGTACATGTGCACATTGTGCAGGTTAGTTACATATGTATACATGTGCCATGCTGGTGCGCTGCACCCACTAACGTGTCATCTAGCATTAGGTATATCTCCCAATGCTATCCCTCCCCCCTCCCCCAACCCCACCACAGTCCCCAGAGTGTGATATTCCCCTTCCTGTGTCCATGTGATCTCATTGTTCAATTCCCACCTATGAGTGAGAATATGCGGTGTTTGGTTTTTTGTTCTTGCGATAGTTTACTGACAATGATGGTTTCCAATTTCATCCATGTCCCTACAAAGGACATGAACTCATCATTTTTTATGGCTGCATAGTATCCCATGGTGTATATGTGCCACATTTTCTTAATCCAGTCTATCATTGTTGGATATTTGGCTTGGTTCCAAGTCTTTGCTATTGTGAATAATGCCGCAATAAACATACATGTGCATGTGTCTTTATAGCAGCATGATTTATAGTCATTTGGGTATATACCCAGTAATGGGATGGCTGGGTCAAATGGTATTTCTAGTTCTAGGTCCCTGAGGAATCGCCACACTGACTTCCACAATGGTTGAACTAGTTTACAGTCCCACCAACAGTGTAAAAGTGTTCCTATTTCTCCACATCCTCTCCAGCACCTGTTGTTTCCTGACTTTTTAATGATTGCCATTCTAACTGGTGTGAGATGATATCTCATAGTGGTTTTGATTTGCATTTCTCTGATGGCCAGTGATGATGAGCATTTTTTCATGTGTTTTTTGGCTGCATAAATGTCTTCTTTTGAGAAGTGACTGTTCATGTCCTTGGCCCACTTTTTGATGGGGTTGTTTGTTTTTTTCTTGTAAATTTGTTTGAGTTCATTGTAGATTCTGGATATTAGCCCTTTGTCAGATGAGTAGGTTGCGAAAATTTTCTCCCATGTTGTAGGTTGCCTGTTCACTCTGATGGTAGTTTCTTTTGCTGTGCAGAAGCTCTTGAGTTTAATTAGATCCCATTTGTCAATTTTGGCTTTTGTTGCCATTGCTTTTGGTGTTTTGGACATGAAGTCCTTGCCCGTGCCTATGTCCTGAATGGTAATGCCTAGGTTTTCTTCTAGGGTTTTTATGGTTTTAGGTCTAACGTTTAAATCTTTAATCCATCTTGAATTGATTTTTCTATAAGGTGTAAGGAAGGGATCCAGTTTCAGCTTTCTACATATGGCTAGCCAGTTTTCCCAGCACCATTTATTAAATAGGGAATCCTTTCCCCATTGCTTGTTTTTCTCAGGTTTGTCAAAGATCAGATAGTTGTAGATATGCGGCGTTATTTCTGAGGGCTCTGTTCTGTTCCATTGATCTATATCTCTGTTTTGGTACCAGTACCATGCTGTTTTGGTTACTGTAGCCTTGTAGTATAGTTTGAAGTCAGGTAGTGTGATGCCTCCAGCTTTGTTCTTTTGGCTTAGGATTGACTTGGCGATGCGGGCTCTTTTTTGGTTCCATATGAACTTTAAAGTAGTTTTTTCCAATTCTGTGAAGAAAGTCATTGGTAGCTTGATGGGGATGGCATTGAATCTGTAAATTACCTTGGGCAGTATGGCCATTTTCACGATATTGATTTTTCCTACCCATGAGCATGGAATGTTCTTCCATTTGTTTGTGTCCTCTTTTATTTCCTTGAGCAGTGGTTTGTAGTTCTCCTTGAAGAGGTCCTTCACATCCCTTGTAAGTTGGATTCCTAGGTATTTTATTCTCTTTGAAGCAATTGTGAATGGGAGTTCACTCATGATTTGGCTCTCTGTTTGTCTGTTGTTGGTGTATAAGAATGCTTGTGATTTTTATACATTGATTTTGTATCCTGAGACTTTGCTGAAGTTGCTTATCAGCTTAAGGAGATTTTGGGCTGAGACGATGGGGTTTTCTAGATAAACAATCATGTCGTCTGCAAACAGGGACAATTTGACTTCCTCTTTTCCTAATTGAATACCCTTTATTTCCTTCTCCTGCCTGATTGCCCTGGCCAGAACTTCCAACACTATGTTGAATAGGAGCGGTGAGAGAGGGCATCCCTGTCTTGTGCCAGTTTTCAAAGGGAATGCTTCCAGTTTTTGCCCATTCAGTCTGATATTGGCTGTGGGTTTGTCATAGATAGCTCTTATTATTTTGAAATACGTCCCATCAATACCTAATTTATTGAGAGTTTTTAGCATGAAGGGTTGTTGAATTTTGTCAAAGGCTTTTTCTGCATCTATTGAGATAATCATGTGGTTTTTGTCTTTGGCTCTGTTTATATGCTGGATTACATTTATTGATTTGCGTATATTGAACCAGCCTTGCATCCCAGGGATGAAGCCCACTTGATCATGGTGGATAAGCTTTTTGATGTGCTGCTGGATTCGGTTTGCCAGTATTTTATTGAGGATTTTTGCATCAATGTTCATCAAGGATATTGGTCTAAAATTCTCTTTTTTGGTTGTGTCTCTGCCCGGCTTTGGTATCAGAATGATGCTGGCCTCATAAAATGAGTTAGGGAGGATTCCCTCTTTTTCTATTGATTGGAATAGTTTCGGAAGGAATGGTACCAGTTCCTCCTTGTACCTCTGGTAGAATTCGGCTGTGAATCCATCTGGTCCTGGACTCTTTTTGGTTGGTAAACTATTGATTATTGCCACAATTTCAGATCCTGTTATTGGTCTATTCAGAGATTCAACTTCTTCCTGGTTTAGTCTTGGGAGAGTGTATGTGTCGAGGAATGTATCCATTTCTTCTAGATTTTCTAGTTTATTTGCATAGAGGTGTTTGTAGTATTCTCTGATGGTAGTTTGTATTTCTGTGGGATCGGTGGTGATATCCCCTTTATCATTTTTTATTGTGTCTATTTGATTCTTCTCTCTTTTTTTCTTTATTAGTCTTGCTAGTGGTCTATCAATTTTGTTGATCCTTTCAAAAAACCAGCTCCTGGATTCATTGATTTTTTGAAGGGTTTTTTGTGTCTCTATTTCGTTCAGTTCTGCTCTGATTTTAGTTATTTCTTGCCTTCTGCTAGCTTTTGAATGTGTTTGCTCTTGCTTTTCT
The DNA here is from genome assembly GCF_000001405.40 of Homo sapiens. NCBI lineage: Eukaryota > Metazoa > Chordata > Mammalia > Primates > Hominidae > Homo > Homo sapiens. The sequence continues at coordinate 60,086,619 of NC_000002.12, read as the reverse complement.
AGTTCTTTTAATTGTGATGTTAGGGTGTCAATTTTGGATCTTTCCTGCTTTCTCTTGTAGGCACTTAGTGCTATAAATTTCCCTCTACACACTGCTTTGAATGCGTCCCAGAGATTCTCGTATGTGGTGTCTTTGTTCTCGTTGGTTTCAAAGAACATCTTTATTTCTGCCTTCATTTCATTATGTACCCAGTAGTCATTCAGGAGCAGGTTGTTCAGTTTCCATGTAGTTGAGCGGCTTTGAGTGAGATTCTTAATCCTGAGTTCTAGTTTGATTGCACTGTGGTCTGAGAGATAGTTTGTTATAATTTCTGTTCTTTTCCATTTGCTGAGGAGAGCTTTACTTCCAACTATGTGGTCAATTTTGGAATAGGTGTGGTGTGGTGCTGAAAAAAATGTATATTCTGTTGATTTGGGGTGGAGAGTTCTGTAGATGTCTATTAGGTCCGCTTGGTGCAGAGCTGGGTTCAATTCCTGGGTATCCTTGTTGACTTTCTGTCTCGTTGATCTGTCTAATGTTGACAGTGGGGTGTTAAAGTCTCCCATTATTAATGTGTGGGAGTCTAAGTCTCTTTGTAGGTCACTCAGGACTTGCTTTATGAATCTGGGTGCTCCTGTATTGGGTGCATAAATATTTAGGATAGTTAGCTCCTCTTGTTGAATTGATCCCTTTACCATTATGTAATGGCCTTCTTTGTCTCTTTTGATCTTTGTTGGTTTAAAGTCTGTTTTATCAGAGACTAGGATTGCAACCCCTGCCTTTTTTTGTTTTCCATTGGCTTGGTAGATCTTCCTCCATCCTTTTATTTTGAGCCTATGTGTGTCTCTGCACGTGAGATGGGTTTCCTGAATACAGCACACTGATGGGTCTTGACTCTTTATCCAACTTGCCAGTCTGTGTCTTTTAATTGCAGAATTTAGTCCATTTATATTTAAAGTTAATATTGTTATGTGTGAATTTGATCCTGTCATTATGATGTTAGCTGGTGATTTTGCTCGTTAGTTGATGCAGTTTCTTCCTAGTCTCGATGGTCTTTACATTTTGGCATGATTTTGCAGCGGCTGGTACCGGTTGTTCCTTTCCATGTTTAGCGCTTCCTTCAGGAGCTCTTTTAGGGCAGGCCTCGTGGTGACAAAATCTCTCAGCATTTGCTTGTCTATAAAGTATTTTATTTCTCCTTCACTTATGAAGCTTAGTTTGGCTGGATATGAAATTCTGGGTTGAAAATTCTTTTCTTTAAGAATGTTGAATATTGGCCCCCACTCTCTTCTGGCTTGTAGGGTTTCTGCTGAGAGATCCGCTGTTAGTCTGATGGGCTTTCCTTTGAGGGTAACCCGACCTTTCTCTCTGGCTGCCCTTAACATTTTTCCTTCATTTCAACTTTGGTGAATCTGACAATTATGTGTCTTGGAGTTGCTCTTCTCGAGGAGTATCTTTGTGGTGTTCTCTGTATTTCCTGAATCTGAACGTTGGCCTGCCTTGCTAGATTGGGGAAGTTCTCCTGGATAATATCCTGCAGAGTGTTTTCCAACTTGGTTCCATTCTCCATATCACTTTCAGGTACACCAATCAGACGTAGATTTGGTCTTTTCACATAGTCCCATATTTCTTGGAGGCTTTGCTCATTTCTTTTTATTCTTTTTTCTCTAAACTTCCCTTCTCGCTTCATTTCATTCATTTCATCTTCCATCGCTGATACCCTTTCTTCCAGTTGATCGCATCGGCTCCTGAGGCTTCTGCATTCTTCACGTAGTTCTCGAGCCTTGGTTTTCAGCTCCATCAGCTCCTTTAAGCACTTCTCTGTATTGGTTATTCTAGTTATACATTCTTCTAAATTTTTTTCAAAGTTTTCAACTTCTTTGCCTTTGGTTTGAATGTCCTCCCGTAGCTCAGAGTAATTTGATCGTCTGAAGCCTTCTTCTCTCAGCTCGTCAAAATCATTCTCCATCCAGCTTTGTTCCGTTGCTGGTGAGGAACTGCGTTCCTTTGGAGGAGGAGAGGCGCTCTGCGTTTTAGAGTTTCCAGTTTTTCTGTTCTGTTTTTTCCCCATCTTTGTGGTTTTATCTACTTTTGGTCTTTGATGATGGTGATGTATAGATGGGATTTTGGTGTGGATGTCCTTTCTGGTTGTTAGTTTTCCTTCTAACAGACAGGACCCTCAGCTGCAGGTCTGTTGGAATACCCTCCCGTGTGAGGTGTCAGTGTGCCCCTGCTGGGGGGTGCCTCCCAGTTAGGCTGCTCGGGGGTCAGGGGTCAGGGACCCACTTGAGGATGCAGTCTGCCCGTTCTCAGATCTCCAGCTGCGTGCTGGGAGAACCACTGCTCTCTTCAAAGCTGTCAGACAGGGACACTTAAGTCTGCAGAGGTTACTGCTGTCTTTTTGTTTGTCTGTGCCCTGCCCCCAGAGGTGGAGCCTACAGAGGCAGGCAGGCCTCCTTGAGCTATGGTGGGCTCCACCCAGTTCGAGCTTCCTGGCTGCTTTGTTTACCTAAGCAAGCCTGGGCAATGGCGGGCGCCCCTCCCCCAGCCTCGTTGCCGCCTTGCAGTTTGATCTCAGACTGCTGTGCTAGCAATCAGCGAGATTCCATGGGTGTAGGACCCTCTGAGCCAGGTGTGGGATATAGTCTCCTGGTGCGCCGTTTTTTAAGCCGGTCTGAAAAGGGCAATATTCGGGTGGGAGTGACCCGATTTTCCAGGTGCTGTCCGTCACCCCTTTCTTTGACTCGGAAAGGGAACTCCCTGACCCCTTGCGCTTCCCAGGTGAGGCAATGCCTCGCCCTGCTTCGGCTCGCGCACGGTGCGCGCACACACTGGCCTGCGCCCACTGTCTGGCACTCCCTAGTGAGATGAACCCGGTACCTCAGATGGAAATGCAGAAATCACCCGTCTTCTGCGTCGCTCACGCTGGGAGCTGTAGACCGGAGCTGTTCCTATTCGGCCATCTTGGCTCCTCCCCCGACAGTATCTTAAATTTTCCTTGTTTTTGATGACCTTGACAGTTTGGAGAAATACCTGTCAAGTATTTTGCAGAATGTCTTTCAATTGGGGTTTGCCTAATGCTTTACTCATGGTTGGACTAGGGTAATGTTTTTAGGAGGAAGATCACAGAAGTAAAGTGACCTTTTCATTGCCTCATATCAAGGGTACATGCTGTCAACTGATGATGTTAACCTTGGTCAGCTGGTTAAGGTATTGTTTGCCAGATCTCTGGACTGTAAAGCCTCTTCTCCTCTTCCATACACTGCTCTTTGGAAGCAAGTCACTAAGTGCAGTCCACACTCAAAGTTGGTGGGGAGGGTGGTCAGGGGAGTTAATCTCCACCTCCTGGTAGGGGAGTATCTACATGAATTATTGAAATACTTCTGGGAGATTGTCTCTTCTCCCCATCTATTTATTCAGTCATTTATTTATACCAAAGTGGACTTGTGGATATTCATTTTATATTTTGGATTATAATCTGATACTTAGCTATTTATTTTGCTCCTCAAATTATTTCAGTTTTGGCCACAGGGAGCTCTTTCAAGTTGGCTTCTGGGTCCCTTTGACATGTCCCCATCCTTTTGTTTTGCGAGCACTTCCTTACTTTCTGTACTGCGCGATGCTTTGGGCTCATTATGTATATTTTCTGCCCTAGCCTTAGAATTGGCCATTTCTCCAAGGAGCCCTGGTTGCTTTTATTGGACAATGTTGTTAGAAACCAAGATCTAGGTACTGGGTGTGACTTTTCATTTCTGAAAAATATAACTTTTGTGTACATAACTATGTCTTATTGGTCATATAAAGAGGCGTATGATGTTCCCTCGCTCAAGATTAATATAGGTCAGTGCCATACAAAAGAGTATATAATCAAATGTTAGAGTGACTACTATTTTAGTTAAAATAAAAAAGGAAGTTTAGGTTCTCGTAGCTCAAAGAATTATAAAAAGCTTTCATTCTTTTTCTTCTCTATTCTTTTTACTTATTATTCATACCTGGTTAGTCTACACTGGATGTAGGAAATGCTAATTTATTTACGTAGATATGTTAACAGTCTGAATAAATGCTGCTTATTTCAGACATGAGTCTCTAAATCATGCAAAGTCTTTCCTTCAGAAAGGAGAAGTGTCAAGAGCTTAGAATATGTGGGGAAGGCCTCCTGGAGGAGGTAGCATTTGATCTGGTACTTAAAGCACAGAAGCTGTTTGGGTGCAAAGGAGGGATTCTTGTATTTCTCTTTGGGAAATGCAGTAGAAAGAAACTAGGCTCAGAGATGGGGTCCTAAAGGGTTTCTTAAATGCCATTATTCTTGGAAGGCCTGATGTCTATCATTTTTAAAACTGTGATAGATTTCCCTAATATTACAAAGATATGCTTCCTTTATTCATACTCCCCAAAATGTTGATATTTGCTTGAAACATTCTTAAAGTTTTATATATGAAGGGAGAGAGAGCCAAGCAAGCTTATACCAATATAGTCATAATTATAAAATGTCTGTAAATACTTAAATAGTAGAGATTGGGGCAAATTGTATCCTCAGTGCCTGTGGAGGTAGCTGCATGCTTGGGCTCTCCAGTGTTGTTTGGTGGTGCTTTTTGACTCTTGCTTTTCTTTTATGTGAAGAGTCTTGGCCAGTCTATAGACACAGATTTTTGAGATGCTCTTAAACTTCCACCTAAAACAGGGTGGCCAGAATGACTAGGGTCAGCCCTGGGACAGGCTCTTTAATGGACAGAGTCTCATAAAAGTGTTTATTAGCGTCAGCTGGGTCATCATCATATGAAAATGACCTTTTATCCAAACTCTCAGGTCAAGTGTGCTTACTTGAGACCCAGGGTCTTTTGGTCTTTAAATCCTGGACTTTGTTTTAGTTCCAATAAAAATGGCTAGACTTGACCTGTTATCTTTTTAAAAGTTAAGTCCTGCTAGACCAGATGGTTTTCTTTATTCATGAAGCAAGTTCAATGTGAACTGAAGCATTGATAGGAAATAGGGCTCAGGATGGGGAAAAACACAACTTTTTCACATAGTGGAGAAGGAAATATAAGGAATAGAAATCTCCCTCTTCCATATACAACCTTTTCCACAGCGTTGAAAGAAAGATTTTAGATGAGGGAGGTGGAAGAAACTTCGTTCTTGGTGATATTACAGTAGCACTTAATGACCCCATCTGACTACATGGATTAATATAAGCTTTGAGTCATATATTATCTCAAGATATGTAGTGATATACAGTAAAAGCATAATCTAGAAGAGCTGATCTAGAAAGACACACAACAGTATGAGACTAGGACTCTACTGTACTTTATGCTAGTAAAACCACTCCAGGATATCACAGTATGATTTTGATTTGGGCAAAAGAAGGGCAGATGGATGTATGTGAAGAATTGTTCTTATCCCCTGCTAGTTATGTTAAAAGTAGTTGGACAGCAGAGGGGTTTCTTTTCCCTCCAACTACTGCAGCCATGTCCCATGGAGGAACCCATCCAATGCTTCAGGCTCAGCTTCTGACACCCTCTTTCTCCAACAACCTCCACTCAATTCCACTTTAGCAACTGCTCCCATAGCAACTACTAGACCTTGTCATCAACTGGAGTTGCTCCATTTTTGAAATCCTGAACTCTGAAATTCTCCTTTCTGACCACAACCTCTGATCCTTCTATCAGTCCTCACTCTTTCATGCCCTTGAAATATGTTCTTTGGTCTCCTTGGGACTCCCTGTCTCTTGACCTTTCCTTATGTTAGCAGTATACCACTCCCTCCTAGCTTCATTCCTCTTCCTACCTTGTGTGAGCAACCATTTCAACTCTACTCTCACAAGCATTCAGTTTTCTCGCTCTTTTGACTTCTTGTTTTATCTGTTTCTCCAATGTCTGGCTAATGAACTAACTCTCTCTCTCTCTTTCTCCCCACTCCCAGTATCCCCCCTCCTTCTCTCTCTTCCCCTCTTGCTTTTCATTGCTTGTCCTGAGCTTCTAAGCGCTATGGAAGAAAATTTTCTAAACGATGATCTACTTTATTAAAAATCGATGATTTCCAACCTCACCTAAATGGCTGGAGCTGCTGAGTAATCCCAGGGCCAGGATGCGAGTGGGGTGAGGGAGTTGCCTAGAGTGCAATTTGAAGTGCCTAGAATTTAAAGAGGCCCTCACTCCTGGTGCCAACCTTGCATTCCCGTGACCCCGGGGATGAGCGGCTCCTTAAATTTTGTGCCTTAGGTGCCTCACTTGTCTCACCCTAGTCCTGACCCTGACATTTTACTCACCTCTCCTTACTCCTTTTGTGTGCTATGAGAGGTGGCCATTCTAGCCTTTACCACAGTCCTCAATCTGTCTGTCCATCCACATATACAAGATGCCATTGCCTATTTCAATGAAAAATACTGGTCAACAGACTGGAATTCCCTCAACTTTCCTCCATCCTACCACCAAACATGCTAATCATTGATCACCTTCTTTCATTCTCTTTGCCTTAAGAAGGAGGATATTTCACACTCTTCCATTTTTTCTCTTGGTCACATCACTTCATAAGCCCTCTGGAATCCTTAACCTATCAATCATCCTCTTCCTCTCTTGTGTTGATTCTTTGTAAATATTATTGTCTCCTTTTACTAAAAGTAAAGTTTTCCTCAGTCTTGTCTGCCTTTTGAGTGAATTCCAGTCTCCAATGTGTATGAAGAATGGTCTGTATTCTTCCTCATCTTCAATTGCTACCCAAGCAGTACAATCTAATTTTTGATCTGACATCTTCCATCACTGTACCTTTCACTGTGTGTCAGTGATTGGCAATCTTCCAATGGCCACATTCATGGGTTTTTTCTTAGTCTTCCTCTTATCCAACCTCTCTGTGGCAGTGACTTTGACCCTCCTCTCCTTGGTGTCAGAGGTGTTCCCTCTTTGGGTTCCCCACTCACTTCTCTGGTGCTACTTCCCCAATTCCCTTTTCTGGTATCTTTCTCTTGCCTGGTCCTTACATGTAGCTTGCTCCCAGTCTCATCTCCAGCCTTCTCATCTTATAATCCACTCTTCCCTCGAGTGACCACCGACTCCCATGCTTTCAGCTACCACCCATGCATTCCCTCATGAAATCTATATCATTATTTCTAGCTGAGACTTCCCTGTTGAACTCCAGCTCCAGGCCTTCAAGAGTGATATTTCCAAAACTGAACTATCTTTTCCCCTAACCCTGTTCTCTTTTTATATGTTCTACTCTCCATTAAGGCATATTCACCTAGCTAACCAAGTTAGAAAATCTCAAACTCATTTTTGAATTAGTATTTTTTGATTTCCTTCAAATACAATCAGTTGAGTCAATCTTCAAAATGTTCCCTAGAATTGACCAATCCTCTTTTACCCTCTGTAAACATCTTAGTTTAATTTCTTAGTATTTCTTGACCGAAAAAATTCAGGAATCCCTAGTTGGTCAATTGGCCTTGCCTGTACTGTAGTCCCTATTCTCTGTAAAATTTTTGATACAGTCATTTCCCTGATCAGAATCCTGTGGAGTGCTCGGGCATATCTCAGTGGGACAAAGCAGCCTTTCTCACCTACCCTTACCCTTGATATGAAGAGAAGGCCTCTGCTGTGTGTCTGTGGTGAGTTCTGGGGCCCTTATAGGTCCTTCTTTGTGCCTTGGTTTTCCTCGTTCATAAATTTTACTTTTTGTCTCAGTATTGAAAAATGCTCTAGGGGCTAATAAAGGTGTCATTTCTCCTTCAAAACTAAATGTAGTCACATGGGCCCCAATGACTACATGAAACTCAGATCCAGATTCCTTAGTGTGGCATTTATGAGACATCCCTCGCAATCCACCTCTCCAGGCTTGTTCCCTACCTCTTCCCTTTTAACCATATGCTCTCTGGAATTCCACCACACTGCTTACTAGCTGCTTTCTGTGCATCCTTTTATTTTATAGAGTATCTCCCCAGCATTCTCTTTCTAGTCAACTCGTATTCATCCTTCAATACCTGGCTCAAATGTCACCTCTCTCAAGAGGTTTCCTTTGTCTCTTGCTTTCTTTCCCATGGCTTATGAGGACTTTGCCTAATCTTCTATTAAAGCATATATTCATTGTGCTGGAGACAGTGGTGTATATGTCAGTCTGTTACTTAAGCTATGAACATCTTAATATCAGGAATTCCAGCTTAGTCACTGTAGTAACCCCTGCAACTAACATAGAGCTTTACATGTGGTAGGTATTCACACATGTTTCTTGAAAAAATGATTGTTCCTACACTGATGCAAACAATGGGTGGCGGGCAGTTACTTATCTTGCTTGGCCTCAGTTTCCTCCTGAGGCCAGGCAATATATAAGAGAAGGGAGTTGTGATCCTGTGCTCTCATTGGTTGGATTTTGGAACTGCCTAAGAGGCCACTGGGTGACATGTACATGAAGCTTCTCTCGGAAGTACACTGAAGCACTGCAGAAAAAACTTGTGGGGAAAGCAAGAAAGAGGTAAGGCAAGTAAAAGGGAAGATAAAATGAGAAACCATTAAGGAAGAAAAAGATGGGAAATGTGTCCGTGCTGAATCTCATGGCTTCAGAGTCTTGTAATTGACTAGTAAACATTTACGCTGTATCTGCTACATAGAGGCCATGGTGCCGCATGCTATGGGGATTGCAAGTTTGAGGCACGATCACTGTCCTCAGTGAGCTTGTGCTCAAGGGTATTAGAACCACAGATACATCAGGCCATGATTATAAGGATGATTTGATGTTGTCAAAGATCAGAAAAAACAGTCTTTCATGGGTAGGTGGACAGCCTCTTAGCCAGGGCAGCCACTGGCACATATGGTGAATTTGTGTGAATTACAAAAAGGTGCCCCTTCGTCTGGCTTGAATAAGGGAGTGCTGGACTGTGGAATGGGTTTCAGTCTCCACTGGCCATTGCCCTGGCCTATTCAGGGTAAAACCCACAAAACTCTGTATAGGGGTGCTGCTCCTAGCTTCCCTCCCAGCCAGGGTCTTAGGGAGGACATTCTGAGAGGCTTTGGTGTCATAATGCCCAGACATGCCATGAGAAAGGATCACTGATTGGGGACATGCCTCTGTGATAGTGATTCGTTCACGGTGGGGCTGACCAAACCTGTGCCAGGGTCACTGTGAGCTTGATTCTGTTTTTCTTGACTTTTCCTTCGCTTTTGCCTAATTGGAATTGCAGGACTTGTTGATTCCAGGCCAACATTCTTATGCCAAAGGGTATAATGCTGGTGATGGCATTCCCCCTCCCACTTCCCATACATCTGCTTTGCTTGACTTTCCCTGGCCTGTCTGGGACCCTCCTGCTACAGCAGTGGTGGTGGTAGTGGGGTGTGCCCAGGGAAGCTCCAGAGGCTGGGCCTTGCCTGTGCTCTGCTGGGCACCATGATGGGAAGGGACTCTGGTGTGCAGTGGTCTGCTGCCTGCTCTGGGTTGTGGCATGTAGGAGGAAGTCTGTGAGCAACATGAAGGGCCTTCCTGTAGACTGAACGACCCTCCCAGGCTGCCAGGCCTCTGTTCCTTCCTCCTCCATCGCTCATTTCTCCTTTTCCTCTCGACTTCATTCCCTGGTGGGCCGGCTGGGAATCAGCGGAGGGAAAAAGTAATTGAAGTGCTTAAGAGGAATTGTTTGGGGGAGGAGGAGGCAGGGTCAAAAGGAGAACAATTAAGAAGTGATGTGATACAACTGTGTGGAGAAGAATTTAGTATGAATATAATGATCAATTTCCTAATAATTAGGTCTCTTAGACAGCAGAATAGTTCCCCAAGAGGCAATGGTGGGAACCCCATTGCTTGGTCATTTCTAATTAGACTGGAGAAGCACTCAGAGAAAATGCTGCAGAGAAAATCCCCCACATTGGGGGGATGGGCATGTGACCCAGGGGGGCCTCCGCTATCTCTCATTTCTATGATTCATTGATGAGCACATAATTCACTGATTAGTTAGGCAGCCAAACTTTAAGGGGTTTATTGGTTTCTCACCTCACCTCTGGCCCTTTTAAATTGACCAGATCTATTATCTTCAAAGGGAAAAGTCAGGGCAGGCAGTGACCTAGGCCAGGGGAGATTCTGCCTCATTTCTACAAAATAAGTTTAAACAGAAAAACCTGATTCCACTATTCATCTGCCCTGCAGTGGGTGTGGACTGTCCCAGGCTTTCCTTCAGTGATGTTTTCCTCCTCCTGCGAGTCTGCAAGGTACTGATGCGGTTTATTTAGGGGGGGAATATTCTATTTTTTTTCTTTTGTTTAATTTTGCTTTAACTTCTGGGGGAATATTCTTTTTTTTTTTTTTAATTTTACTTTAAGTTCTGGGATACATGTGCAGAACATGCAGTTTTGTTACATAGGTATACATGTGCCATGGTGGTTTGCTGCACCCATCAATCCGTCATCTAGGTTTTAAGCCCCACATACATTAGGTATTTGGCTTAATGCTCTCCCTCCCCTTGCCCCCGGCCCCACGAATTGGCCCTGGTGTGTGATGTTCCCCTCCCTGTGTCCATGTGTTCCCATTGTTCAACTCCCACTTATGAGTGAGAACATGCGGTGTTTGGTTTTCTGTTCCTGTGTTAGTTTGCTGAGAATGATGGCTTCCAGCTTCATCCATGTCCCTGCAAAGGACATGAACTCATTCTTTTTCGTGGCTGCATAGAGGAGGAATATTCTTAACCAGAGTGCCCTCTGTAATCTTTCCTATGTGACTTTGAGCCAGTTATTAAGCTTTCTATGGCTTGTTTTCCCTGTCTGTAAAATGGTGCCCATAAAAATAGTGACCTTATTTGGTTGTTGTGAGGACTCAACAAGTTAATACTTAGAAAGTGTTTTGGACTGTGCTTGTCAAGTACTCTGAACAAGCGCTCTCTTGATGGTTAGTAGCCGTTATTGTGACTAAATTATAGTCACTGGTGTGGAGTATGTCCTTCTTTAGAACTCCTGCATTTGTTAGTATTCTACCTGCCATACACTGATAGGCATGGACTAACTGTTCTTCTGGGTGTAGTTTTGCATTTGAGCATTTACCTCAGCAAGTATTTATTTGAGTCTCTCATGTGTGTGAGGGAAGAGGCAGTCCCTGCCCTGGAAGGGTAAATCTCTTGTGTGTGTGTGTGTGTGTGTGTGTGTGTGTGTGTGTGTGCATGTATCCATGTACCTATGCATGTACTTGTGTATGTGTACGTGTGTGTGCATATGCTTGTTTGTGCTAGAAGAGAGCAAGAGCACAAATTACTATCCTAAAAAGTCTGTTGTGTGCCATGAGAGACCCTCTCCTATGAGAATACTAAGCACTCAGGCCTCTCATCCGATTTGGGCACAGCTGCTGGTCTGGGGAGAAAGCATCCTGCAGGAGGTGACAATTGGAACAGGCCTTGAGAGTTGGCAGAGGGTATTTCCAGTTGATGTAGATGTAAGAGATAACACTTGACTGTAGCATGAGGTTCGCAGAGGAGAGGCCTGACAGATCTTCATGATGGTGTTGCAGAGGCCCTCAGATGCCAGAGAACGTCTATTTTCTTTGGTGGGCAACAGGGATCACAGGAAGGAGAGCCAGGAGGAGTTGTGCCTCCCGAAGATCCATGCGGCAGCGGTGCAGAGGGGGCAGAGCTGGGGATGGGGAGGTGAGATGGGGGAGGCCAGCATGTTCCCACAACATTTCTGTGTGCAGCTGGGTCCCAGAGCTTTGCCACTTTACTTTCCAGTCCTGCAGCTTTCTCTGGGGCTCCCACCCTGCCCAATGGCAGGAACCTGTCTTGAGTGTGCATGGGCACCATTGTGACATTCATTTGACCTTGCCATTTTCTCTCTTCCTTTTAAGTTTTAGAGTCAGTGCACTAGGGCTCTCCCAGAACCATGGTGTGCGGCTTTATGAAAAGAATACGAACATACCTCATCGCTTCTGCCTTTCCATTAAAGGCAACAGAAGCTGTATCCTGTAAGAACTGACCCATATGTGATTATTTGGGGGCAACTGGGCCTTGTGTCCAGTGGAAGATAAAGAGCACTTTTATGCTCTTGGAGAAAGAAGTGGCTGAAGTCATTTGTCGTTAGAAGGAAGGAAGGAAGGAAGGAAGGAAGGAAGGAAGGAAGGAAAACATTTATTGGACATCCATATGTCCCCAGATACTTTGCCACGTATATATATTTTTATTTTCTCATTTGTCGCATCATAACTCTGCAAAGATAGAATTCTACCCATATTAAAGACAAAAAACTGAGGCCTGTGTAAATTAATTTTTCCGATCCTCAAGCACATATGTTTCCTGTTCCATGATCTCTCACCAGGTGCATACATACCAGGAGAAGATGCCCAGCCAGTTTAGAGAAAGTGGTCCCAACTCAAGGCTGGCTCGGCTTTTCTGTCCTGTTCTATCTACTTTGATCAAGGTTGCTAGAAATAGTACTGAAGGGTGATGGGCTTTAGGTAAACCTCATTCCCAGGCATGGTCCCAGGTAGCACTGGTCTCCAGGCATGGTCTCCCTCACCATGACTGCCCTTTTTTCCACTTAGCAAGCCTGCTTCCTTCATTTAGTGTCCCACTGCCAGTGGTCTACAGTTGGGAGAGGCACCATAGTCACTTATTTGCTCAATCTCAGCCCTCCCCCTCCAGAGAAACCTCGACCTCCAACTTGCCGTCCTCAGAGTGCTGAAGAGGGCCAGGGACACCTCTCTCCACTCTCAGGAGCTTGCAATGTATCTGTCAAATGCAAGGGGCACAACTATAAAATGTCCTTGAATGGGCAGACATGCCCCATTGCCAACGCTCAATAACACTGAGGAGGAATTCAGGTGGCCTCTGCTTGGAAGAGGATCCTAGAGGCTGTTGTTTGTCCCCTGTGTGACATTTGCTTTTTCACTACTTTGAAATTGCAAGGTTTTCACAGAGTTATTTTTCCCCCCTTTGCCTGAGATAGAATTATTCTTGAATATTCTCTCTACCAGTGCCCTGGAATTCTACCTTTTTCCCATGGTTGTCTTCCCCCTTTTCCCCTAAAGCCTCACAACATCTACCCACCCACCCTGCCTTTCGAAACACAGGGATTAGGGAAGATTCCCACCACCTCCAAGCCTTCAGTAAGGTTCAGGTCATTTCCCCCACTGCAGACTCGTGTGTGTGTATGTGTGTGTGTGTGTGTGCATGTACGTTTGGTGAGGCTGAACAGGAGGCCTACTGGAGGAGGGGTGGAAGGTTCTGGTGTTAATTGAGGCCATGCATTTTGTGCTTGGGTGCCGGCTGGCGAGGCAGATTTAGAGGACTATCGGGAATCTCAGATTAAATACCATTAAAGCCAACTTCTCATACCCCTGCTGTTCAGCGCGCACGCGGGGAGAGCGGGGATCGGATGTTCAGGATTCTTGTTTGGGAAAACCATATGGAAAAATCACACAGCAGTAAGTCTATAATCAGGGCTTACAGCATGCGGCCCATTGGGTGCCAGGAATGGTGCTTCTCTCCACTCCAGAAGGTCCATGGGATTTGTTTTCTGATGAGGAAACTGAGCTCAAGACAGGAAGTCTTGTTTCCACAGGAAGAGAAAGAGCACATTTCCTCCCATAGTACCCCAAGGTATAGTTCCCAAAATGATTTTTCCATAGTTGTTACAGTCATTCTCAAAATATTTTCATATTTGTTTTCACTGATCCCTTTAACAGTTCTACTGGAAGGAGGTAGAGAGTCTTCTGTAGCCCTTTCCAGCGGGACAAGAGGCAACCTCACACACAGGGGTGTAGGGACTCCTCCGCTGTGAGCAGGGGTTGGCAGCAGGGCTGTGTATGGAGCATCAGTCTGTGTAACACACAAAGTTGCCTGACCAGGAGAATGAGGAAGAACTGAAATGCAGGCTACACTCTGCCTGCCACGCTGTGTGCCTTGACATGGGACGGTGTCTGCTGGGAGAAGGGGGCAACATTTTCTGCCAGAGCCAAGGCTTCGCATGTGCCTTCAGTGCCTTGGGCTGGCCCCTCTGCTCCTGACTCCTGGGCTATACTTGTTCTGCCATAGCATGCTGCCTCACTTTCGTCCCTGATTATATGTTATGGTCCCCAAGGCCTTGGCATTTTCATACTTGGAACAACTTTGTTATTCCATGCTATCAGTGAGATAATGTTTCTTATTGCCTAAGATGGGAATGTGATGTCCTAGCTCAAGAGGGGTTTGTAAGTGGAATTAAAATAAATAGAGGGTATTTATCTTGGGAAATATATGGTAACTCAAGTTTATTAGAATAGCACCTTTACAATATAAAGGCCCTTCTGGAAGTGGATTCCTGCACGCTGGGCAGAAGACCAATGCATTCTTTCAACAAACATCCATCAAGGCATTTGGAGACCTCTTGCCCTGCTGCAGACATAATGATAAAAGAAAGTCCCAGGGCCTGCCCTCTAGGAGCTCTCAGTCCAGTGTGAGAATTAGAAAAGAAAGCAACAGTTACAGCATCACATAAGTGTGGTAACTGAGAAGCGGGCACCTGTGCTGTCCTTAAGGCTGCATGAGGGTTGGGCGCATAAGAAAGGGCAGAAAGTATAGATGCAGCTGTGATGTGTGATGCCTGGGCTCGGACAGCACATGGGCAGTTTAGAGAAAAAGCCCGAAGTGAGAGTGTGAAGAAAGAGTGGGCAGAGATGAAGTTGTTGCTTCAGGTGGGGGCCAGGTATTGAAGGGCTTTGCATGCCAGACTGAGAACTTGAACCTCTTCATGCAGGCAGTGGGCAGTCAATGAGGGGATTCTAATTGTCGGAGCGAGATGGTTCTTTTTCTATTTTGGGAAGAGGACCACTCTGGCCACAGTGTGGATTATGAACTGACAGCAGGGCACCCACCCCAGGCGTAGGAAGTTTGCTGCGGGGATTCAGAGAAGCAGCGCTCGGAGTCTGAAGGGAGGAGGTGACAGTGGAGGTCTGTTAATATTTTTTAGCTCAAGCTTTTGAACATCTGCCAAATGATAGCATGCATTTTTTATTCCTACCATCCTCCCTGGAATGGACCGACAGACATGACAACCCACTTGAGCAGCGACAGAGAGGAAGCGGAGGGAGGGGGAGTAGAGAAGGAAGAATGGGGTGTGAAGAGGGAAGGACAGGGACAGTCTCTAACAGGGTGCTTCTTTTTGTACTGCTGGTAGAGGCATTTTTGTTTTCTTTCCTCCTCCCTTTTGAAAGAAGGGTAAAGACCAAATGAAATATCTGCAAATGGCATAAAAGCAGAAATGGGATTTTTAAACAGAGCACATTAACAACATTAAAAGCTTTTGTCTGCATGACAGCCAAATGAACATATAGGGTTGTGGACTGGAACAGTTTATATTGTAATGGCTTACAATACCCCCTGCAATGAGAGAATGCATCATTTTTAGAACTATTTGATTCACTTAATATACAGGCTGATGCAAACTGTATATAAAAAACATGTAAAACAGCATCAATGAATTTCAAAGCGAGCAGCAGATTTTTTTCTTTGCAAAAACCCTGTCTTCTATGAAAGACTGGTTTTAAAAAATGAACTGTGTTAATGACACGTGTAAGCTTGATGCATACAAAATATTTTTTCTTTTTTTTTTAATGGCCTGCAGAATAAATTTGAGCATCAACACAATGCTTCACAGGCTTAACATTTCTCAGCTGCTATGAATCATCAGCGCTAATGTATTCACAACAGACGAGGACCAACTGCTGCTATCAAAGGACTTGCTTGAATAACTGTAATAACTGGAAAATTATTTTGATAGCCTGAAACAATCTTATATATCACAGAACTTTATTAAAATAATATCAAATCAAATTAGCCTGTATCCCCATAATGAATTAAGTAACAGGTTATGCTGATATTAATCTCAGCTAGCTTGCAGGCATTGCAGCAGGAACATTTAATAAGTTGGTCCCTGTTGCTCTGAACTAGCAGAAATCCTCGAATACCCATGCTTATTCAGAGAAAATACATCAAAAGGCTCTCTCTAAATAATGTGCCCATTTTTGTGCCTTTGGTGAAATTATTCATAAGGAGGAAAAAAAAAAAAATCTTTGGAAAATCTCCTGAGAATTCTGATTAGCTGTTGACCTGTAGTAGAAGCTGTTTTTCATAATCCCCTAAACACTGTCTAATTCTTGCCTCAATCAGCTCTGGAAATGCTGGCTTTACCTTAAAATAATGTGATAATGTTTCCTTATCATCTCTAAGTGAGACAGGCAGTGGCAAGATGGTTCTATCACTTTATTTTCCATATCCCATAGCATAGCTCCGATTTAAGTCTTGATCTTTCATCCTCAGCCATTTCTGGTTGTGCTGGTATGTGGCACGGGGGTGGAGAGGCTGAGCCTGCCAGCCTGGCTATGTTTGCTTAATGCAAACGTTGGTGAAGAAGTGCCTCTGTATTCAGCAAGTCCCCGTCATCTCTTCTGTCCTGGAAACTTTTCCAATTCCACCAGCTTCTCACGTTTCTAAAGGAAGAAAGAAAGAAAATGAAAGCCAGAGATGTTGGTGGAGAACACGTCAATTGCAATTTTAAAAAACAAATAGATTTTACGGGGCAGGGGAGGAATCAGAAATGTGCGGCTCCCATTCTGCCTGCTGATGTCTCCCTGCCTAGTTCCTTGAGTGGCTCTTCCAAGTCTTGTTGCCCAGAGAAGACACATGTGCCATGCCTCAGAAATCATTGCTTTCACCTTGAAAGAGAAGGCCCTCTTCTTCTGCTTCGGTAGCCTCCACAATTTCTAACACAGTGTTTGGCACACCAAGCACTCTCTGGCTGTTTGTGGAATTGGGTCACTATTTTCTACTCATGATATGACGTCGGACACAACCTTATTCAGCAGAGTGGGACATAATTGCACACAGATGAATTAAAAAATAATAACAATTTCGGTCCCTTTGGTTAAGCTCCACTTAAGACCACTCTATTTAAACACAGTCTCCATCTCATCTCCAGGTCTGCATTCAGTGTTCCTGGGTTTGTCCTTAAAGGCCCCCTCTGCCTCATTGTCTGAGACGCCGCCTCTGGAGGCAATGGTGGGTGCATTTATCTCCCCTTGTAGGTCAGCTCACAAGTTGATAGAGGATAAATGTGTTTTCTTGATGATGATGAGAACTGTGATGAGACATGGCCCCTGTGCTCGAAGAAATGGGATTGTAAAAACTACCTGAAGTGGCTGAACTTTTAACTGTGCTAATTATCTGTAACTACCCCTGGGAGCTGAGCTTCCCATAGTGAGCTGGCTGGGCCCTCCCAAGTTTAGCTATTCTGCAAGTGGCACCAATGTTAGAGTCTAAACAGACGGTGTGACCTTCAGAGATTAATCAGTTAAAGCGTCCCTTATGAAGCTGTTTTAGATTATTCTTGACAGTAGCTGTTTTTGACAGGAGAAGGTCAGAATCAAAGTCCTTTTTCAACCATTGTAGGACACACGTCTGCATCAAATGTAGCAAACATGCAGAAATCATTGAGGAAAGGGGCAGGCGTTGTTTTTAACTCCCCATTTTCATGCTTTCCTTTAAAGCAGAGACGCTTGGAACATGACAAATGGGGAAAAATGTTTTCCACCTGTATGCCCAAGTCTATCTGTGGAGACACATAATACCCCTTTGCGCAGAGTGTCTAACATATTTGAACATTTCCCCCTTTGATGTTGAACCATGGGTCTTAAGTGCGCTCCCCACAGTCCACTTTTGCTCTGTGAGTCAAATTGAAGTTCTTGAAATGGGGCCGATGGCTTTGCTGGAGTGTGAATGTGCTCTCATTCTATAAGAAAGAGGAACCCAATCAGGGCATTGTGTTTCAGTCTCTTTTATGAAATAAGTCACTTTCTGGCAATTGCTGTTTGCTTTTAAAAGCTGGAAGAGTCAATTTGGGGTCTAAGGGGCTGGAGAGGAAGCCCCCAACTGCTGGCAATTGCTTCTTGCTCCGTGTGAGTTTGAAGCTATTGTCCAGGCAAGAGAATGCAGGGTAAGTCGGGCTGGATGCAGGGATTCCGTATTTCAAACCCACGTCATATCATTTTTTTAAATTCAGTTGGATGGACCTAAATGCATAATAGACTTAAAAACACAAATGAGACTCAATCTCTTTATTGGGAATCATTCAAGAATTGGTTTATTTTCAAGGAAATAATACATTAGTAGCATTTTCCCACTGATGTATGCACTTTTCTTTCTTCAGTATAAGACTCCGCTCTGTTTGTGAATAGAGAATGATGGACTGTCACCATCGAGCTTTGCTTTTGGAAAACAACTAAAAAAATCCCACTGCCTTGGAAACATTGCAGGGAAACAATGGTGGCACTTCCTGCTTTTTAAAAAACACCAACATGATTTTGACTTTAATATTAGAGGCCGGAAATCTTGAAGTAAAATCAGACTTCTAGTTCTTTCCCTGATTGTGGCTGCAGACAGGAGGGCCAGAAGTCCAAAGAAAAGCTCGTGATACCTTCACAGCATGCCTTCCCTACCCCAGGTGGAGATGTGGGGGAGAGGAAAGAATCATCTTTTGAGTCCCGAGAGTCTCAAATCTCTTGCAGATGTAAAATCACTCCATCTGTGAATCATGAATATATTGGAATGCTTGTGTGCCCAGATCTGTGCTGAGTGCTGGTGTTGGTGCCTTGTAAGATGCTACTCCCTACAGTCAAGGCCTGTTCTAGCTTCAGGGACATAAAGCAAGTCAATAAGACAGTGTGCCACACCACAGAGTTATCACCTCATTTCCTCACATGTAGAGAATTCCTACGTTTAGAGAAACTGGTCATGAGGCCCAATTAAATTAGCCATTTGAGGTCTTCATTTATTTTCCTGTCTTTCTGATACAGTGAGTGACCTCCAGTGCCTGACCCTGTGCTAGACATTGAGGAAGAGAGCCACAAGTATAAAGTAGTATCTTTGCATTCAAAGAGGTTGTCTCATTAGAAAACCATACATGAAAAAGTTAAATAGCAATACAAGGTGGCCTAAGAGGTAGACCCCAAATGTTCTAAGGATATGTAAAGAGAGACCTAATTATGAGGTCAGGAAGACTGTCAGTTTTAGTTGCCTATTAATCAGATTATGTTCTTAAAGTAGTTCTGAAAGTTCTCTTTAAAGTCATCCAGTTGACAAAAAACAAAACAAAACAAAAAATCCCCCCAAAACCCCACAATCTTTAGCTAGGTTAGCAGGTTAGAAAGTAGTGCTAAAGAGCCTGTGATAATAAATTGTAATAAAATACCAGCAACAAGAGCAGGTGCCATTCATTAAGCTCTTATTCTGTGCTAGACATTTGTGCGCTAAGTGATTTCCATGTATTTATTCAACTTAATCCTCATTACAATCTTACAAGATAGGTACTTTTATTTCATTTTACAGATGAGGACATTGAGATCCAGAATGAATTAATTAACTTGTCTAAATGGTAAGTGGCAGAGGTGGAATTCACACTAGATTTGTAAATTCCAGAGTCATGATCTAATGACCACAGTATGCTCCTGGGTTCCATCTCATGTGGACCAGATAGTTGTATCTGGGGGGCGGGGGGAACTGGATTCTGTAACTCCTGCGGCGGCTTAGCTGTGTGGGTCTGGAATCACACAAGATAAGAGTGTAGAGCTGCTGATACAAATGCATCTTCCACCCTAGGACAAGACCACCAACTTACCTCTTCTGGATGGTGGGTTTGAAGAAAGGGCTGAGTGATAATTAAGTGACCATCGTATAGGCTATACCATATATGAATCAGGGAGAAATCAAATACCAAGGGGTATTTGAATGAGAATGAAAATCTAAGGCCAGAATGTTTATCAAAGAAGCTGCAGCTTGTTTGGGGAAACAGAGGGATGGGAGCGTTTTTACACAAAGATGCTAAGAGGCCATGGGGATTTGGGGCTCAGCAGACACCACCGCTTCTACCAACTTTCTGGGAAAATAATTGCTAATCAGTGAGCTGCCAGCCAATTGTTTAATTTCCCCTTGGGCTAATTGGACTCTGATCATAAACACCTCAAACCAGTGCTCTCTGACAAGGATGCCTGGAGCTGAGCTCTGGGATGAGGCGCTGACTCCTCCCAGCCTGTGACAGTTTCGCAAGGTGTGGGTGAAGAAGGCTAGGAGGAGGCAATGCCTTACCATTGATTGGAAGCATCTGTTACTTTCTTCAATCGCTGCCTCTACTGTTTTTCCGGGGAGTGGTGGGGCTTCCAGGGGCCTGAACATCTTCAGCTCCTGTGCAACCAAACCAACTTCTTGACAAAATATGCTTCTTGGTTTTCAGCAAGCACTCCAAGCATCTAGTATGGAAATAAATATTGATCCAATCAAACAATTAAGAAGCTCTGATTGAGGGCTTAATCTATGCCTAGAACTGGGTGGCCTACTACAAATAACAGAATAATGATAAGCTGTGTGACCTTGGGCAAATTACTTAACCTCTCTGATCCTCTGTTTTCTCCTCTGAAGAATAGAGATAATAATATTACCTGTCTGTCAGGGCTGTTGATAGGATTAAATAAGACAATTCATGTAATGAATTTAGTATCATTAGCTTTGAGGAGGCACTCTGAAAAGAAGATCCTTTTGGTTTTTGAATGAGAAGATCACCGAGACTAGGAAGCTCTAATCCCATGGACAATCCTCGGTTCTCTCCCTAAGTTTGTTTTCAGGAGTGGGCACATGGTTCACATGAAGACAACATGTGGTGTTATTAGGAAAATGATCTAATTTTCTTCAAGAAGTTTTTAATATTTTTAGGTAATTGTGATGCTCATAGACATGGGTCTTTGGCTTCTGTTTCTTGATTCAGTGTCTAAACATCTGCCCAGTGTCCTGTTATAGGTCAGTTCAGCCATCGGATTGTTTGTTCAGCTCCATGAATGGGCAGACACTACAAGGGTCTGCAATTGCAATGTCACTAGATGCCCCTGCCATCTATACCTCTCCAAGACCCGCAGACACTCCAGCTATACCCTGGGCACTTATCCTGGGCTAAGAGAGTGAGCAGTTTCCAGAAAACTGAGATGGTAGGTCAGGTTAAGACTCCCCTGCCTTTCTCTTGGATTCATTACAGGCTCTGGTGAGAAAACAGGCAGTTAATATGCAGAGTTCCTGTGCTTAAAACACTGAGAGTATATATATATATATATTTTTTTTTTTTCTCTACACTTTAAAAATACATATAACTGTAACACTCTTCTTTGCTCATAATGAACAAAATGTCCAAAGTAGTGCTTAAAATACATTTTGAACAAACAGAAGCTGCATCTGGAAACATGGTTAGTGGGAAGTACAACTGTTTGGAGGGGTTTATTTTTTTTTCTTTTCCTAAGCAAATGCTCTGAAAAGTTCATTTTATATCAGAACAGCCTTTTCTCGAACCTGTTTTAAAGTTAATTATCAAAAGCTTGCATCTTCTATCTCTTGCCTATGGATCCCTGCTGGGTTTGTTGTTTAGCTTTCCTTGGGAAAGAGTCACTCTATAGAAGATCATCTGCATGATGTCACAGTCCAGGGACTCTAACCGTCCTAGCTAATCAGCTTAGAACATCAGTACCTCCTTAATGTGGGATTTGGGACCTTCTGGATGCAGGGCGAGAAGCTGAACTAGTCTGCAAGCACATCACTTTATTTCTTTTGCTTTAAGCAAGAATAATTTGCCTTTTTTCTCTCATCTTTCTCTCTTGTTGTTTTGCCCCTGAAAACTGTGCAGCAAAAGCAACCTCCAGGGTGGACACTAAATCTTCTGATGCAGGCAGAGCAGTGATAACATCTGAACTGAGGGTGCTTTTCCAGGGCATGCTTGACAGATGTATCAGGGCCTTTTAGGATTTAGTACTGGAGCATATCTATTACCCGCGCTGCAGCACAGCTTGGCAGGAGCTGTGTGGTAATCTCCCATGAATTCTGTCTGACTTACCAGAGCGGCTGAGCAGGTTGCTGCAGGACGCAGAGGCTCTGCAGCCAGTTGGGAAAAGGCAGACCTTCTCTGGAAACTCTTTGAACTCTCTTCTGTGGGGCATGTTTCTCAGGTGGTGTTCTCCCTGCTCTGGAACCTGTCATCCCCTGGCCCCCTTTGCTTTTGGAGATATCATGTCAAATTTGCTTTCACCCTACTGGCTTCTGAGTATACAGTTTCGAGAGACCAAATTTATTTCTAATAGGGCCAAAGCGATTGCTTTAATGGAGGGGCAGACTGCCTGGGTCTTTGACAGGGGGAAGCAAATAGAATATGTGATAGGAGGTTTTCTTTCCCTCCCTCCCTCCCTCCCTCCCTCCCTCCCTCCCTCCCTTCCTTCCCTCCCTCTTGTCTTTCTCTTTCCTTTTTTCTTTCTTTCTCCCTCCTTCCCCCTCTCCTCCCTCCTCTCCTCCTCCACCCCTCCCCACTGCGTCCCACCATCTTCTTATCTTTCTGCCTCCCTACCCTTTTTCTCCCTCCCTTCCCCTTCTCTCCTCATCCTTGACTCTGACAGAGGCCTAACTTCCCTACAGGTGCAGCCCAAAAGTCTGTTCCTACCCAGCTCCTGCCCCAGGAGCCTCATTTGGTTTTACCCTGATGTGCTATTGGGCAACCCAGTCTTCCTCTGCTCTAACAATTACCTTGGCATTTTATAAAAATACCAAGATTGATCACAAACACCAAATTGTTTAGGTCACAGATTAAAGTTTAATTTTGGAGTTTTGCTGTAGGGTTAGAATTAGCTTCAGAGTGCGTATCGCATAGGAGGTGCTGTAATTTGTTTTAAGGATAAGGCCTTCGGGCAGCTGTGCATAAAATGAGCATGATTCCTTATTCCCACGGTTGATTTTTGAATGGGAGTGCAATTAGAATTTTTTCACCCAGAAGCACATACAGTCAGAGCAAAGATAATACCTTGAATGCATATCAGCTTAGGAGACCTCTCCTGGAAATTTATTTATTGTTCACCAAGTCCTAATGCAAAGAGATCCATGTTTTCCATAACAACAATAAACTCACCCTTTAATTTCAAGTCTGGTGTGTTTGTAGAGACTCTTGCAGTGTCCATGTTTTTATTAAGTGAGACTACAATGGTGAATTTTAATGTTGCTCATAGATATGTGAAACCAGTCACTTTTCTTCACAGAATAGAACCTATTAGAAACCAAAACCTGGGAAAACAACGGCCTCTCTGTATCTGCAGTGGCTGCAGAGATTTTCCTGCCATGCCAGGGAACCCCACTCCCAAATGGTGTCGAACAGTTACCTGTCATGTAGAGCAATATGAAGATAACATTTTTCTGATTAATGATGTTGATCACATTTGTTCTCCACTGGATAAATGTTGGAATCAATGTCCACATAATACTTTTAAAATCTATCAAGTATATATGATCTTTCCTTGGTCATTTGGATGCTATGATCACTGAAAATGGGAATCTGGCCTCACTGACTGGTCAGTGTGAAGGGGTGGCAACTCCATTGGG
The DNA here is from genome assembly GCF_000001405.40 of Homo sapiens. Classification (NCBI taxonomy): domain Eukaryota; kingdom Metazoa; phylum Chordata; class Mammalia; order Primates; family Hominidae; genus Homo; species Homo sapiens. The sequence continues at coordinate 60,063,275 of NC_000002.12, read as the reverse complement.
TCTGCATTAGAAGTCGGTATAACTTTGCCGAAGAAAATTCTAGCAGAGGCATATATTTATCTGTCTATCATCTATTTACTTATCTATTTATCGTCTACTTTCTTTTTTTTTTTTGAAACAGATCTTGCTCTGTTGCTCAGGCTGAGGTGCAGTGGTGTGATCGTAGCTTACTGCAACCTCAAACTCATGGGATCAATCAATCCTCTCACCTCAGCCTCCTAAGTACCTGGGACTACAGACACACACTACCACATCAGGATGATTTTAAAAAAAATTTGTAGAGACAAAATCTCACTATGTTGTCCAGGATGGTCTTGAACTCCTGGCCTCAGGTGATCCTCTTGCCTTGGCCTCCCCAAAATGTTGGGATTACAGAAGTGAACCACCATGCCCGGGCCTTATTTCTTTTAAAGGGCAGAGTCTCAAGAGTCTGTATTCTTCGAGGAGGTTTATTTTTATTTTTATTTTTTTTCTGGAAATCAAGACATTAAAATACCTATATTGATTAGAGTTTCCTAAGTGTAAAGGCTGAATAGTTTTTTTGAAAATACCCATTTCATTGAGATATAATGTTTGAGTAAATGTGTAATATCCCTTCTCCATGTTTTTTTTGCCTTAAAATCTTATTGATTATTTGGTTTCTGAAGGAAGTTTGAGACTATCAATTGAATAGTCATCTTCCCTCCTCTTGGATTCCCCTACCTCCTACCCCCTTCCCCAGCAGATTATCAAGCTGAGTTTCGTTTTCTATGAGACAGTATACTGAAGACAAGTTTTGGTTATGAAATTATGATGCATTTGCATTATGATATTTATGTCAGTAGGGACAAAAGGCACTTTATTTATAGCCATGTCTGGATAATATTAATCCACAACAAGCTTCCTTTATGGAACATGAATACATTCAAGGTAAATGGTAACTAACGGTATTTTTGGCTATCATATGTGAAGGGGTGATTTGGGTAATTCAGTTGAACAGGCTGCCCATGTGTTAAATGACCCAGGCTGGTTGTTGACCAACTAACTTAGTGCTAGCATTCCAGTGGTGCAGTAGAACAGGTCCTTGGAGTCTGCACAGCCTTCCAGCCAGGGAACATGTGCCTGGCCAGGTCTCCTGCAGGCTGCTGAACAGATGGATGACCATTTTCTAGTTTAGATCCCTGCTCTCCCTTTGATGCTGAAATTGATGGGAAGGTGGGATTCCATCAGTTGCATACTCATTTTATTTATTTTCTCACTCTCAAAAAGCTAATCCCTCAAGGTCTTACTCCTTGATACGGCCATTCCTAATAATTCTAATTCATTCTACCTATACCCTTTCCAATTTATGCTTGAATTTAGAAAATATCAAGCTTTGTAGCATATGATTATTTAAAAGTTTTCTCTTTTTTGATGCATATGTACCACTGGCACTTTTCTTTTTTGCAAACTTGAAGCTGCAATCCTTTGTAAATTGATGTTTTTCATTGAATAATATAACTAGAATATCTTTCCATTTCGATAAATATACTTCTACAGTGTCACTCTAATTGGCTACACAGTATTCTAGTGTTTGGCTACAATAAACATTATTTACTCAATCTCTTCAATGTCGGCTATTTGGTAAATTTTGATTTTTGTCTTTGATCCATAGTTGCTATATTACACAAAATTTCACTGTCATTTGTCACATAAAATTTCACTGTCATTAAGTTTTTGTCTACTTCCTTGATTATTTTTATAGTATAAATCCTTAGAAGTAGAATAAAATAATTAAGAAGTATTCATACATTTTAAAGCTTTTGAATAATTTTCTCACGTCATCCAACAGAATGACTCTACCAATTAATACTACTACCAGTTGTATGTATGATAATGCATTTGTCTTAACACTTTCCACATTGTCATTTTAAAAAAATTAGTACTAATTTGGTAGGTGAAAATTGGCTTGTTGTTTTGGTTTGTATCTTCTTGATTTCTCTTAGTGTTTCCTTAGAATCTGTATTTGGTGTCATTCTCCAGTTGCTCTGATTTGCATTATAATGTTTTTTCTTTAACTCCTGGGAGCAGGGACTATGTTTCCCATTTTTTGAAACAGAAATCATAGTACTAAGATGAGGTAGGTACACTATGAATCCTTGTTCAATGGAATTAATTTAAAATTTAAAAAAAGGTTGAAGAGCCATATCCCTTTCATAGGAATGACAGTTCAGAAATTGGGGAAAAATTTAGAAGGATTAAAAGTGAGTGAATTTCTAATAGAAATTGGAAAATTTTAAGAAATCAAAGAAAATCAAGTTTGAGAGGATGTGTGTCAATACAATGTCTTATGTATTGCTAGCAGTGCACACACTTTGGGAAATAATTTGGCACTATCTCATATGGTAAACATCTGCCCACCCTATGGCCTAGCAGAGACACTTCTAGAAAAACTCTGGCATGTGTTCATGAATTTTTTTTTACTGTCCTTCTCATAATTGCAAAAATAAGGAAACTACCTGAATGTCCAACAAGAAAATTGGTAAATATACTCTGGTATATAATGGAATGGAATATAAAATATAATATGGATAAATTTTGCAAAACTAATGCTGAATAAAAACAGCCCCAGAACACAACACATATCATTTTTGTAGTTCTCAAGAGCAAGAACAACAAGCTTAAGCTTACATACATTTGTTGTAAAACAAACTTTTGAAAAGCAGTAAAAATTTTTAAAAAGCAGTAGAAATAATACTGTGATTATGTCTGGAGAAGAAGAAGGTGACAAAGAAAAGAAAGATACATGCAGGAGTGTGCAAGTTAATCATAATGTTCTAATTTTTGAATTGGGTGGGGGCTCACACCTATTCATTATATTGTGCTTTATAACTTACAGATGTGTTATTTGCAAATTCAGTTGCCACAGATAATGTATTTAAAAGATCAAGAAAAGAAAGAATGAAAGCCAAAGTGAATGCTAGTAGCAAGGGAACAGTTTCTTAAGGCTTGTAAAGTAAAAACTTTGTCACCACTTAGTAAAACTCTCTTCCGAGGTCATTGGTGAAAGTGCTTATTAATGGACAAATGTCCAAGGCGGCTTCCTAGCATGCCTACCATCCCTATGTCCCCTAATGATTTCTCCTCTGACAAGCATCACCCGGTGGATAGGGGGTAATGGTCTAGAATGATTCGGTTGGTCACTGATGCCTTTCTGGCCAGACTGACACTGTTTTCAGTTACCATGCAGGCTGAATGGGTGACTTTTGGAAGTCACAGCAAGGAATTTATTTTCTTGTCAACAAAAAAAACTTTTATTCTACACGTTACTTTCCTAACACCCTCAATTCCCATTCCAAATTCAGGGTATAATTGAATAATTCAAATATTTTTGCCACAAGGGAGAGCAAGGAAGCTTGAGTGTACCAGGAGGGGCTTTTCAAAGAGCAAAACTCGTCTGTCTTGAAGTGATTTTCTATTCATGTATCTAAAATGGTTAATATCTTTTTGGATAATCCTCTATTTTTTTCTTCGTGTATTGGGCTAGAACAACTGGAGATGCTTTTGTTCCTCAGAGGACATCTGGCAGTGTCTGGAGACATTTTTGGTTGGTCGGGGCTGCTCCTGGGGAGTGGTTAGAGGTCAGGGTGCTGCTAAATAAACATCCTGCAATGTGCAGGGCCACCCCCACAACAATATCAAAGTATCAGTAGTACTGAGGTTGAGAAACCCAGGCTAGGAGTATGTTTCCTTTTACATGTGGGGACAAAGTTTCTTTGGCCACCTGAGAAATGTACTTGCTCTCTCTTGAATGTCAACCTATTCAGTAGAGTGTCGAGGTATCAGGGAAGGCAGCGAAGAGTCATGCTTGCCTCTGTGCCACACTAGCATGGATTTGTAGTCTGCTTTCGACAGCTTTTTGTCATTTACTGTCTCATGTAGTGGTAACTCAACTAACTTCTCTTCTCCCAATTGAGTGTAGACAACTTGAAGGCAGGGCCCAAGTCTCATTTCCATAGAAACTCTGACATAAAGTTGGGAACTTTGTCTACAGAGGGCTAGTTATAAGGAGCTTATAATATTTGAGGTTTGAGAGGGCTAAATTGGGGAAGGGGCGAGGGATATTAGCTATCTCTCCCAAGCCCTCAATGATTGTGGATTTATAGAATGTTGTTGTATAAAGGCCGTTTTGTTGAATTCCCTCACTCTTAGGGGGAAGAATTTGAGACTCAGAGGGGCTGTTGAGTATTTTACCCACATTTGCATAGCAAGTCACTGGCAGATCTGAAACGAGGATTCCATCCTGGTACTTCCTCTTCTTCACTTAGCTGCTCAGCAAGTTGTCTTCTGAAGGACCTGCCTGAGGCACAGAAATAAAGGGTCGGTGATCTTCAGGACCAAGGTGTGTAATTCTGTGCGTGTCTATGTAGGTTGGCCTACATCGGCATGAGCATGCCCTGAATGTCAACAACAAGCACTAGATATTTAAGCAAAGATGTTCCCTGACTTGTTCCTGACCCCCGACAGGGGAGCTTAGGTCCCTTTCTGCTCAGTACTGCTAATTCCTGTAGTTCCTTGACCACAGCACTTACCGTATTTTATGGGGTTGTAAATTTAACATCCATCTTCTATGCTAGCTTTGTGGGGGCAGAAACTATATTTGTTATATTCAATGATGAACACATATAAGATACTCATCAATGGTTTTCCATGAGAAAATAAATAAATATTAAGTCAGGGATGGCCATTTCAGGCTGGGTTTTGGGGAAGATGTTGTTTGGGGGGGTGGGGTTCCTTGCTGGTGGTTTAGCAAATACCAAAGAGGATGGAGAGTTGTGTTGAAGACAGATTTTGCCTATGTGGCAATGTGTTGGGAGCTCAACAACTCCAGGGTAAGCAGGACTGGGGCTGTGCGGCTGGTGGGGCAAACACTACCTTAGATGTGCCTTCGTGAGACCTGGGATCCCTCATGGCAGAGAGCCTGACTGGAGAAGTAGCCCCAACCACAGTGTAATTTTTTTTTTTTTTTTTTTTTTACTACGGAAGCCATTGATATCCTTTTCTTTTCTTTTCTTTTCTTTTCTTTTCTTTTTTTTTTTTTGAGACCATAATATCTGAGCAATCTGCTCACGGCTTGTTATATGGAAGATGAGATAGCTCATTATCCTGAAAATTCTTCAATAGCTGCTCATAATAAGGTCAGTTAAGAACAGAGTGTCCACTATCATTCAAAATCTTCTTATTCTCATTGAAGTTTAAGCCAACATTATTTCACACACTATTTTTCTTCATCTCCCAGCTGGGGGCAGGGGAAATGCACAGGGCATTAAAATGGATATTGGATTCAACATGAGATGAGGAGCCCTTTCGCCTTGATGCTCCCATAACTTCTGATGGACTCGGTTCATTAGGAGACAGTTTCAGATGGATTCTTTTGGGCTCAATGTTTATGTGGAATGGCTCCCTGCTCACAGAGGCCAACAGAAGAGAAGAAGAAGGGAGGGCAAGCAGCATTATTTTCTATTTTTCCATGGGTGCACCTGAAAGAGCAGAGAAGCTTGACAGGGAACCCATCCCCAGACTTGCTCAGTTTTCCCCTGGCCCAGGGCTCCCAGGACCTACCTTTTCTGGGATGCCTGATTTCCTCACTGCATCATGAACATTCCCCCACCAAGGCCCCCTTTCAGGTCCTTGCTCATGCTATTATTTCATATGACAAGCCCTCCCTCTACCTTTCCATGGATATAAGTCTGAGAATCTCTGTCCACCATCATCACCTTGCTCAAGACCCTAATCTTCCATGAAGCCTCTATCAAAGGGACAACAGGGGTGGAGAGGGCAGGTGGCTTGTCTTCTGGATTTTCTTGATAGCATCTGAGAAGGCAGGATAGTAGTGCTTATAGCAGGCATCATAAATCTTCACTTTAGTATCGTAACACCTGAGTGCTTATTATGTACCAGGCAAGGTTTATTCCAGCTTTATTTCATTTAATTCTCACATCACCATTTGAGGTAGATACTACAATATCCTGCTTTTATAGAAATTTGAGGCACAATGAGAAGACGTCACTTGTTCATGTTTATTTGGCCAAAGGTGGGAAGCTGGGATTTGAATCCAAGCAATCTGATCTCAGAGATTATGATCTAATGATGTCGTGTGTCAAGTTCTGTTTTTTAGTCTACAGAGAACCGAGCCAGGAGTCAGAAGACACAGCAGTTGTGTTGGTTTTTGCCTTACTTTAACTGTTGGGCTTTGGACAAGTGGCTTTGCTTCTTTTTGAGTCTCAATGTCCTCATTTATAATGTAAGGATAATAAACTAGTGGAGATAATGTTATATGTGTCACAGAGAACATTTATGAAAGCTGGCTAAACTCAACCTTAAATAAAGTTAACATTTCACCATTGTTCAATGTGGAATTATTGGCTATTGTTACTTGCTTATGGGTCTGTCTTGTCAACTGCATTTTATATTCATGGTGGGCAGACACTGTGTCTTACAGGTCTTTAATATCCCCTTGTACCATTCACTCTGATCTGGTCCTTATTTACCATGTCGTGGCTTATAGTAGGTGCCACACATTTCCATGATTGTACCTAGTCCTCTTCATAACCTATAACTGTTCCTTTTCTACGCTTTTGATTTCAGGCAGGTCTTTAATATCCCCTTGTACCATTCACTCTGATCTGGTCCTTATTTACCATGTCGTGGCTTATAGTAGGTGCCACACATTTCCATGATTGTACCTAGTCCTCTTCATAACCTTTAACTGTTCCTTTTCTACGCTTTTGATTTCAAGCTTCTCCTTTCTGAACATCGCACCCTACTTTTTCAGCACCTCCAGTTCAACCCCCCGTGGGACCTTGGATTCACTGACTCTATTGCCTGCCTCAGGCTCGGATTCATGGTTAATGATACAAGCACACATCCAGGGATGTTTGAGCCCTATTATCCACTTGTTCTCCATTGAACTTTCTTGTCAAAAATCCCAAGTCTCTGTTTACCCTGGGCCCATACTCAAGTAGCTAGATGTGGCTGTAAAAATTAAGAGCTGTGCTGACTTTAAATTTATGATGACACCTTATCAGTACCACAATCTTGTCACACTCCCTTTGTGAATTTACTTGCCCTCTCTTCAAGATATTTCGAACCTCCTCTCCCCTCAAAGCATCAGCATTTTTTTTTGTTCCTCCCTTTATGCTGAGGATCTTACTTCTTATTTCCCCAAGACAAAAAAGCCATAGATGGGAATCACTTTACATGTCTAGCATGAAATGTGTGAACCTACCTGCATCTGAACCCACAGGTTCTGTCTTCCTTCTGAGTGGAGTCTGCCTACATCTGACTTCACAGAGCTCGGCACCCACTAGGTTCTAGCCAGACTGCCTGTCTCATTTCTCAAGCATTCAAGGTCCTTCTTGCCTCAGGGCCTTTACACCTGCTGTTGACTTGTCTCCTGTGCTCTTCCTCCAGATCTTTGCATGGCTCTCTCTTTCTCATCCTGTTCACAGGCCACATTCTAAGCAAACTTTTCCTCACAACTCTATCTAAAAAGAGAACTCCATTCTCCATCCTATCACTTACTATCTTCTCAGCCTGCTTTATTTTTTTTAATAGCACACATCACTATCTGAAATACCATCTTTATTTATTTACCTGTTTACTGTCTGTTTTCCACAGGAGAACGTGGGCACCATCACAGTGGAGGACTTGTCTTGTTTCTTGCTGTGTTATTTGCATCTGGCATATAGTTAAAAATCACCTGGTGTATAGTAGATGCTAAACTAATGCCTATTGAATAAATGCGAGAAGGAACAAAATTAGGACCATCTGAATGACCTTAGGTAAATCACTTTTATTGATGTCAGGGTAAGATTATTGGCTCCCCAACAGCTAATGCTTATTCCAGGTTCTATTTTTCCTAAATGAGAGGCATTTGTGTAGCCACAGTCATTGTCTATGATCCAGGCACAGGCTTAGTGTGTGTTTAATGCCCATGAGTTCCACGGGTTCCATGTGAATCCTGAAGGCATCCGCTTGGCTGGGTTTCTGCATTGTTTGGCTCGAGTGTTCTAGTCATGGAACTTGAACAGTAGAAGATAAATTGAGAATGCTGTGGACATTTGAGGATGTGAGTGCCAAGAGATCACAAGGGAATTTAGTTAAGGCTCCTGTCCAGGGTAAGATGACTTCACAGAGCAGACAGAGTGAATTCTCAGCCAGCCAGTGGCTCTGTGGAGAGTATGTGCTGAGTTGGGCTGACCATTCTCTGGGTAGTTCCACAGGGCCTTGTGCCCAGTGACCTCTCTATTTATTCACACGTTGGCCTCAGCAGGTGCTGGTCTCCAGGAGCTTTTGGTTTGAACTTAGGCAGAGAGAGGCATTTGTGTGGCCGGTCTGGCGAGAAGAGTTTATGGAGTGTGATGTAAATCTCAAAGTTAATAATAATTGAGGCATTTTCTTGCATGTGTGCTGTGTGCCAGAGTGCCAAGGTTTTCTATGTTGCCTCATTTAATCTTAACACTCCATGGGGAAGATAAGTATAGCCTATGATATTGGTGTATCAACCACCTCCCTGGCCCCACTCCAAGGAAACCTGTAGGTATAGTAGGCATAACCCCCCTGCCCACTAGTAGCTTCCCATTTCAAGTCCCCTTCTCTCTTAGCTTCCATGCCTGAAGCCTTTTTCTTCTTCTATGTGGTAGCTTGCTCTGCCCATGTACAAGGCAGCACAGAATTATAGGGATTTTAATTTGTCCTCAGGGACTATCCTCAACTAATCCAGGATGGGAGTTAGTAGATGCATACCCATTTCTCCATCCTTTGGTGGGACAATTCTCTGGTCCATTATACATGGGTCTTAAAGGGATTGAGGGATAGAACTTCATGGTACCCAGCTTATTTCCTGGCTGTTCTGTGCTCCTTATCTCATTTTCCTCTCTCCTTCGCTTGTGTTTCCTCTGATTGCCTCTGAAATAAAATAGTACCTGTGTCCAAATCCTTTTCTCATAGTCTGCTTTTGGGGGAACCAAAGTAAGGCAATAATTGATTCCAAATTTGCAGATGAAGACACTGCAGAGAGAAGGAGAAAGGAAACGCCATGCCTCTCATTCATGTCTCTTTCTATTAGCAGGCTGGAGCTTCCTAACCTGGCTCCCGTCTCCCCAGATGAACTGTACCCAGCTTCCGTCACCACAGACCATCTCTTGTGGTTCTTGGGCCCATGCCCTAGTTATTGCTACAACATGAAAGCCTTTGACTATATTGTAAGATATGAAAGTTTGCTCCTTGGCAAGGGGCAGGGCACCCCCATGGGGCTGGAGGTGGGGCTCTCAGTGAGGCATGCAGCCAAGACGTCTGGACCCACCTGGTTGGAAACAGCATGACACACATTCTGGAAACACCTGCCTCAAAGCCTGGGCAGACGTGACCTGACAGGCTATGTTTGTCCTGCTGTGTTCCATGTTGCAGTGACTCAGGTACAGGTGTAACCTTCTTTTTTCCCAGGGTCTCTACCCCACCCCAAGACATTTGGGCTGTGTGTGCGTAGAAGCATATCCTTTTGGGGAAATCTTTTAGCCAACAGTGTTGGAGGGAGGGGCAGAGGTTTGCCTCTGATCACCAGTGGGGGCGATGAAACCCAAGCCAGGTATGAAACTGAGAAAAATGGGATGATTTTTGAGGAGAAAGTGCTGGTGGAGGGAACAGGCTTATGCTCTCTAGATCCTGATTAATTCTCTGGCCTCGAACCTTCCTTAATGACATTCCATTTTCTGGGGTCCTAGTGATTGCAGCATACTCTACACGGAGAGCAAAGGCTGCATGGTCAGGAATGCCCAGCAAGAGTGTTAGATTCTACCATAAAATAGGAGTAATGACCTGTAGCTCCTAGGGCTGTTATGCGGACAAATTGGGATTATATCAGACGAGAGGCCTGGGCCTTGCACTGTGCTCAACTCAGCAACAGCTCACTATGGCCTTCTGCCTTCCTGTCTGCCTGCGTGCTTTTCCATGGAATGGCAAATAATTGAAAGAAGAGATTTCCCCCTTTAAGTCTGTTGTGTGGAATATGTAACTGAGTATGCATAAGAAGCCTTTTGTGAGAAATAACCAGGGCAGGAAAGATCTTGGTTATTTTATAGGGAGGTGTTCCCTTTCCTTTCTGTAAACTGAGGAAAGTCCAGTATTCAACTGTCTTTGAAAGGGATACCAGGCTCCCAGCTTTCTAAACCAGGAGAGCAGTGATTCCTGAATGTTGATATGGGTAAGAGTTACCTGGAGGAGCTTGTTCAAATGCAGATTATCTGGCAGTGCTCTTAGAGATTCAGATTTTGCAGGTATCTACATTTTAATAAACTCCACCAACTGATTTTATTTGGTTTTCTTAAGAGATTGCACTGAGTGTCCGCAACACAGGCAATGCCGGCATCCCCACTGCCTTAGGTCCTCAGAACCTCCTCCCTGGTGTTTGAGGTGTCTTGGTGTGAACATTAACTTCATGTGAACTTGACTGAGTTACAGCATACCCAGATAACTGAGAAAACATTATATCTGGGTGTGTCAGGAGGGTGTTTCTGGAAGAGACAGCACCTGAGTCAGTAGACCCAGTAAAGAAGATCCACCCTCACCCCATGAGTGGGCATCACCCAGGATGTTGAGGGCCCAGATAGAACAATAGGGTGCAGGAAGGGCACATTCGCTCCCTTTTCTTGGGCAGGGACATCCATCTTCTCATGCCCTGGACACTGGCTCCCCTGATTCTCAGGTCTTCGGACTCCGACTGAATTACACCATGAACTTTTCTGGTTCTCCAGCTTGTAGAAGGCATGTTGTGGACTTCTTGATCTCCAAAACTGTGCGAGCCATTCCCATCATAATCCCCTCATATGTATCTGTGGGTTTCCTATGGGTTCCAAAGTGCTGGGATTACAGGCATCAGACACCGTGCCCGGCTGTGTCCTGTCTCTTGATCTTGGATTGCATATGTGTCCCTGTCTCTCTGGAGAACCCTGACTAATATACATGGCCAGGCAGGAAGTTTCCTTCTTCATCAGGCAGCATTTCCAGGCAAGCGCTCAGCAGTAACAAAATAGCCAGGAACTCCCCTCACATGAACTAGGGACTCCCCTAGCCAGGGATTACCCTCACAAGAGCTGCATCCCCTCTGCGAGTGGAGACAACCCAGGGCAGAGTCTTGGCCTCTCCTTAGAGGAAACCCATCACTTTGAAACTAATTCTGTCTTCACTCAGGCAATGGGGCAGAAAACTGTCCCCCAACTTTGCCATCATGCCTACTTATTGACAACCCAATTCTAGTGTCCTCTCTCTCTCTCTCTCTCTCTCTCTCTCTCTCTCTCGATGGATTTTCACTCTGTCGCCCAGGCTGGAGTGCAATGGCATGATCTCAGCGCACTGCAACCTCTGCCTCCTAGGTTCAAGTGATTCTCCTCCCTCAGCCTCCTGAGTAGCTGGTGTTACAGGCATGCGCTACCACGCCTGGCTAATTTTTGTATTTTTAGTAGAGATGGGGTTTCACCATGTTAGTCAGGCTGGTCTCAAACTTCTGACCTCGTGATCCGCCTGCCTTGGCCTCCCAAAGTGTTGGGATTACAGGCATGAGGAACTGCGCCCGGCTGTGTCCTGTCTCTTGATCTTGGATTGCATATGTGTCCCTGAGCTGGCGGAGAATGTGGAGCGGCTCAGCTGAAGTTCAGTTTACTTTCATGGATAGAGATGGGAAAGGTCCCCAGGCTCTTGACATTCACTCTGGATCTGGGAGCCATGGGGTGGCTCAAAAGCAGCCCCACCAGCAACTTGCCTGATTTGCAAGAAGAGTATTTGCAGCTCTGTTTTAGCCCTTCCAGCTAGTCTGCTTCTAGCTCTCAGGTCTCCTCTTTTTCCTCTTTCTTCCCCACCTTTTTTGTCCCCTCTTTTACTCTATCTGTTCCATCTCTGTATCTTTTCAGCCTTCTACAATTGAAATGTCTCTTAAACCTCAAAGGCTAGTCCAACTGTTTACTAGGCTTATTTAATGGGAAAAATAATAATAACTGCTTCTGTTTGTTTTACTAAGTGATCCCCAGGCAGGAAAAAAGGAAAGCCTTTGCCTAGAGTGATGCTGCAATCACCCTAAATTTGTATTCACAAAGAGGAGGAAAGGACTATATTGTGATTAGAATAATGATTAATCAGTATTGGTCAGGTCCCTTTCTACTATGGCATCAGCAATGACCTTGTTACAGACCCAAGCCTGAGGAAGGAGAGCGTCTTTGGGGATTGGGTTAGGTAGAGGATGGCTCAAAAGGAGCTATATGGTTTTTAAAAACAACTACATTGACTGGGCACGGTGGCTCACGCCTGTAATCCCAGCACTTTGGGAGGTCGAGGTGGGTGGATGACCAGAGGTCAGGAGTTCGAGACATGGCAAAACCCTGTCTCTACTAAAAATACAAAAATTAGCCGGGCATGGTGGCATGCACCTGTAGTCCCAGCTACTCGGGAGGCTAAGGCAGAATTGCTTGAACCTGTGAGGTGGAGGTTTTGGTGAGCTGAGATCGCGCCACTGCATTCCAGCCTGGGTGACAGAGTGAATCTCCGTCTCAAAAAAAAAAAAAAAAAAAAGCTACATTGAGGTATAATTGATATATGATAAACTGTATATAATTAAAGTGTACAATTTGATAAAATTTGACAAGAGCATATACCTGTAAAACTATCACCACAATGAAGGTAGTGAACACATCCCACCCCGAAAGTCTTCTGGGTCTCTTTAATCCTTCACTCCTATCCTTCCAGTCCCCTTCCCCATCCCAAGAAATCACTGATGTGCTTTCTGCCATGATACATTAGTTTGCATTATCTAGAGCTTCACTGAAATGGAACTGTGCAGCATGTGTTCCTTTTGTCTGACTTCTTTCACTCAGCATGATTATTCTGAGATACATCTATGTTGTTGGATATGGCAATATGTCTTGCTGAGGAATAATAATTGTATGTATATACCATAATTTGTTTATCCATTCACCTCTTGATGGGTATTTGGGGCATTTGAAGTTTGGGCTAGGTGATAAAGCCACTACAGTATTTGTGTACAAGTCTTTGTATGGCTAATATATATTATCTTTTGTATTGATAATATATATATAGTCTTTTCTATTAGATACAAAATTAGGAGTGGAATATGGAACTATAAGGATTTTAAGAAGCTGGGGGGATGATTGGAAATAATCTATGTCTGGCAGTTAGGAAATCTGTGTTTAATCTCAATTTTCCTAGTTACTAACTGTGTGACCTTAGGCGAGACATTTAACAACTCTGGGTCTCCAGTTTCCTCATCTGTCAAATGAGATTTAAAAACATGATCTCTGCTTCACATACATGAGAAGAGGGCCAAGGGACATAACCCGGGAGGTCACTGCCAAATTTAAAGGCTCCACAGAGGACTATAAAGATGTGATCAAGCATAAGCCCCTAGAAGGGAATGTTCTGTGCTTTAGGCCTTAACTTTGCTGAGAGATGCAACTGTTTGAGACTTTGGAGGTGAAGAATTGCCCTTGGTATTTACTTAGTGCCTGCGGTTCCAAAGTTGCACCTGCAATTTCTCTTTTCCCACCTTCCACATCCCCTCCATCTCCCGTTATGATCCCTCAGTGAAGACAGGCCCATTGAGCAAAGGTGAACGATTAGATGAATCCAGTGAGACAAGTTACAGTTGCAATTAACTTTCCTTCCCTGCCTTTGGTTCATAAATCCAGATGGTAAAAGCAAAGCCAAAGGGTAATATCATAGAGCTTAGGCCTCAAGAACAGCTCTGAAGTCCTGAATTGTTTTGCTAAGAAAAAGTCATCAAAGGGCCCTCATAGGTATGGATCTAGCTTCTTAGAGTGCTTTCTCTCCTAAGAGGTATTAGGCACAATGGTTAGTATCTTTGGGGTGGCAGGCTGTGTTCACATCCAGGTTTCTCTGTGTACTAACCTGTATGTCTTGGGGATGCTACTTCATCCATGAGTTTCTGTGTTTTTCCTCTGTGGAAGAGGAATGTTAACAATAATGCTTACCTACCTCAATTATTCTGAGAATTAACTGAAGGGAGCTGCACAGCTTTGAAAGCATAAAGTTCTGCCAGACCTTTGTAGCTGTCTTTCTCTCCAGACCACATGTCTTTAGAGAGGGATGATCCTTCACTGCATGGACTAGGTGACCCTATACATTATGTGAGTTGGGGTGGCAACGTTTCCCCATTCCTCCTCCATATATCTGAAATCCCTAGTGTTGGTCACTACTTTGAGTTAAGACAGCGTGCCATCAATTTTAAAAGAGCAACTACATTTACCTCGCAGTAGTCACCCAGAAATTGATGTATAAATATGACCATTTTCTAGAAAAGTTCTTCAGAATGTGGGCAGAGAATGAGTATGGGAAAGAGTGGTCGGGAATGCAGAGCTCTGGACCACACATAGGCAAATTGAGGGCATTTAAGTGGGTAGGAAATGACAAATTTTACTTTCTCATTTATTGCTAGGGCCATTCCTGACCAGGGGAGGCAGTTTATTGAGTCATTTCAGTATTCCTGTTGAAAACTTGTCTTTTATCTCCTTTAAGCTTCCCGCTATTCTTTTCTTTCTTCGCAAGCTCATCGGTGTGTCTTGGTCTACCATTAGGAGCAGTCTCTTACCAGACCAAGCAGCAAGATTCTCTTGGCTAGGGAGAGTTTCTTTCACACATGCTACCTCATTGATTTTCATGCTTTTTCTGTGAATCAGTAAAGGGAACAGATAGATAGTGCTATCTTCATTATATAGATGGAAAAATGGAGGTATAAAAGAGGCCAAAGGTCTTTTTCAGAATCACAAGTGTAATGACAAAAACAAATGGTCATCTGTTTAGAACATCAAGTCCCTGAGGCCACCACCTTGGCGAGACTCCAGGACTCAGGGGCCCAGCTCCAGTGGGGGTTGATTTTAGCCAGAGAAGGCTGACTCCTGCCAGAGGAAAAACCCAAAAGAAGTCCCAGCCCTTTTCCTCCCAGCTCTTAGGAGTACAGATTTCTATCACGTGTTGCATCTTGTGTATCCCCAGCTGTTGCAGGGACATCTGAATCACTCGGATAAACAGAGAAGGAAACAATTTTGTCAAGAATGTGACTGCCTTTCAGTTATCTAGAAATGGCTTTGACAAGGTTATGCTGTACTCTGTTATCCTCTTGGCCAGCAAGTTCTCAGCAGGCAGGCTGAATGGGGCACCTGGTGGTGTTTCTTTGTGAGCTAGCCCTTTTCACTGCTAAAACTGGACATAGGAATTTCACTTTTTCCGGTTCCCCTCTGCAGCATGTTAAAGGCAGATGGGTGGCTGGATGCAGTGGCTCACACCTGTAATCACAGCACTCTAGGAGGCCAAGGCAGGTGGATGACCTGAGACCAGGAGTTCGAGACCAGCCTGGTCAACATGGCAAAACCCTGTCTCTACTAAAAATACAAAAATTAGCTGGGCGTGGTGGCACACACCTGTAATCCCAGCTACTCAGGAGGCTGAGGCAGGAGAATTACTTGAGCCCAGGAGGCGGAGGTTGCAGTGAGCTGAGACCGTGCCACTGCACTCCAACCTGGGTGACAGAGCGAGACTTCATCTCAAAAAAAAAAAAAAAAAAGAAAAAAGTAGGTGGGATTTTGGCAACATTTGTTTTCAACCTTTTTATGAGGGAACAGAGGCACAAAGAAATATGATGACTCAGTCAAGGTCATGCACCCAGTTGATGACACTCAGATCTCACTCCCATGTCAGCATTCTTCCAGCCACACTCTGTATCTCCCTCCCTGCCTCTGAGAATTGGGCCTAATGGGCTCTCCTGAGTCTATATCTGGAATAGAAAGTACTACACCTACAATTTACTGCTGTCCATCCCTGAGAGGGAGGAGACTTTGACTGCTTCCTCTCAGAGACAGGGGCCACAGAAGCACCAGAATCTGGTGACTACTCTGAGGAGATGACTCATGGTCATCAGGACCCAAGTCTTTACACTCGAGCCCCTCATTGGGCTTCTGGCTCCTCCCCTTTCTCTCTTAAGAATCTATCAGCCTTCTGGAGAGGGTGTCGTCACCAGGAGGTCTGGGGCCAGAGAGTCAGATAGGGTAATTAGGAATAAGGGAGTTGGCCAGCCCAAAGAGTCATTATCAAGCAGGTGGCATTTGTCTTCAGGCCCTCTTGCCCATCATGTTACCCGTCCCTCTTTCAATGTGCTTCTTTCCCAAGCACCAAGATACCGACCACTCACAGTCCTCACTTTCCTGAACCTGCCTCAAGCAGAGTGCTTAGTGGGCCATGCTCCCCACCTAATACTCCTTCTTTATACAGACCCATTGCCAAGGACCCAATAGGGTCTACTCCAGTGGACAGATATAAGAGAGAATGTAGTGGTTGATCATGCTTTATTGTGCCATGGGACATTTGCATTTGGAGGAAAGCCCTCAAGCTTACTGTGACTCAATAATTAAAAAAAAAAAAACTCTTGGGAATCACAGTCACTGTGACAGACTGGTGGGAAGGCTTACAATGGTAAACCTTGTGTCATACCACACAGAGGCAGCCTGATGAGTCAAAAAGAAGCCAGCCTCCATGATGAATACCTAGCAGCCTCCTTCTTACCCGTTCATATGTTTGACGTTTCAAGCACCGGCTGATCCACGGAATTTCCCCATATTTTCATGATCTCTCAGTTCAATATGTTTCTTCTTGATCTTAAAGAATGAAAAAGATGTTATTTGTGTGGCCTTGTGTAAATAGTTACAACTCACCCTTGAATGTTACTTTATTATTGGGAACATGGCTGTAGGCCTGTATTTGTGGAGTCTAAGGCAAGAGTGCATAAGGAGGCCCATATAACATAGGTCCAAATACTTCAAAGTTGTAAATCAAACTAATGAACTATTACCTAAAATATGTCTATCCTCCTAGCTTGACAGTTGTACCTTCCTAATGGCAAAATTGACAAACATGTTTAAAGCTATTCTTTTCATATGACTGAAAGTTGGCAGAAAATCACAGATGACAGAATTTAATTGTTATGGAGCATATCTGCATCATTTTTATGGTTGATGATGTTTGCTTGAGTAATAAAATAAAGGCATATGTGTACTTTGTTTTCTTTAATTTTAACAAAAAATATTATGGAGATCAAAATTTTCACACATTTGGCTTTCTATTGACAGTAGTGATCTAAGAAATAAAAGCTATAATTGTAATAAAATTATACAAACATGTTTTTATAAAAATGTAATGCATAGTAAACATAAAACACAGGTTAAAATTATATTTATGTATGCTTTCAAAAGTTTTTTTCTTCTAAAATATTTAGAAGTATTATAATAAAAGACAAAGTATAACCTTCAATTAATAATATCAAATTTTTAAGTTGAAGTTGTATAAATGAAGCTAACATTTTATATTTCATTTTTGAAAAAGAACTAAATCTTATTTTTCAGAGAAGTACTGTCCATCTGCTTGCTAAGCTGAAGATTTACTCTCATGCTTCATGAATGTTACACCTAGATTTATATACATACATAAATTTAAGAGTAATATGAATTGGTAAATATTTTTGCAACTGTTGTAAATACCATGCTTATTCATCGAGTTCCTCTAAAATCATGAATTGGGACACAAAAGCATGATAAGAATGCTCAGCACTTCTGGGAAACAAAAGTTATGCAAGATCTATTGAATTCAAGCTATCTAAGAGAAAAGATTTGACAAGATAACTCTATTCTTTTGGCCAAGCAGTTCTAATGCTCAGGTTTTCCATATTCTAAAGTGTTGTCAATATCAATGTCAGCAGCACAGCCCACAATGGCCATGGCATTCAAACACAGTTGCTTTTTGCTTTGACAATACAGGGAGAAAGATGTGGAAAGACTTTCCCTGGGGCCTGAACAGTGTTGACCATGACAGTGGATGTTTAGGGTTACTGGTTGTGTGGTGGCAGTAATGAGTGCTGAGTCCTGAGGGACAGCAGTGCCCAGGTGTTCTTTAATACATGCGTATTTACTTTGTTTTGTTTTTGGTAAGTAGGTTTCTCTAAAGTATGAGGCCTAGGGCAGGGATCCCTCTTACTGAGGGCTAGAGTGGGTATACATGATTATATTAGTCAGGGTTCTCAAATAAATAGAACCAACAGGATCTATCTATGTATCATCCATCTATCTGTCTATCTATCCGTCTGTCTATCTATCTATCTATCTATCATCTATCTCTCTATTCATCCATCCGTCCATCCATCCACCCATCTAACTAACTATAGAATTGACTCATGCAATTATGGAGGCTGAGAAGCCCCAAGATTTGCAGGTGGCAAGCTGGAGGCCCAGTGGAATGGATGGTGTAAGTTCCAGGCCAAAAGCCAGCAGGCTCAAGACCTAAGAAGAGTTGATTTTTCAGTTTGAGTCTAAAGGGAGGAAAAGACCCATGTCTAGCTCAAGCAGTCAGGCAGAAGAAGTTCTTTCTTACTTAGCCTTTTGTTCTATTTAGATCTTCAATTGATTGGATGAGGTCCACTCACATTAGGAATGGTATTTTGCTTTACTCAGTCTACTGACTCAAATGTTAATTTCATCCAGAAACATCCTTACAGACACACCCAGAATTATATTTGACCAAATGTCTGAGCGCTCCATGGCTCAGTCAAGTTGACATATGATAACCATCACAATGACTAAAAGCCATAAAATATGCAAAAAGAGCTGTTCAAGTACATCAAGTACATCTTTTCAAGCTTTAGCTCATAGTTATTGCTTGCAGGATGAAATATTTGTGCAGAAGACCCTCCATTGTCAGCATTCATGATGGCATAGCTATGCTATAGACTAATCCTGGAACACTAAATTCTTGTTCTTGAGCAATCAAATAGATCAAGATACACATGGTATATAAAATGGTATATAAAAGGTAAACCTGTAGGTATAAAAAGGTAAGGAAATGTATAGAATGATAGAAACGTCTCCATCTAAAGTTGTCACAATATTCCAAAGAATATTAAAAATAAAGTAGGGTTGAGTTATCAGAGATATTTACAAGTATGGGTAGCTCATTCCCCAATGACTACAGATCACATGGAATGTAGTTGTATATAGGCACATATTGTTAAATATACCTGATAAAGTAATTGAGTACTTTCCAAGAACAAAGTACACTAGATTTTCAAAGGGAATTATGAAAGAAGTAGGCAATAAAATTATTGACCCAGAGGAGCCTGAAGTTTTATGAAAATGCACGACAGAACTAAATGTGTAGCCACAAACACAGGCAAAAGAAATGAACTGAGGCGTGAATAACTATACACACTTCCTTCTTTGGCTTTCCACTAATTTATAATTTGTGATGATCTAGACCTGCAACATGGAAACTGATATTTTGTTTCGGGCCAAAAACAGAGTTCTCAAAGAAAACAAAAAGGGTAATATTTCCTTGGTATAGAACATGTGCCAGGAGCTGAGATAGTTGTTTTAGACACATTATCTCATTTAATCTTTAAATGGTTCTATAAGGTGAACTCTTTAAAAACGAGGAAACTGCACACTGTTCAAACAAACTCAACAACAAAAAATGCTCTGTCAGCTTTAGAGGGCCAACTATTCTTGAGAATATTAGAAGGCCACATGGACGAATATTAATAAGACTATTACAGACCATTCTTATTTCTTTGTTAGAGAGAGCACTGAAGGACATCAACAAACCGTGGGGTGATAGCCTGTTTAAATTTATTGAATATACCCTGACTAATACAAATATTTTCTACATAATAGTCAAATAATTTGACTTTTGATTAATCTCCATCCTTCCCTGTTTCTCATTTTATCTGAACTAATTAAACTTTTAATTTTTTTCACTGTGGAGAGCACAAGTGTCCTAGCATGAACATTTTTGTGAGTTGGTGGCCTTCAGAGATGCCACCAGGATGAGTGTTGCCAGTCCACGAAGATGACCCAGTCTAACCAAGTCCTCCACTCTGCTCTTGATCCCAGCAAGAGAACTCAGAGCTACAAATGAGGTTGTATGTTTAATAAAACAGCAATCAACTTGTGCAGTTGTATAGTACTTTATTGAGATAAGGTTCCAGGATGGGCCCAGCAGTGTGCAATGTAGGTAGGTCCTCAGTGAGGGTTGTTGACTGGGATGGAGTGCATGTACTAACTGTGTACCGGTATAGAGACACTTCATTTTAAACTTAGATCGGAATTAGAAAAACAATGCCAGGAATGAACACTCTGCTTGAGTTAAGATTTCTTTTTACACTGTCTTGCTACCTAAGTAAAACGAAGAATCTGTGTTCACCAAATCTTTGCAGGTAATTAGCGTCAATGATTTATCTCAGAGAAGTTGCATTGTTCCTGTATTCAGAGACTTAAGTGGTTATTTTAGAACTAGCCAGCGTGGTTTAGATTTGGATCTGTAGCTTTGGTTTTCTTGTGATTCATATTGATTGCTTCAATTTGTATTCTGCTTTGCTCTATAGGTTCTTGATCCTCTTGTTTTTCTCCTCTTTGGTATGGTTATAGGTTTATGTTTCTAATTTTCTATTTTCTTTTATTCTTGGATTTTCAGCATTTGCACTCAAGGTGGCTGTTTTTAAAAAAAGTTCTTGTTTTGCTTTATTTGCCCTGCTGTCAGGCCTGTTTGGCCTTGTCCATGAGATAATGGAAATGAAAGTGCTTTGTAAGATGTAAAGCACTCTTCAAATGTAAGAGATGATTACTATTTTATTAAAAATAATAACCTTGTTTGTAGCTCTGAGTCTTCTTGCTGTAATCAAGGGCAAAGTGGAGCACCTAATTGGACAGGTGGGTCATCCTTATGCACTGAGAGCCTAGTTCATAATAGCTCTAGCAACTAGTGTTACAGTCCTAGACTCTCCATGAACATGGATTATGGCCTGTGTCTAATCTGGAGAATACAGACAAGAGCCTAGAAAGGAGACAGAGGACCCACACCGGGAAGCCCAACAACCTGACTGGTCTCGTTTGATGTCTGATTTCTAGCTTGTGCCCACACCCTTATCTTGAAGGCCTGAAATACCCTGCCAGGCTGGAATGAGTCTTAGGTCCCACCCTCCTCCTGGTTACTGGATGAAAGGAATCCTGTGCTCTGCCAGGGATCCTGTTTTAGACTCTGTGACAACATTGGGGCAATACTATTGTTGACTTTCTTGCTCTACAAATTCACATCACCTTTTAAGAATCAATCCTGCCAGGTGCGGTGGCTGATGCCTGTAATCCTAGCATTTTGGTAGGCAGAGGCAGGAGGATCACCTGAGGTCAGGAGTTTGAGACCAGCCTGGCTAACATGGTGAAACCCCGTTTCTACTAAAAACACAAAAAATTAGTTGAGTGTGGTGGTGCACGTCTGTAATCCCAGCTACTCAGGAGGCTGAGGCAGGAGAATCGCTTGAACCCGGGAGGCGGAGGTTGCAGTGAGCCGAGATTGCGCCATTGCACTCCAGCCTGGGCAAAAAGAGCAAAACTCAATCTCAAAAAAAAAAAAAAAAAAAAATCAATCCTAAAGTGGTTTGAGAACAGGACTTTCATTCTGTTTAAGTAGTTCTGCCTCCTCATCAAGAAGTCCTAATGAGTTTAGACCTGAACTAAAACAGGGTCCCATATACAATTGTCTTCTTTCAGCTGGTATAGAACAGACCCAGTATATATGGCTATAGATGCCCTTAACTTGTTAATATTGAGAGCTAGTTTCTAATGTCTGAAAAGTTGCTATTTGTTTCAGCTAAGCCATCATTAGTGGAATTCATCCCAATGTTGAGTTAAGGAAGAGAAAGTGGGCCTTATTGGCTCCTTAGTAGATTAGAAATGCAGAAATTTTTTTCTAGGGAAGGGAAAGGAATGACAGTCCCCCCAAAAAAGTTGTGTGTTGTGCCAAGGTTGAGTTTGAGGAGGTGGGAAAGCATTTTATAAAAGGAGATACCTCTGTGACTGGTTATTCATAGGATCAGCACGTGACACCCTCATGAGGTGGCAGTATTTAAGTCCACCTTGTTTTCACATCTCTATCTTGTTCTTTATTCCTACTTCTCATTTATTTATTTATTTGATTATTCACTCATTCAGCAAATACTTATTGAGCACTTTTCTGGTACCAGACAGATACTGTGCTATATGCTGGGGACCACACACAGCATTTCCAACAATTGTCCCGGATCTCAAGGCCATCTGTGCTGTAGTCTGTACATGGACTTTAGATCAGACAGACCTGGGTTCTGGTGCCTTCTCCCCTGTTTGCTTTTTCTGTTACCCAGTAAAACTTATTCTGTTAACTTGTCATCTGGGTCTTACTTTATGTATCTTTAAAACTGGATAATACCAACTACCACATAGGGTTGTGGTGTGGATTCCGTACATGATGTGTATAATACTCAGTGCTGGACACATAGTAGGTCTCTTACTCATTAATTGGTGATTGTATCCTTCACATTCATCTCCTAATCATCAACTCAAACTCATTAACAGCTCTTCTTTGCCTAGGGTAAGTTGGCTACTAAGTGGAATTTAATTACGTTGAAGTCTTATTTTTTAAATTATACTTTAAGTTTTAGGGTACATGTGCACCACGTGCAGGTTTGTTACATATGTATACATGTGCCATGTTGGTGTGCTGCACCCATTAACTCGTCATTTAACATTAGGTATATCTCCTAATGCTATCCCTCCCCACTTCCCCCACCCCACAACAGGCCCCAGTGTGTGATGTTCCCCTTCCTGTGTCCATGTGTTCTCATTGTTCAATTCCCATCTATGAGTGAGAACATGTGGTGTTTGGTTTTTTGTCCTTGCAATAGTTTGCTGAGAATGATGGTTTCCAGCTTCATCCATGTCCCTGCAAAGGACATGAACTCATCATTTTTTATGGCTGCATAGTATTCCATGGTGTATATGTGCCACATTTTCTTAATCCAGTCTATCGTTGTTGGACATTTGGGTTGGTTCCAAGTCTTTGCTATTGAGAATAGTGCCGCAATAAACATACGTGTGCATGTGTCTTTATGGTAGCATGATTTATAATCCTTTGGGTATATACCCAGTAATGGGGTGGCTGGGTCAAATGGTATTTCTTGTTCTAGATCCCTGAGGAATCGCCACACTGACTTCCACAATGGTTGAACTAGTTTACAGTCCCACCAACAGTGTAAAAGTGTTCCTATTTCTCCACATCCTCTCCAGCACCTGTTGTTTCCTGACTTTTTAATGATCGCCATTCTAACTGGTGTGAGATGGTATCTCATTGTGGTTTTGATTTGCATTTCTCTGATGACCACTGATGATGAGCATTTTTCATGTGTCTGTTGGCTGCATAAATGTCTTCTTTTGAGAAGTGTCTGTTCCTATCCTTTGCCCACTTTTTGATGAGGTTATTTGATATTTTCTTGTAAATTCGTTTAAGTTCTTTGTAGATTCTGGTTATTAGCGTGTTGTCAGATGGGTAGATTGCAAAAATTTTCTCCCATTCTGTAGATTGCTTGTTCACCCTGATGGTAGTTTCTTTTGCTGTGCAGAAGCTCTTTAGTTTAATTAGATCCCATTTGTCAGTTTTGGCTTTTGTTGCCATTGCTTTTGGTGTTTTAGTCATGAAGCCCTTGCCCATGCCTATGTCCTGAATGGTATTGCCTACATTTTCTTCTAGGGTTTTTATGGTTTAGGTCTAACATTTAAGACTTTAATCCATCTTGAATTAATTTTTGTATAAGGTGGAAGTAAGGGATCCAGTTTCAGCTTTCTACATATGGTGAGCCAGTTCTCCCAGCACCTTTATTTATTTAAAGGGAATTTAGTAAATAGGGAATCCTTTCCCCATTTCTTGTTTTTGTCAGGTTTGTCAGAGATCAGATGGTTGTAGATGTGTGGTGTTATTTCTAGCCATTTTCATGATATTGATTCTTCCTACCCATGAGCATGGAATGTTCTTCCATTTGTTTGTATCCTCTTTTATTTCCTTCAGCAGTGGTTTGTAGTTCTCCTTGAAGAGGTCCTTCACATCCCTTGTAAGTTGGATTCCTAGGTATTTTATACTCTTTGAAGCAATTGTGAAAGGGAGTTCACTCATGATTTGGCTCTCTGTTTGTCTGTTACTGGTGTGTAAGAATGCTTGTGATTTTTGCAATTGATTTTGTATCCTGAGACTTTGCTGAAGTTGCCTATCAGCTTAAGGAGATTTTGGGCTGAGATGATGGGGTTTTCTAGATATACAATCATGTCATCTGCAAACAGGGACAGTTTGACTTCCTCTTTTCCTAGTTGAATATGCTTTGTTTCCTTCTCCTGCCTGATTGCCCTGGCCAGAACTTCCAACACTATGATGAATAGGAGTGGTGAGAGAGGGCATCCCTGTCTTGTGCCAGTTTTCAAAGGGAATGCTTCCAGTTTTTGCCCATTCAGTCTGATATTGGCTGTGGGTTTGTCATAGATAGCTCTTATTATTTTGAGATACGTCCCATCAATACCTAATTTATTGAGAGTTTTTAGCAAGAAGGGTTGTTGAATTTTGTCAAAGGCCTTTTCTGCATCTACTGAGATAATCATGTGGTTTTTGTCTTTGGTTCTGTTTATATGCTGAATTATGTTTATTAATTTTCGTATGTTGAACCAGCCTTGCATCCCAGAGATGAAGCCCACTTGATCATGGTGGATAAGCTTTTTGATGTGCTGCTGGATTCGGTTTGCCAGTATTTTATTGAGGATTTTTGCATCGATGTTCATCAGGGATATTGGCCTAAAATTCTCTTTTTTTGTTGTGTCTCTGCCAGGCTTTGGTATCAGGATGATGCTGCCCTCATAAAATGAGGGAGGATTCCCTCTTTTTCTATTGATTGGAATAGTTTCAGAAGGAATGGTACCAGCTCTTCCTTGTACCTCTGGTAGAATTCGGCTGTGAATCCATCTGGTCTTGGACTTTTTTTGGTTGGTAAGCTATTAATTATTGTCTCAATTTCAGAGCCTATTATTGGTTGATTCAGAGATTCAACCTCTTGCTGGTTTAGTCTTGGTAGGGTGTATGTGTCGAGGAATTTATCCATTTCTTCTAGATTTTCTAGTTTATTTGCATAGAGGTGTTTATAGTATTATCTGATGGTAGTTTGTATTTCTGTGGGATTGGTGGTAATATCCCCTGTATCATTTTTTATTGCGTCTATTTGATTCTTCTCTCTTTTCTTCTTTATTAGTCTTGCTAGTGGTCTATCAGTTTTGTTGATCTTTTCGAAAAAGCAGCTTCCGGATTCATTGATTTTTGAAGGGTTTTTTGTGTCTCTATTTCCTTCAGTTCTGCTCTGATCTTAGTTATTTCTTGCCTTCTGCTAGCTTTTGAATTTGTTTGCTCTTGCTTCTCTAGTTCTTTTAATTGTGATGTTAGGGTGTCAATTTTGGATCTTTCCTGCTTTCTCTTGTGGGCATTTAGTGCTATAAATTTCCCTCTACACACTGCTTTCAATGTGTCCCAGGATTCTGGTATGTTGTGTCTTTGTTCTCGTTGGTTTCAAAGAATATCTTTATTTCTGTCTTCATTTCGTTATGTATCCAGTAGTCATTCAGGAGCAGGTTGTTCAGTTTGCATGTAGTTGAGCAGTTTTGGGTGAGTTTCTTAATCCTGAGTTCTAGTTTGATTGCACTGTGGTCTGAGAGACAGTTTGTTATAATTTCTTTTCTTTTACATTTGCTGAGGAGTGCTTTACTTCCAACTCTGTGGTCAAATTTGGAATAGATGTGGCGTGGTGCTGAAAAGAATGTATATTCTGTTGATTTGGGATGGAGATCTCTGTAGCTGTCTATTAGGTCTGCTTGGTGCAGAGCTGAGTTCAATTCCTGGATATCCTTGTTAACTTTCTGTCTCATTGATCTGTCTAATATTGACAGTGGGGTGTTAAAGTCTCCCATTATTATTGTGTGGGAGTCTAAGTCTTTTTGTAGGTCTCTAAGGACTTGCTTTATGAATCTGGGTGCTCCTGTATTGGGTGCATATATATTTAGGATAGTTAGCTCTCCTTGTGTAATTGATCCTTTTACCATTATGTAATGGCCTTCTTTGTCTCTTTGATCTTTGTTGGTTTAAAGTCTGTTTTATCTGAGACTAGGATTGCAACCCCTGCCTTTTTCTGTTTTCCATTTGCTTGGTAGTTCTTCCTCCATCCCTTTATTTTGAGCCTATGTGTGTCTCTGCATGTGAGATGGGTTTCCTGAATACAGCACACTGATGGGTCTTTACTCGTTATCCAATTTGCCAGTCTGTGTCTTTTAATTGGAGCATGTAGCCCATTTACATTTAAGGTTAATATTGTTATGTGTGAATTTGATCCTGTCATTATGATGTTATCTGGTTATTTTGCTCGTTAGTTGATGCAGTTTTTTTCTAGCCTCGGTGGTCTTTACAATTTGGCATGTTTTTGCAGTGGCTGGTACTGGTTGTTCCTTTCCATGTTTAGTGCTTCCTTCAGGAGCTCTTTTAGGGCAGGCCCGGTGGTGACAAAATCTCTCAGCATTTGTTTGTCTGTAAAGGATTTTATTTCTCCTTCACTTATGAAGCTTAGTTTGGCTGGATATGAAATTCTGGCTTGAAAATTCTTTCTCTTTAAGAATGTTGAATATTGACCCCTACTGTCTTCTGGCTTGTAGAGTTTCTGCCGACAGATCAGCTGTTAGTCTGACAGGCTTCCCTTTGTGGGTAACCCGACCTTTCTCTCTGGCTGCCCTTAACATTTTTTCCTTCATTTCAACTTTGGTGAATCTGAGAATTATGTGTCTTGGGGTTGCTCTTCTTGAGGAGTATCTTTGTGGTGTTCTTTGTATTTCTTGAATTTGAATGTTGGCCAGCCTTGCTAGATTGGGGAAGTTCTCCTGGATAATATCCTGCAGAGTGTTTTCCAACTTGGTTCCATTCTCCCCGTCACTTTCAGGAACACCAGTCAGACGTAGATTTGGTCTTTTCACATAGTCCCATATTTCTTGGAGGCTTTGTTGGTTTCTTTTTATTCTTTTTTCTGTAAACTTCTCTTCTTGCTTCATTTCATTCATTTGATCCTCCATCACTGATACCATTTCTTCCAGTTGATCAAATTGGCTACTGAGGCTTGTGCATTCACCATGTAGTTCTTGTGCCATGGTTTTCAGCTCCATCAGGTCCTTTAAGGACTTCTCTGCATTGGTTATTCTAGTTAGCCATTTGTCTAATTTTTTTCCAGGTTTTTAACTTCTTTGCCATGGGTTCGAACTTCCTCCTTTAGCTTGGAGTAGTTTGATTGTCTGAAGCCTTCTTCTCTCAACTCATCAAAGTCATTCTCCGTCCAGCTTTGTTCTATTGCTGGTGAGGAGCTGCGTTCCTTTGGAGGAGGAGAGGGACTCTGATTTTTAGAGTTTCCAGTTTTTCTGCTCTGTTTTTTCCCAATCTTTGTGGTTTTATCTACCTTTGGTCTTTGATGATGGTGACGTACAGATGGGGTTTTGGTGTGGATATCCTTTCTGTTTGTTAGTTTTCCTTCTAACAGTCAGGACCCTCAGCTGCAGGTCTGTTGGAGTTTGCTGGAGGTCTACTCCAGACCGTGTTTGCCTGGGTATCAGCAGCGGAGGCTGCAGAACAGCAGATATTGGTGAACAGCAAATGTTGCTGCCTGATCGTTCCTCTGGAAGTTTTGTCTCAGAGGAGTACCCAGCCGTGTGAGGTGTCAGTCTGCCCCTACTGGGGGGTGCCTCCCAGTTAGGCTACTTGGGTGTTAGGGACCCACTTGAGGAGGCAGTCTGTCCATTCTCAGATCTCAAGCTGCGTGCTGGGAGAACCACTGCTGTCTTCAAAGCTGTCAGACAGGGACATTTAAGTCTGCAGAGGTTTCTGCTGCCTTTTGTTTGGCTATGCCCTGCCCCCAGAGGTGGAGTCTATAGAGGCAGGCAGGCCTCCTTGAGCTGCGATGGGCTGCACCCAGTTCGAGCTTCCTGGCCACTTTGTTTACCTACTCAAGCCTCGGTAATGGTGGGAGCCCCTCCCCCATCCTCACTGCTGCCTTGCAGTTTGATCTCAGACTTCTGCGCTAGCAATGAGCGAGGCTCCATGGGCATAGGACCCTCTCAGCCACATGCAGGGTATAATCTCCTGGTGTGCCGTTTGCTAAGACCGTTGGAAAAGTGCAAAATTAGGGTGGGAGTGACCCGATTTTCCAGGTGCGGTCTGTCACCCCTTTCTTTGACTAGGAAAGGGAATTCCCTGACCCCTTGCGCTTCCTGGTTGAGGTGATGCCTCGCCCTGCTTCAGCTCACACTTGGTGCACTGCACCCACTGTCCTGCACCCACTGTCCGACACTCCCCAGTGAGATGAAATCGGTACCTCAGTCGGAAATGCAGAAATCACCCATCTTCTGCATTGCTCATGCTGGGAGCTGTAGACTGGAGTTGTTCCTATTTGGCCATCTTGCATGCCTGCCATGTTTAAGTTTTTATATGCACAGACATCTAGACAAGATATTTTCAACATAGTGTGGATTCTAGTTCAGGATTCCAGAACTGTTAATATAGAGACATTTCCAGTTCACTTTCTTTTCACCAACATGATTGAGTATCTTCTTTTTTATCATTTACTTTTCCCCAACTTTATTAAGGTCTAACTGACAAATAGAAATTGTATATATTTATAGTGTGCAACTGACTTTTAAAATAGTTGAACCATTAAATTAATCAAAATGGTCACATCGGCTAGCTGGGCAACCATTAAAATAACCAAGCAAAGAAATGTAGCTAATCATAAAAAATAGAGTTAGAATGAAATCGTTGAAATATCAATCCAAAGAAAGCAGAAAAAGTGAAAAAAGAAAACTAAAATAGGCAATTCAAACAGAAAACAAGTAGATAAGCAAATCAATGCAGAAGCAGAAAACCAAATGCTTCCTGTTCTCACTTATAAGTGGGAGCTAAGCACTGAGCACACATGGACATAAATATGGGAATGGTAGACACTATGGACTACTAGAGGGTGGAGGGCTGTGAGTTAAAAAAATATGTAGCAGGTGCTATGCTCAGTACCAGGGTGACAGCGTCTGTATTCCAAACTTCAGCATCATGCAATACTTCCATGTAACAAATCTGCACATGTACCCCCTATCTAAAATAAAATTTGAAATAAAAAAGAAATTAAGTAGAAAGATGGTAGATATAAGTCCAACCATATCAATGATAACATTACATACCAAGACACAAATAAGGTATTATGTAAGTAAATTGATAGAAAAACTATATGCCATGCTAACACCAATCTAAAGAAAGCTGGAGTGGCTATATTATAATATCAGACTAAGCAGTTTTCAGAGCAAAAAATATTACAGGATTAAAGAGGATCATTTTATAATGATAAAGGAGTCTATGAACCAATAGGATGTAACAATATTAAACATTTATGCACCAAATCAAATTTTCAAACACTTGCAGCAAAAACTGATATAACTGTAAGGATAAATAAACAAATACACAAGTGTTATGAGGGATTCCTTATCATCTTCTGAATAACAGATAGAACAAATAGAAAGAAAATCAGTAAAAATATAGAAGACTTAAATAACACTACCAATTAACTTGACATAATTGACCTTTCTAGACCCCTGCATCCAACAATAGAGGAATACACAGCACTCTACAACCTAGCACCTGACCCAGCAGTCTAGCCAATTCTGTCTATCAAGAGGAAAACACTTGTGTCAATGTAAACACCATTGTTCTGGACCTCTCCAGGCCATGAGCAATGGCACAGAATCCCTGTCTTAGCTGCATAGGCCCCTCCTTGAGGCATTGCTTCTGGATATTCTGGTAGCTGCTCCGTGAAAAGGTTATTGTTTCAAGGAAATACTTCACCCGCCCAGGATGAGGTCAGGGATTGGATCTGAATCAAAGATCTAACCTACACGTTGTCGTCTTGCTGGGGAGAGCAGCAGCCACTAGCTGTGTCCAGCTTTATTAAAATTGTTGTACTGTTGCCCCCGGTGCTTGGCATTGGAAAACAAACAAACAAACAAATGAACAAACAACATCACGGCACCAGGGTTAGGTCCATCCCAAGATCTTCTATCATTTTTTTGATAACTGGACTGTTGAAATCAGCCAAACAATACAGATGTCCCCAGAAAACCTTCTTGAGAGATTTTACTCCCTTGAGATAACGTATGACAAGACAGATTTTTTGGCTCCCTACCTTTCCAAAGGGAGAAAACTTAAAATCAAAGAAATATGATAAAAAGATGAAGTACACATGTAATCAGATTTAAGCCATAAAATAGAAAAGCAATTTATATAATCATATAACAAATTACCCCATTTTAATCAAGGAGGAAAAAAGATAACCTGGAAGAATGTTTGGTGGTGTAATGATGACATTTCAAGGTGCTGTTTTGTGGGGACCCCTCCCATTTCCAAATCCCAGTGAACCATGCTTGGGAGTCAGACATACAAGTGAAGGATGGAGGAAAAAAATAGTTCCAGTCATATTGTACATTGTAGACACCTCTCCATGAACCTTGTCTGCATCATGAACCTTGGCTGCTTCTACACTCCAATGGGCTTTCTCCATGAAACTGTCTCTTCTGTGAACATGAATCCATACCCAAATTATAGTACATATACTAATTTATAATAGTCTGCCATCAAATGATATTATAACATTTTAGGTGTAATATATGGAATTTACAACCATGTATTTCCATTTTTCTCCTCCTGTCCTTTGCACTATTCTTATCATAAATCTACTTTAATGTGTATTATAAAACCTACAATAGATTTTTTATTATATTTCCTTTAAATAGTCAATTATCTTGTAAGTAATTGAAATAAGTAAATAATTGTAAGTAATTCAAAATCTATATTTACCCATTTAGATAACATTTCTATTTATTTCTCTTCATTTCTTTGTGTCAATTCAGATTTACATCTGCTTTCATTTTCCTTCTGCTTAAAGTACTTCCTTTAATATTTTTTACAATGCAGATTTGCTGATAATGAATTCTTTTAGCTTTCATATGGCTGAAAAAAATGTTATTTTGCCTTTATTGTGAAAGTGATTTTCACAGGGTAAAGAATTCTATGTTAACAATTTTTCCTCTATTTAGTACTATAGAGGTGCTCTAGCTTGCATTATTTCCAAAGAAATACCTGCCTCTATTCCGATCTTTTCTCTCTGTAGGTAATGTGTGTGTGTGTTTTACTTTGGCTGCCTTTAAGGTTTTTCTCTTTATTACTGGGGTTTAATAAATTTGATTATGATGTGCTTTCATGTAATTTTCTTCAAGGTTTTTTGTGCTTGGAGTTTGTTGAGCTTCTTAGAGCTGCAGGTTTATAATTTCAACAAATTTGGAAGTTTCTCAGCCAGAATTTGTTCAAATATTATTTTTGTCTTCCCCTCTTCAAAGACTCCAGTAACATATTAAGCCTCTTGTAGTTGTCCCACAGCTCACATACTCTCTATTATACTTTTTCCCATTTTGGAAAGTTTCTATTGCTATTTCTTTAAGTTTACTTCTGTTTTCTTTTGCAGTGTCCAATTTATTCTTAATCTTATCTACTATATGTTTCATCTTGGACACTGCAGGTTGTCTTTAGAAGGTTGATTTGGGCCTTATTTATATCTTTCATGTCTCAAT
Organism: Homo sapiens; assembly: GCF_000001405.40. Taxonomy (NCBI): domain Eukaryota; kingdom Metazoa; phylum Chordata; class Mammalia; order Primates; family Hominidae; genus Homo; species Homo sapiens. Next base: position 60,031,668 of record NC_000002.12, on the reverse strand, counting down.
TAATAGACTCAAGTATTCCTTTACCTTCTTGAACATATGTAATATAATTTAAATAATTCTCTTAATGTTTTTGTCTACTAATTGTATCACCTGTGTAAATTCTGGGTCAATTTCAATTTATTGATGTTTCTTCTAATTATGGTCATATTTTTCTGCTTCTTGGCATACCTGGTCATTTTAATTGGATACCAGGTATTGTGAATTTTACCTTGTTAGGTGTTATATAGTCTTGTGTTTCTATACATATTTTTGTGTTTTGTTCTGGAACATTGTTAAATTACTTGGAAACAGCTTGAGCCTTTCAGGTCTTGCTTCTTTGCTTTTTTAGGCAGGATCCGAGCAGTTTATTTTTTCCCACTACTGAGGCAAAACTCTTCTTGGTACAAATATGAGGCTTTTGTACTCCGGCTGGTGGAAGGGATGCTATTTCTTTTTACTTCTAATTCTTTTAAATGATTTTTTTCCTCTGGTCTTGATTAGTTTCTTCTCACACTTGAGCTGATCAGTAGTCAACTTAACTCTTGAGGCGAACCTTCTTTAGGTCTCCAGAATTTTCTCTTTCTCTGGGTAGCTCCCTCTTTTCTGGCACTCTGCCCTGTAAACTCTAGCTATGTCCAGGACCACCAGCTTCACTTCTCATCTCAGAGAGACCACTGTGCTCTATGTGGGTCCCCCTCCTTGCATCAGGACCTGGAAACTGTCTCCAGGCAGTAAGTTGGGACAATCATAGGACTCAGCTCACTTGTTTCACATCTCCCAGGCATCACTGGCCTTCAGGCCTGATGTCAAATGTTTTGAAATTCAGCTTTTCACATATGTTGTCTGCTTTTTTAATTGTTTCAGGCAGGTGGATAAATTCAATTCCTTTTACTCAATCTGGCTAGAAGCAAAGTCTGTAGTATTCTTTGTAATTAATTTTTGTGTGTGCCTTTTCTCTATTTTCATTTGTGTGTGTTGTGGCGGCTAGGGGAGCTTATGGAGATTAGCCAAAAAGGGTTTCTTTGGAGTGAATGTTAAAGAGATAATTTTCCCATCCTCTTTCACTAACCTGATTTTTTGCCTTGCTACCACAGTAATTTTCCCAAATCTAATCATCTCTTGTTTCTGCCTAAATCCATCATGGCTCTTGAATGATTACTGAACAATGTCCAAACCCCTTAGTATGCATGCAAGCCTCCTGTGACCTGTTAACTCTTATATCTAACACCAGTCACCTTCCCTATCATAGCCTGCACTCTAACTAAGCCTCTAATGTCTGAGAAGGTAGCAGTCTATGGGTTTTGGAGGCAGAGCTACTGTTCAAATCCTACTTAATGGCTGCCTGACATTGAGAAATTAACCGTTGTAATGTTTTATCTGAAAATAAGACAATAATACTACATACTTCTTAGGTTTGTTGTGAGCATCAAATAAAATAATATCTATAATGTGCTTACCACAGTGTCTGACATACAGTGAGTACTCTGTTAATATAATTTGTTGCTATGATTGCTCCTCAGATGCATCATGTTCTGCTTCTCTGCTCTCTGGGCCTTTGATCACAGTTCTCCTTCTCTTGCTGCACACATTTTTCACCTGCTTACTCCTTCTCTTTTCAGGTACATCTCAAGCTTTTCCTCCTGGGTCCAGCTTCCCCTGACCTTCTGATCTTAGGAGGATGCTCTCCATGGTGCCTGTTCCTTCTGTTTTGTCCTTGTTTTTCCTCTTCCATATCCACACGGGGTGCAGGGACTGTGGCTCATGGTAAATGATTCACAAATTTTAGCTGAAAAGCGAATGAATGAAGATTGGCTCTTTATAACTTGAATAGAATGATGATAAGGGGGTGAAATGATGAAAAGGTTACAGAAGTAACATAAAATGTTGTTTAACTGGACACCAGTAGAGGTATACAATTCCTAGGCAAAAGGACACTGAGAAGAACAGGAGTCAGGCACTCAGGGATACCACCTGGCCGGTTACCACTGCCCAGTGAGCCTCTCTGTAAAGCTACCCCAAGAGGCTGCAGAGGTAATTTCTCAATTCAGTGACAGGCAATGCTACATGGCAAGGAAAAGGACAAAGCCTGGTGATAAGAAGCCAAAAAAAAAAAAAAGCAAGAAAATAAACATCTCCTGCCAAACCATGTGAGAATGCACCCGCTACCCTCTACCCTCATCCCTATGGCCCAGGCATTCGGCTAATGGTATTGTCTCTGCACAGCTAGAATTTTAGGAAATGCCTGCCAATATTGACATTACCCTCACGTAGTGACATAAGGGTGGATTGTTGAACAATCACTTTAAAAGTTAATTGTTGAAAACCTGCAGGTTAGAGCTCTTAAGCTTGCTTGATGGCAATTCTGGTGGTTGCTCTTTTTTTAAAAAAAGTTTTTATTTGTGATCTCTCTTGTTTTTGATGGCAGAAGGTAGAACTCTTTTTTTTTCTTATGTCTTAAGGCAGGTTAAGTGACTTCCTGCCTAGCTTTCTGAGTAGTTATTTTCTTTTCTCCCCTCTACTCTTTCTCACTTTTCTGTTTTCTCTTTTCATTGTACCCTAGTCCTGCAGCTATGACTACCTCTTGTCCTGAAGCCTGTCTGCACAGGCATTTGGGAATTCTGGTAAATCCAATTCCTACCATTCCTCAACCCTCCTGAAGCCCCTGGAGGCTGTGTTAAGGAGATCCCTCATGTCTGAGTCACTGGTAATGTGCTCAGAACTCTGCCAGCATTCCTCCTCAGGGGCCAGTTCCCCTGATGGTCCCAGAAAGAATCAGAGATGGTAGACCTCTGTGTTTAAGGGAACAAGTTTCCATCCCACAGATTGGAGGCTGTGATCACAGTGATGACCCACCCAGAGGAGAGCCTCACAACAAAGCTGATGTCTCCCTGCCTCCCTTCCCCTCAGATCTCAGGCTGCAGTTGAGTGACAACAGGGATTTTTAGAAATTCTTATTTGGGGCAGGAAACTGACAAGGTATCCATCCTTTATCAACAAAAGCCTGGCATGAATTTGAGTCTATCAGTATATTTCCATTTATTGATGAGCAGATCACAGACTAGCCCCTGGGCATGTTTTCAAACTTAATGAAAAAAAGGCAGTTTCTGCCACAAGAGCTCTTCATCTAACTGACAGCGTCAATCAGGAGGTTCTCTGAGCTCCTGGCTGCTCTCAGTAATGAAACCTTTCTTCTAAAAACTGGAGAGGCTGGTGAGATGGGATGGTGGGCCATGGTGGGGGGTGGGGGGTGCAGAAGACGTCTCTAGATCACCTCAACTATTTCACGTTTGTCTCATTATGGGCCTTGGTAAGGCATGAAGGAAGCCAGAGGCATGGGGTTTGGTGGCAGCTGGAGGGTCCTGGAAAGCAGGGCTGGAAGGGAGTCTTTTCTCAAGGGCAGTGATGCTATGGAAGCTCCTTTAAACTGAAATGTGTCTTTTTTCATTCCTTCTGGGGGAAGGCCAGATTCTCCTTCCAGAAGCTCGCTGCTGTTTTCATTTAGGACACAGAACACAGAACTGAGATCTGAAGCCTGTCTTGGAGATCATGTATTCCAATGGTTTTCAAACCTTTCTTTTACTGGGAAGTACTTTTCCCCTTAAATGAAAACTATTCCCTCTGCAAGGGCCTAACAGATAAACACACCAAAAACAGAAATCAGGATTCGATGCTTTAGGGATGGAAAACAGTGGGGTGGAGGTATGTGTTGGGGGATGAACTCCAAGTGGCCATGGAGATGCTCCAGAAAACTTTAGATTTCTGAGAAGCACTGAAAACCATGGATCTAGTTCAGTGCCCTCAGGCTGAAGACCAGAGAGGCTTGCTGAAGAGCAAATATATAATATCTGGCCAAGCTGGTCTTTTAAGTTCCCTTTCCCCAAAAGATGGGGCATCTACTTTGTGCCAGGCATCCTAGTGTGCACCAGTGATGCCAAGAGAGATGAGGCTGTTCATGGATCCTCTGGCTGTCGCTGAGAAAGCCTTACAAGTCTCCAGGGCATTCTTCTACTCCTTTCCCTTGCTCCTCCAGCAATAATATTACTTTCGCCCTAAGTGAATTCATGTATTTTGGAGAGAGGAGCTTCTTACTTCTGCTTTCTAGAAGCAGTGATTTGCTCACATTGGCCAGAAAACTGCAAGTTATCCTTGTTATTGCCCCATCACCTAGACCTGTTGATTCACCTCCTAAGTAATTTGGGTCAGTCTACTTGGCTCCATCTTTTTTTTTTTTTTTTTTTTTTTGAGACAGAGTTTCACTGTTGTTGCCCAGGCTGGGGTGCAATGGTGCAATCTCAGCTCACTGCAACCTTCACCTCCCGGGTTCTAGTGATTCTGCTGCCTCAGCCTCCCGAGTAGCTGGGATTACAGGTGTGCGCCACCATGCCTGGCTAATTTTGTATTTTTAGTAGAGAAAGCGTTTCTCCATGTTGGTCAGGCTGGTCTCAAACTCCTGACCTCAGGTGATCCACCTGCCTCGGCCTCCCAAAGCGCTGGGATTATAAGCGTGAGCCAGGTTCCTGACAGAGCAGACTGAATGGGTCAGTGTATGGAATAGCTCTCCCTTTCCCAAGGCCTATCATGGGACATTTGCCTAGTGACCACTCAGTGGACCCCTATTTTATCCTGTGCTGCTCTGGTCAATGGCTAATCCCTAAGTTCTCACCCTTTTCTCAGCCGCCACACCTATGATGGATGATTTTTATACACTCAAGCACATATCAAAATTTTGAGCACCTCCCCAGAAATTTTGCGGGGTGGCACAACCCGCATATAATTGCCAGAGTGCTCTTGGTATATCAGTAGCCCTCTTCTCCTGCAGTCAGTGAGATAGACAGGATGGTCTTCAGATCTGGGGATACCCAGACATGAATTGTATTTCCTTGCTTTCTTTATCACTGAAATTTAAATACAGTCATGTGCTGCATAATGACATTTCAGTGGATTATGGAACACATATATGAAGGTGATCCCATAATGGAGCTAGAAAATTCCTATCAACTGGTGACATCGTAGCTCTAGTAACGCCACAGCACCATGCATTATTTACCTGTTTTTGGTGATGCTGTTGTCAATAAACCACGATTGTATAATACATACAATTATGTATGTATTATAGTATGTACTATACTTTTTTTGTCATTACTTTAGAGTGTACTTCTACTCATAAAAAATAAAGTTAATTTTGAAACAGTCTCAGGCAGGTCCTTCAGGAAGTATTCCAGAAGAAAGCATTGTTATCATAGGAGAGGACATCTCCACGGGTGTTATTGTCCCTGAAGACTTTCCGGTGGGACAAGATACAGAGGTGGAAGACAGTGATATGCATGATCTTGACCTTGTGTAGGCCTAGGATAATGTGTGTGTTTGTGTCTTTGTTTTTTAATAAAAAAGTGTAAAAACTAAAAGGTTAAAAATTATTTTACATAGAAAAAAGCTTGTAGAATAAGTATATGGAAAAGAAAATAGTTTTGTACAACTGCAAAATGTGCTTTTGTTTCAAGCTAAGTGCTATTACAAAAGAGTCAAAAAGTTAAGAAAAATTTTAAAGTTTATGAAGTGAAAAAGTTACAGAAAGCTAGGATTATTTTATAATTAATGAAAAAACATTTTAAATAAATTGAGCATAGCGTAAGTGTGCAGTGTTGATAAAGTGTACAGTCGTGCATAATGTCCTAGGCTTTCACATTCACTCAGTACTCACTCACTAACTCACCCAGAGAAACTTCCAGTCCTCCAAGCTCCATTCAGTGATAAGTGCCTTATACAGGTATACCATTTTAAAAATCTTGTATAGCATATTGTCACTGTACTTTTTCTATGTTTAGATATGCAACTACTTACTATTGTGTTACAATGGCTTGCAGTATTCAGAACAGTAGCATGTGGTATAGGTTCGTAGCCATATAGCCCGGTGTGTAGTAGGCTGTACCACCTAGGTTCATGTAAGTCCACTCTATGATGTCCACACAGTGATGCAATTGTGTAGTGATGCATTTCTCAGAGTGCATTCCTTTCATTTAGCAACACATGACTGTACATTGAGTGAGAAAAGTAAACCAGAATTTGATTAAATATGTTAAAAACATTTAAAAAATCTTAGATTACCAGTAGTAAACTACTTGTGAACTCCCCACAGATGGCAGGTGAGGATCCCAGTGAAGGTCCCTCAAGAGTCATTTTCACTAGCTTCATAGACACTCAGTCTCCAGACAGCATTGTCTGGTAGTTGGGAGTCACCCAGGATCCAGTGGAGGGGGGTGAGACATTCTCGTTGAGTGTCCTTGAGTTATGCTCCAGGGAAAGGGCCTCACTGGGTCTTTTAATGAAATGAAACCCTGACCCTTCAAGGCTGGCAACTGAAGGGCCTTATGGCATGTGGGTGGGTGTGGTCCTGAGGCTTGTTCTCTAATAACCACATTCCCCTGGCAGATTTCACACATGCTGCCCTGCATGTAGGACATTAGTAGACCAGTCAAGATGGAGCTTCGTTGAACACAGACCAACTCTTTTCAAATACTTCCTCCTTCAGCAGGAGGTTCCTCTGGCTGTCTTGCCCACCTCTTGCTCCCCTTCAGGCTTTGATGCCTGGTGCCTTGTGAGCTACTGCAAGAACAGGAGCACACCCTGTCCTGGTGGTGGTGGTGGTGGGTGCTACAATTTTTCTTCAGCATCCAATCCCAGCTTGGAATAATAAGAGAAAATGATGCCTGCCCCTGTGGGTTCTTACAATGTCCCTTCCAGGGCACAGACATCCTGACCTCTAGCAGGATGGAAACTGTAGCTACCCTGAAGAAAAACAGCAGCCTTGGCCTTTGAAGGGATGACAGGACAGTGGCAGGGTGACAGAGTTTGGGAACTTTGTGATTCTGCTAGCTGAGTATCTTGTCTTACTTGACGGCCCTCACTCCTCTACTCCCATCTCTCTGCTCTGGAACTCAGACTGTGGAAGTCCCCAGGGTCCCCGGCTCTCAGAATTTATGGAGAAAATGACTCTGTGTTCTCTAAGTCTTCAACAATGCTTGGGCTTTTGATATATGTCAGCTTTGGTTGTGGTTGGGGGTTGGGGGCTGGTGGAGAAATACAAGTAACCTCCTCACCTCCACCCCCATCACTGCTGTCCTGCTGATCCCTAGAGCAGCAAAGAAACATTCTAGCTTTGAAGGTGGGCCTTGGTCAGTTTCAAATCCCCCAAACAGGTGCTTCTGGCCATCAAAGTCTTGAAGCAGTTAAACTTGCTTTCACCTTTGCTGCAGTTCCCTTAAAAGAAAATAGAGAGATCTTCGAAAGGTGGAGGGGGTGGCAGGCCAGAAACGTAAAGTGTGTGCAATCACTCAGATACAAGTGGCACCACTAAAAATTGCCTTCATATATCAGCTTATGGTTTACACACTCTGGCAGAAAGGACACTAAAAGGTCAGCAAGAAAAAAATGTATATGTCAGGCCTGGAGCTGTGGCTCCAAAGGTGGTGAGAAGACACAATCTTCGAAGGGTTCTGGAGGGACCGGCTAACTGCTTAATGTGGCAGGATTCTTTTTTTTACTCTTTATTTTGTTTTATTTTTAAGGAAGTTGCTTGCAAACGTCAGCAGGGAAGCTAAGGTATAGATTCGGAGTAACCTCTCGCTCCGACCCCCGGTGACAAGACGGATAGTTCCATTCATCTATGGGTGAGCAGCCGAGGCTCCCTGCATTTTTTTTCCTTTTTGCTTGGATTCAGGATATATTTGTTTGCAGAGAGGGATGTCATGCTTGTGAATGCACTGCTCAGTCATGTGCCTGCAGTGAAATCAGAGGAGGTGAGGAGAGGCAGGAGGGAAGGAAGTGGTGTGGGGAAAGGGCAAGCTATACTCTGGGGGCTTTCAGTGTGCCAGCTCAGATCCAGAAACACATCTTCAACCAAATGCTAATGGAGAATGTGCCTTCCAACCCGAAGTATCAGCAAGTAGGCTGTAAATTAATAATGCACCCTTTTAGTAGCAATTGCCTTGTGGAAAATTCTGGGTGAGGATTATTCATCCACTTCCCCTTCCATCCCACCTCTCAGAAGGAACTAAGAACACTGTAGGTCTCTTGGAGTTTTGTTTAAGACTGACTCTCCCCCCTTATTTTATTAACCGTGTAACATTTTCAGGTTGTTTTTTCCTCTCTGTCTCCTCCAGCAAGTCTCTATTGATCACTGTTTACAGTTATAATCCCTTTCAAATTTATCATCCATGACTAACACCACATGTATTGATTAGTGTTGACGGATGTCCCTCTACAGTGTAGAACCACTGGGATCCCGGCCAGCCAAATGCACTGGAGAAGCGGAGATAGAAATATATGTTTCCCTATTTCCTTGATTTTCTTTTGGTGCTTTTCTACTCCCCATTTTGTCCCTAACTCAGGTAACTACTTTCCTACAGATGCTTAGGGGTTGCTTTGTATATTTTTAAGATAATTTCTTTACTCCCACTGAAGCCTTCTGGGAAGAAAAGAAAGTGCTGTTTTGCTCCTGGGTGGCAACTGGGGGTCTGTGGACAGGCCCTAAAGGAGATCAGATTTATGAGGGACATACACATGTCTTAACCTAAAGCCTCAAGTAACAAAGATGTAAAGGCTAGATTTTTAGGGACAAATTAGATGTCACTTGTGACTAAGGACAAGGTGTCCGAAATCTGTACTATAAGTGGAGTCATTTGTCAATAGTGCAATTTTTTTTGGTCCTTTTTTTGCTTACTCTCTACAGTGTCCTCTTTGCCTGTTGTGGGCCAAAGGCAAGTGACACTTAGGTTGGGAAGCTGTGTACTCATCTGTCTTGCCCAAGTCACATTTCTAGGCCTCCTTGTCTTGGAACATTTGTGTACCTGGCTTGTCCTGCATGTGTGCATAAGGCACCCACCCCAGCCACCCACCAAGCTAGCACTGAGTTGTGGAGCAATCTGTCGCTTACCTTAAACCAGCCCCCTTGTGGGTAAGGCACCTTGAGGGTCCTGAGCTTGGCTGCCTCATCTATTCAATGAAAATAATAATCCTTTCCTTGCCTACCAAACAAGGAAGCTGTGAAATGACAGCTATGAGAGGGATTCAAAAAAACCATAAAGGACCTCCTAAAACAAGATTGTATAACTATTACCCCGGAAGCTCTCTTCCTCCTCCTCATCCTCCTCTTCATCCTCTTCTTCCTGTCTCTCCCTCTCTCTCCCTCCGTCTCTATCTTGGTCTCTATCTCTCATACTCTAAGGGGGTTTTATTACTGTAGAAGGTTTTTCTTATACTCCAAGGAATATCACCAGAAGACACAAGGACTAGGTTTGAGAATAAAACAAAGAATTATAGAACTCAAAGGGAATTTAGAGGTCTTGTAGCTTAACCCTTTAACGTTACACGTGAGGAAACCGATGAAGCCTAGACATTTGGAATAACATGTTCTATTTTGCACAGTGTGCAAGAGATAAGCCCAGGAAAAGAACTCAGTTTTCTGACTCTTAGGCAAGTATCTTTTCTTCCCTAAACCTCTTCTCACTGCTTCTCTCTCCCTGCCTATTCTCCTCCTCCTTTTCTCTTTCTTTCTCTCCTCTCCCTCTCCCTCCCCCTTGCCTTCTCCCTTTCCTCCCTCCAGCCCTTCAGCAGCTTTCCAGGTCTGGGTAGGGAAAGACACAAACCCCCTTGTTCTTGGCACTCACTTTGCTTTGCAAAACCTATTTTCTAAGAAATTCAAAGGTTTCTTTACCACTGAAAATTCGTATTAAAAAGTTAATTTTCTTTCCAAAGGAAAAAAAGAAAAGTGTGTTCCGCTCCTAGGGGAAAGCATATCTACACACCTCATGTACCATTCTGTCATGCTATCATGCTTTTGAATAGCTATTTAGTTGACTCATATGTAAATGATATTTTGTCCTCCCTCACTGCCTCTGTCCCCACTATTGACAATAATTTGATGGGATGTTTTTTGCCTCTTAACTTATCTATTTTTCAGGTTTTTCATGGTCTGTTTGTAATAGTGTTTTTGGTTCTTTGCACTACTTTAAATTAAGTTTCCCATAGGAGTCTTATTATACCTGAATACTGCTCAGTTATTTGATGACATAGTTGTAAATCCTCAATAAAAAGATCTTTAATAATCAGTTGGCATTTATTTAATATACTACCCATCTTATTAAATCTAACTCCTTAGATTTAATAGGACAGTTTATTGTATTTTAGCATCAGAATAGTGATGCTCTAGTTATGCTTGAGAAGGCACTTTCATTATAAACTCCTGTTTTTAGGCACTTATAATTTTCTTAAGTAGCACATTTATTTCAATGTGCAATCATTTTCTCTTCTCTTCTCCCTCCCTCTCTCAATTTGTACCATTTTTTCCCTCATCTTTTAAAAGTTTAATATGGAAATATATTTCAAACTTTAGGGAGAAAGCTCTATCAGTGGCTGAGAATAACTGAGCAAAGCTGCCAGGCTCCTTGAAATCCACATTCTTGTTTGGTGCCATCAGCCTACTTGATGCATATGTTGGCAACGGAGCCTGCTAGCCTCAGGATTGTGTTCCTATAACTTGTGGAACTTTTTTGCAAGTCCTTTCAAGTGCATTACCCCCGGTGGGTTTAAGCATCCTCCAGCTTTTGCCAGTGGTAGGAAACTGAGGAACTAACAATGCAGAAAATAGATTAGAATGGAGATGAGCCTCTCAGCTGCCCACCTGATGCTTTCCCTTTCCAGCCCATTCATGGCAAAAGTCCATGGGCCATGCTCCATTGCCTGGCTCTTCACCTTCATGTCCATTCCTTGCCTGGTTAACATCCACTCATATTTCAGGTATCAGAACAAGCATCACTTCTTCAAAGATGCCTGTTGTAACCATGTAGAATGAATCTGGTTTCTCTGTTATGTATCTTGTAGAATGGGGCTCCTTTGTTTTAGAGCACATATTACATTTTCCATTTATTATATTCAGTAGTGCACTGGGATTGGCTCATATTGTCTTTTGAGAGCCAATTGTGTGGATCTCTTCCCAACTCCATATTTAGTGATATCACCTTGAGAGGCTAAAATCATTCATGCTGGGAGTAGTTACATAAAGAAATGGGCAAACACTACGAATCAGAGCCTCCTCCCTCCCCGAGGGGAGCTGATTTTTAAATATTCACCTACACATCAGTTATGTGGTAGTTTGAGACTAAAGCCTGTCCCCTTCTCTAAACTGTAAACTCCATAGAACAAGGGATTTTGTCATTTTGGTTTGTGTTATATTCCCATCACAGTGTCTGGCATGTTGTAAGTAGCCAAAGAACTGAATTATAAAGAGATTTGGAAACAGAGTCTTATTTAAGCAAAGAGCCTGGATCATTCAAAGGATCTTAATGTCATAAGATCAAGGTTCTCTGTGATTTACTTCTAAGCATGAATCATCTCATACTGTGATAGGATCTGGCTCCCTAAGAAAAGAAAGGTTCTTAGATATTCAATTGGTTGTATTGCTAAAAGACCCATGAGGTAGCCCTCGAAACTGTTTAACCAGGTGCAGAAAGAGAGAGGCTGGATGATGTTTTCTGCTTTATTTAAAAAAATTATTTCATTGAAAAAGTTCTCTTTTGTTCTTCTAGATAGCTGCTTTCACAGGTTTTATGCTCCTGACTTTGAGAGGATGATGCTTTTTATTTCTACCTCCTCACCATGCTTCAACCTAGGTAGCCAGCATCCCTTCAGGAACTTTGAGCTGTTATCTAATGAAATAGGGTCCAAGCATGAAGTTAGAGAGACTTTGGTTCTGCCATAGTTTTGTAGCCTTGGAAATTGATTCCATCCTTAGAGCTTAAGTGTCTTCATGCCTAAAGCATGGCATGCCATAAAATTGTTACATGACATGAAATTAAACAAATATATGAGGTTACAGGCAAATGTAAATGTTATCAGTTTTAAAATCTTTAAATCTTTTCTCCTAGACCTGGATTCTGCCTTTGATGTTGTAGTAGAAGAATGGATGACTGAGGGATAGAAATACTTCAGGGTGACACTGTCAAATTGCTTGAGTGAGATGAGGAAAATTTAATAAATTGATTGTTATTGATAAATTAAAATTTTTTTGTGTGCAAGTTTTGTTTTCTTCAGTGAAGGACTAAATAATTTGGACAACCATCCCATTCAGAACAACTAGAAAAGTTAGAATAAAAAGTGTGACAAACACTTATTAAAAGACATAGTAGAGCTAACAAGACCATTCACAGTAACAGGACCAAGATCTGGAGAAGAATGATATCTAGACAGGTCAGCCCAGCATTTGGAGCAGCATTCCCCAGGGGCATCTACAGGCACCCTGGAAGAGGTTGCTTAGAGGAGAGTCTGGGCTTGACTCTTGAGTCTCATATGGCTAAGGGGGAATTTAAAGTTGAGCGACTATGAAGGAGTAAGAACTCTGGTAACAACAAGCTTTCAGTTGGAGTAAAAGTAAACTGATTTTATACTGACTTGCAGAAATGGAAGCCCCAGTTTCAAATTATCTTAATCTCCTATTGGAAGAGAGTGACCTGGGATGCTAGTGGTGCTGGCCATTTTTCAAAAGCAAATGTAACTTCTTTCTGGAGGATAATTTTATACTCCTAATTCTGAAATGATTATATCAGTTTTATGTTTGCAATGTTCTGTATCAAACAAAAAAGTCATATAAAAGTATAAGATAATGTTAAAAAATTAAGAGAAACAACATAAAATATAACTAGATCAGAGGGAATCCAGAGAATGGAGTTTTTAGACACGAATTTTTAAATAATCATGAGATTTTAATATGTTTAGGGGAATCAAAGATTGAGAATTTTGGAGGATAAACCAAACATTCTAATAAATATTTTAGAACTGAAAAATAAAAGGGAAATTAAGAACTCGGTGGGTGGATTAACAATGAACAGACAGCTGAAGAGAGACTAAGTGAACAGCAACATAGTTCATAATAAAATACTTAAAATGAACCTTGAGTTTAAAAGAAGAAAAAAATCAATAGAAAAAAAAAGAATAGAGAAAAAATTCCAAGATATATATAATTTGAAGCCTAGCAGGATAGGGAAGTGAGAATTAGGTAAAAGCAGTGTTCTAATAGATAATGGCCAAGAATTTCCCTAAACTGAAGAAGTATATCAAACCATATATTAAAGAAACACTCTGAACCTAGAGTAGAACAAACACTAAACAGTTGCATATAATATTAAACTGCTGAAAGCCAAAGACAATCAGAAAATCTTAAGAGTAGCCAGAGTGGAAACAGCAACAAGTCTAACAGCTAACTTTTTAACAACAACAGTGGAGGCTGGGAGTTAATGAATGGTATATTCAAACCACTGAAAAAAATGGCAACTTAGAATTTTATACTCATTGAAAAGATCCCCCAAATCAAGGCAAAACAATAGCATTTCCAGATAAGAAAAAACTGAGAGGATTTGTCACTGGCAGACCTATACTAAAGGAAAGTATGAAGGGCATTCTATAACCATTTTAGATTGAAGGTTGAGAACATAGGAGAAATGAGAAAAATAAATATGTAGAAAAATATAAGTAAGTTTTAACTATATAAAATAATAATGTCATGTGGGAAGAATACATATATAGAATTAAAATGCACTATAACAATAGCATATAAATTGAGAGAGTTAATGGAATTAAAGTGTCTTGAGGTTCTTGAATTGTACAGTAAGAATGAAAGTATTAATTTTCATTAGACAGACTTTATAAGTATACCTTTATCTCTAGGTAGCCCTAAATAAAATACACATACTTACATTAAAAGGATGCATAATAACATAATAGAAGGAGAATATAATAAATAACTACATTTAATCAATCCAAAAGAAGGATAGAAAATGATATAAAAAGTATAGAAAACCGGCCGGGCACGGTGGCTCACGCCTGTAATCCCAGCACTTTGGGAGGCCAAGGCGGGCAGATCACGAGGTCAGGAGATCGAGACCATCCTGGCTAACACGGTGAAACCCCGTCTCTACTAAAAATACAAAAATTAGCCGGGCGTTGTGGCGGGCGCCTGTAGTCCCAGCTACTCGGGATGCTGAGGCAGGAGAATGGCGTGAACCCGGGAGGCGGAGCTTGCAGTGAGCCGAGATCGCACCACTGCACTCCAGCCTGGGGGACAGAGCGAGACTCCTTCTCAAAGAAAAAACAAAAGTATAGAAAACCAGAATAGTTGTAGGAAGGAGTAAGAGGAGTAAGTAGGAAGATAATAGAGCTATTCAAATATATCAGTAATTGCACTAAATGTATATAGATTAAATGCACAAATTAAAAATTTAAGCCGTTAGACTAAATACAATACCAAACCCAAATATATGCTGCCTATAGAAATACAAAATCAATGTATGGATATAGAAAGGCTGAAAAGAAAAGGATAGAAAAATACTGACTGAAAGCAAGCTGATATAGCTATACTAATACGAAAGAAGCTTTAAGACAAAAAGTGTCATTACTAGAGAAGAAAATGGACATATAATGACAAAAAAGTCAATTCACTGGGAGGATGTAACAAGTCTAAATTTATAGCTATCTACTGAGAGCTTCAAGTAGATATAAAACCATCCAAAGGAGAAATAGAGAAGTTCATAATCAGAGTAAGAGAATTTAACATATATCTCTCAGGAACCAATAGAACACACAGATAAAAGTTAGTATATAGAACCTCTAAACAATATTATTAACTAAATTATCTTAAAAGACAAAGAGAACATAGTATCCAACAGTGTATTCTTTTTTACTGTGGTATGATATACATAATATAAAGTTAACTTAACTATTTTAACCACTTTTACATGTATAGTTACAATGGCCCATAAAGCAAGTAAAGACAAATTCTCAAAAACTTGAAATTATACAGAATTTATTTTCTAACCAGAGTGAAATTAAGCTAGAAGTCAAAGCAAATAGAAAACTTGAAAATCTCCAAGTGCTTGGAATTAAGTAATAGACTTCTTATAATTATTATGTTAAAAATAATCACAATAAAAATTAAAAATATTTTGAACAAAATAAGAAAAATATAACATCCTCAAACTTTAGAAATGCAGGTAAAGATATAATTAGAAAGAAATACATCATAATAAAAACATGTAGGAAAAGAAAAAAGGCTGAAAATGACCATGTAATTATTCATATCAGGACATTAAAAAATATCAGCCAATTAACCTCAAAATGGAGGATAAAAGAAATAATAAAAACAAGAGGAAAAATTAATTAAATAGAATGCAAATATACAATAAAGAAATTCAATAAAACCAAAAGTTAATTCTCTGAAAGACTGACAGTTGACAAACCACAAGTCAGGATGATTAAGAAAAAGACAGGTAGGTACATAGCAGAAATGAACAAGAAGGTATAATAAAGATATGAAGGGCCGGGCGCGGTGGCTCACGCTTGTAATCCCAGCACTTTGGGAGGCCGAGGCGGGCGGATCACGAGGTCAGGAGATCGAGACCATCCTGGCTAACACGGTGAAACCCCGTCTCTACTAAAAATACAAAAAAAATTAGCCGGGCGTGATGGTGGGCGCCTGTAGTCCCAGCTACTCGGGAGGCTGAGGCAGGAGAATGGCGTGAACCCGGGAGGCGGAGCTTGCAGTGAGCCGAGATTGCTCCACTGCACTCCCGCCTGTGCCACAGAGCGAGACTCCGTCTCAAAAAAAAAAAAAAAAAAAAAAAAAAAAAAAGATATGAAGAATTATCAAGAGGATATTAGAGAAAATTTTGTGCCCCAAATTTTGAAATTCCAATGAACAAATTCTAAGGAAATAATTTATTAAAATTATAAGAAAAATATCAATTAAGGACATTTAATCTGTCATTTAAAACTTTCCCAAAGAAATTTTCAGGTTCTCATGATCTCACAAATTATTTGAGTCATTTTATATTATTAAGATTTGTTTTATAGCCCAGAATATGGTCTATTTTGGTAAATGTTCCCTGTGCTTCTTTTTTTATTATTGTGGTAAAAAAAACATAACATTTACCATCTAAATCATTTCTAAGTGTACAGTTCAGTATGTTAAGAAAATTCGCATGGTTGTGAAACATATCTCCAGAATTTTTCATCTTGTAAAACAAACTTCATGCTCATCAAACAGCTCTCCATCTCCATCTACCCCAGCTTCTGGTAACAACTGTTCTACTTTCTGTTTTTTATGAATGTGACTATAGATAACTCATGTAAATAGAATCATGCAATATTTGTCTTTTTATTCTGGCTTATTTCCCTTTGCATAATGTCCTCAAGATTCAACCATATTTTAGCATGAGTGAGAATTTCCTTCCTTTTTAAAAGCTGAATAATATTCCATATATATTATAATTGAATATATTAAGTAATATTCCATATATATCACATCGTGTGTGCACATGTGTGTAGATAGATAACACATTTTGTTTATGAATTCCTCTTTTAGTGGGTACCTAGGTTGGTTCTACTTCCTGGCTATTTTGCATAGTGGTGAAATGAATATGGATGTACAAATATTTCTTTGAAACCCTTCTTTCGATTTTTTTTGATATATAGATAGAAGTGGAATTTCTGAACTGTATGGTAATTCTATTTTTAATTTTTGATGAACTACCATATTGCTTTCCATAGGAGCTGTGTGTTTCACATTTTTACCAGCAAATATTTTAATTTCTTCATGTCCTTGCCAACACTTGTTCTTTTCTGCCTTTTAAAAAAATAGTAGCCATCCTAATGAATTTGAGGTGATATCTCATCATGGTTTGGATTTGATTTGATTTTTTCCTAATGATTAGACATGTTGAGCATCTTTTCATATGCTTTCTGGCCATTTGTTTATCACATTTGAAAAAATGTCTATTCAAGTTGTTTGTCCATTTTTAAATTGGGTTATATTTGTTGTTGCAATGAAGGAATTCTTTATGTATTTGACATAGGATCTCCTTATTAGATATATGGTTTGCGCATATTTTCTCCCATTTTGCGGGTTGCCTTTTTACTTTGTTGATTGTGTCCTTTAATGCACAGCAGTTTATAATTTGGATATAGTCCAGTTGTTCTGTTTTCACTTGTGTTGCCTGTGGTTTTGGTGTCATATCCAGGAAATCCCTGTTAAACCCAATGTCATGAAGCTTTTTCCTTATATTTTTCTTCTAAGCATTTTATAGTTTTAGGTCTTATGTTTAAGTTTGATCCATTTTGAGTTAAATTTTGTAGATGGTGTACAGTAAGAGCCCAACTTCATTATTTTGCATGTGGGTATCCAGTTTTCCAGCATCATTTGTTGAAAAGACTTTTTCCTATTGAATGGTCTTTGCATCCTTGTCAAAATCATTTAGCCATATCTGCAAGGGTTATTTCTGGGTTCTCTGTTCTGTTCCATTGGTCTATATGTTTGTTTTATGGCAATACCACGCTATTCTGATTATTGCAGCTTAGGTTTTGAAATTAGAAATTGGGATACCTCAACTTTGTCCTTCTTTTACAAGATTATTTAGGATAGTTAAGGTCATTGAGATATCATGTAAATTTTAGGGTGGATTTTTACATTTCTTCAAACAATGCCACTGGGATTTTGCTAGGGATTGCATTAAATTTGTAGATTACTTTGAGTAGTGTTGACTTCTTCTTTTTTTTTTTTTTGAGACGGAGTCTCGCTCTGTCGCCCAGGCTGGAGTGCAGTGGCACGATCTCGGCTCACTGCAAACTCCATCTCCCAGATTCACGCCATTCTCCTGCCTCAGCCTCCCGAGTAGCTGGGACTACAGGTGCCCGCCACCACGACTGGCTAATTTTTTGTATTTTTAGTAGCGACGGTGTTTCACCGTGTTAGCCAGGATGGTCTCTGTCTCCTGACCTCATAATCTGCCCGCCTCGGCCTCCCAAAGTGCAGGATTACAGGCGTGAGCCACCGTGCCTGGCCTGACTTCTTAAAAACAGTAAGTCTTCCAATTCATGAACACAGGATGTCTCCATTTATTTGGGTCTTTCATTCTTCAGCAACATTTTGTAGCCTGTAGTGCAAAAGTCTTTTGTCTCTTTGGTTAAATTTATTCTTAAGTATTTTGTTCTTTTTGATGCCATTGTAAATGGAATTTAATAATTCCTTTTAGATTGTACATTTTAAGTATATAGAAAGGAAACTAAATTTTGAGTGATGATTTTATGTCCTGCAACATGTAAAATTTGTTTTTTTATTTCTAACAATTTTTGCATGTGGAATCTTTAGAGTTTTCTGTATATGAGATCAGTTGTCTGAGAAACAGAAGTAATTTTCCTTTCTCCTTTCCATTTTGGATGCCTATTATTATTATTATTGCCTAATTGCTCTGTCGAAGATTTCCACTACTATGTTGTATAGCAGTGGTGAAAGCAAGATTCTGTTTTCTCGATTCTGATTTTAGAGAAAAAGCTTTCAATCTTTTACCATGAAGTATAATATTACTTGTAAGTTTTTCATATACGGCTTTTTTATGTTAAAATAGTTCCACTCTCTCCCTAGTTTGTTGAGTGATATTCCATATGGTTTTGAAAAGAATGTGTTCTGCTATTGTTAGGAAGCTGTTGTATAAATGTTAATTAGATCAAATTGGTTGATTGCATTGTTCTGTTCTACTTTATACTTATGGATTTTCTGTCTAGTTTTTCTTTCAATTATTGACAAAAAGGGTTTATGTTTTTGAAAATAATATTTTGTCTATTTCTCCTTTCCTCTATAAGATTTTGCTTTTGGTATTTTGAAGTTCTGTTATTAAATGTGCAGATATTTAAGATTATTATGTTCTCATATTGAATTTACCTCCTTATCATTTTGAAATGACCCTCTTGAATCTGTGGTAACATTATTTGCTCTGAAATCTATATTGTCTGATATTAATGTTGATATTCTTTCTTTCTTTTGATTAGTGTTAACACAGAATATATTCTTTCTATCTTTTCTCTTTTAACCTATTTATATCTTTATATTTGAAGTGAGTTTCTTATTGTTAGCTCATAGTTGAGTCTTCTTTCTTATTGAATCTGACAATCTCTGCCTTTTAATTGGGTGTATTAAACTATTTACATTTAATATGATTATGATATAGTTGGCCTGACCAAGAAAATCTGTTTTCTGTTTTTCTTATCTATTCTTTGTTTCCTTTTTCTATCTGTTTTTGTATTACATGAGTCTTTTTCTGATTCAATTTTATCTCCTTTGTTGACTTATTACTATAACTATTCATTTTGCTACATTATTTTAGCAGTTGCTTTAATGATATTATATCACTCTGTGTGTAGTGTTTTATGTAATATTTACCCTTGAAATGAAAATATGAGTTCTTGACTTATCAATGTGATTTACCACATTAACAGAATATCAGAGAAATCATATGATTTTCTTCATAGGTACAGAAAATTCAACACCAATTCATATTAAACTCTTAGCATAAAATCAACAGAATGTACTTTCTTAATATGATATAGAATGTCTATGAAAAATACTAAGTATTTATCATTTTAAAAGTGTAATGATCAATGTTTTCCTTCTGAAATTGGGAATGAGACACGGAAGCTGGCTCTCATCCCTCCTATTCTACATTGTACTGGAGTCCTTCCAGCACAAAAAGCAATATACAGAAATAGAAGGTGCAAAGTTCATAAGGAGAAATAATATTCTCATTATTTATTATTTATAGGCAACATAATTATGTTCATAGAAAATTCTAAAATATTTATATATAATTTATTAGAGTTAAAAAATGAATTTAGCAAGACTATTCAACACTAATGCACTAACAGATATTTTTAAGTGCCTGAAAAAAGTTATAAAATTAAAAATATCATTAAATATTAAGCTCCTTTTAATAAAGCTAAGAATATGTTTACTTGTCTACTACACATAACATTGCAAAATATTAACAAAAATTAAAGATGATCTCAATAAATAAAAGTTTATGTTAGTTCTTTACAAATTCATCTATAGAGTCAATACAATCTTAACAAAGATTTGAGGACATTGTCTTATGGGTATGGGAAAGTTGATTCCAATATTTATATCAAAACACAAGGGGCCAAGAATATCTAAGATAATCTTGAAGCAGAAGCAGGTAGAAAGACATACTCTATCAAACAACAAGCCATATTGTAAAGCTACAGTTACTAAAGTAGTGTGTATTGGTGTATGCCTAGACTAAAAGAGTCAAGAAATAGAACTATGCCTATATGGATATTTGATTTCTGTTAAAAGTAGCACTTTGGTGCAGTGGGGGAAGTGAGGCCTTTTCTCAATGACTGTCCAGTGTCAATTGCATATCCTTATAATGAAATTGGGATTCTGCCTCACACGTACTTGAAAATCAAGTTTATGTGGACTGTGGATCTAAATATGAAAGTCAAAACAATAACATCTAGGAGATCATATAGAATATCTTCATGACTTTGGGTGGGGAAAGATTTCTGGAACAAGATACAAAAAACACTAACTATTTAGGAAAAGACAGATAGATTGGGTTACATTAAATTAAGAACTTGTGCTTATCCAAACATAGTGTAAAGAGAATAAAAATGTAAGCTGGATTAGAAGATATTTTTGACACATGTAACCAACAAAAGGTTGATAATCAGACTATATTAAGAGCTCCTATATATCAATGTGAAAAGCACAGACATCCCAATAGAAAAATGGGCAAATGAGTTAGGCCCTTCACAAAAAAAGAAAATGCAAATGCCCATGAACATAAGACAACGTGACCACCGTTAGTAACTGGAGAAGTGCAAGTTTAAAACACAATCAGCGACTACTACACGCCTACCAGAATGGAAAATCTGTAACAACCACCACAAACAAAACAAAATGCTAACCTTGCCAACTATAGAGTTGATTTGCTTATTCATACCCTGCTTATAAGAGTATTTTGGAAAAAAATCTTAGGCATGACACACTCCAGTTGTGCTTACCCTACTATCTCTCCATTGCACTCCCAGGTATGTATCGATAGAAATGTGAACACATTAGACCAAAAGATACGTACCAAGTATGCTCACGGCATTATTATTTATAAAAGTCACAGATTTGTCCATCAATAGTAGAATAAGTAAAAAAAATATATATATACAGATACTACACAGTTACAAAAAACAGAATAAATTCAGACACAAAATAATACAGACTGTTATTTCATTTAACAAATGTTCAAAACAAGTGAAATTAATCTATTGTGTTAGAAGTTAGAGTCATCACTTTTGGGGAGTAGGGAAAGTCTGTGTTTGAGAGGGGATATATTAGTTTTTTATTGTCATTATCACAAATTATTACAAATGCAGTAGCTTCATACAGCACAATTTTTTTTTTATCTTATGATGCTGTAGACCAGAAGTCCATGAAAAATCTCATGGGCTAAGATGAACTTGTCAGCTGGGTGCATTCCTTTTTGGAAGCTCTTATGGAGAACTTGTTTCCTTGCCTTTTCCACCTTCTAGAGATTGTCCAATTTCCCTGGCTCATGATCCCTTCCTCCATTTTCAAAGCCGGCAACACTGGGCTCCAGTCCTTCTCATGCTACCATCTATCTGGTTCTTGCTTCTCTATTCACATCTTACTTTTCCACTTTCAAAGATCCTTGTGGTTACATTGGACCCACCCAGTTAACCCAGATTAATGGCCGTATTTTGAAGTCAGCTGATTAACAACTGTAATTTCATCCTCAAACTGAATTCCCCTTTGTCATATTTCATACGTCATGTGTCAACATAACATGTTCACATATCCTGGGGATTAAGATGTGGGCATCTTGGGGGGCCCATTATTCTGTCTACCATAAGAAGCATGAGGGGACTCTTCTTTTCCTTTTCTTTCTTTATCTTATTTTTTCTTTAAAATGATAGGAGTCAGAAATTACTTATGTCACTCGATTTTTTTCATTACTGAACCTGGGTAACCTTTTATTTTTCATTTTTTCTAGGAAATACAAGTTTGGGGACTAAAGTAGGCAAAAGAAATGTGTTCTGTGTCCTGTTCTGTGTCAGAGATGGAAAATGGTGATGCTTCCTATTCTGCCACAAATGTGTTGATGCTGTTTGAGTGTGGCAACGAAGCAGAAACGCCATACTCAATTTCCTTTTGGAAATGTCAAGGAGAACCCATCTAGCTTCCAAGTTGCA
This sequence comes from Homo sapiens, assembly GCF_000001405.40. NCBI lineage: Eukaryota > Metazoa > Chordata > Mammalia > Primates > Hominidae > Homo > Homo sapiens. Next base: position 60,009,588 of record NC_000002.12, on the reverse strand, counting down.
CTGCAAGCTGAGAGCCTCCTTCTCCCCAAATGTGTCCAGAAAGAGTTTTTTGTTTCTTGCCCATAAACATGCCCAGTGACTTGATTTCCTAAGATTCTGTAATATAATGTTGACTCCTAATTTTGTTTTAATCATTTTAGTTACATATCAGCTCAAAAGCCAAATTAACTCTGTTCTTATTTTAGTTGTGAAAACAAATTCCAGCATAAGCAGCCATCCAGGAATGTCTTTGCCACTTTGTCTTTTGGCACAAATTCTTCCTGAGATGATTTGGGGAAGGTACTCTGTGCTTTCATCATGTCAAGCACACATCTATGTGTTACAAAAATGTGGCACATATGACAAATAGAAAAAAAAGCAGATTAAATTATTAGGACATGTGCATATTGAGTGTATTCTTTCTCTCAAGTGTGTGTAGATTTTCCTCCTAACAGTTCTTGGGGAGAAGATTTGCAAGTAAATTTTGGATTGACAAGATTTTTTCTCCTTGGCTAACCTTTCCTTCTTACCACATCATTTTACTTCCCTTCCAGTGAGATTTTGGTCTTGGACTTAATTAAACAGATTGTTGTGGGGGGCTATTTCCAACCATATCTGGGAAATTATCTTCCCAATTGAACCTCTGAGTTCAATTCACTTCTCCTCTCTCTATTGGTGTGGCCTTAAGATCATTCCAGGCATAAACTTTATTTCTTACCCTATCTCCTCCCTCCAAGATGCTATGGGATGACTCCTATGCTGGTTGATTATGTAGTTCTTTACTCTGTTTTCCCTCTGCAGCCACAAGGTGAGCAGATTGGTTGGAACTTGCGTTCACTGATGGAACTTAGCTATGTATGCCCAAATGGCAAGATGGGGAAACAGGGAGAACTTGCCAGCAATGCTGTTACAAATAGTTTCTAAAAAACAGAAAACATAATATATTACATTTAAAATGTTATGCTCTGTACCTAGTGGCATCTACGATCTCTTCACAGTTAGTTCTTCTGTATCATGAAAGCATGCGAGCTGACGCTAGTACTTCTTCGGGTGGCTTTTGAAAACCTAGTGGTCTCTTATGAAATCAGGAATCTGGATCAATGAAACTCAGACTTTATTGTTAGATAAAGCAAAGATAATATAATAGTGTGATAGAGCACTAGCTCTCAAATTTTACGAGTTTAATTATCACCTAGAGAGCTTGTTAAAACACAGATTATTATTATTTTTTGAGACAGGGTCTCACTCTGTCACCCAGGCTGGAGTTCCGTGGTATGATCGTGGCTCACTGCAGCCTTGACCTCCAGGGCTCAAGCAATCCTCTCATCTCAGCCTCCCAAATAGCTGGGACTACAGGCACGTGCCACCACACCTGGCTAATTTTTTTGTAGGGATGGGGTTTCACTATGTTGGCCAGGCTGGTCTCGAACTCTTGGATGCAAGTGATCCACCCACCTCGGCCTCCCAAAATTCTGGGATTACAGGTGTGAGCCACTATGCCCGGCCAAAACGCAGATTATTGATCATTGATTTCTATCTTCAGAGGTTGTCATTCAGGTCCCAACTGCCCATTTGTGTACCACACTTTGAATCATACTGGGATTGGATATACCAGTCACAGATATGCATAAATTCCAAATGAAATTGTCATGCTGTCATAGAGATGGGCTCTCATTTCTTGGAGGCTCTCAGGAATTCCTGTGAGGATCTGTGATTCTGTTAAGGGGCAAGAATAATGCCTGACACACAGCAGGTGACTAATACATGTGTGGAGAACAAATCCTCAGCAAGGAGTGAAGATATGAAACAAAAGAACAAGAGAAGAAGTTTTCCATTAACTTATAAATGAAAGAGAAGGAGTTTTCCATTAACGGATAAACATTGAAACTCGCCTTCAGAATGAAGCTATAATTCCAGTTTCACAGTCCCAAGTTAAAGAGAGGAGAAAGAAGCCAGATTCAGGGAACTATGTGGTGAGAAATAGAAACTGGATTTAGGATAAATTGCGCAAATCCACAACGAGAGATCCGACCCTATTTCCAGAGTTAAACTGGAATGGAACCGTTTGTAGCTCAGATGTGTCAGTATATAGATGCTAGTCTTCACTTCTTCACCATTTCAGAGTCTTCACTGTGTTGAATGTATTAATGCTCTACTCCAGAGCTTATGTGTCAATTGGACAGTAGTTGTTAAGTTTTTGGTGGAGTGGCAGACTAAATACCTTGACCAATACTTCTGATTGGAACAACAAAAAATGTTGTGTTTCACAAAGATGGCATGAAACGAAGAAATATTTAGAGGCCAAATAGAAAGGAGAGTAGGAAATATGACAGGTAAATTAGCATCAATGTTTGTTTGTGCACTGGGGTCTCTGGTGAGTCCTAATGACGTTGATTCTACTGCAGTGATGAGAGGGGACATGAGAAGATGGAATAAGACACGTCCTCCACAAAGTAGGGAGTCTGATGGGGTCCCCCATATAAATGTAGAACCCCAAGGGGTCGCATTAGGAGTATAAAGGTGAATAAGAAAGAATGCAGAAGAGTATAGCAAGGACAAAAATTTGCCTTCATTGCTGTGTGAAGAAGGAAAATGAGAAATAACTAACACTTAGCCCTCATGTGAGTTTGATTTCAGAATTCATGCTACCTATATAATCCAAAAAATGTTCAATTAGGGAATTGAATTGAAAATGGTTCTGGGTTATTTAGAAGCTGGGTTTCTTTCCTCCTTTCTCTGAAGACAAACAACTGTAACCCATGCCTAAAAATTCCCAAAGATGAAGTTTAAAAATACTAAGCTCAGTCAAAAATAATAAAATACACAAGGAAGCAAGGCAACATAAATAGCGGCTGGTGGAAACAGTGAAGGCAGAATCAGACTTGTAAAATCTTCAGTTATTGAAATTATCAGACACATAATTTAAAATAACTATGCTGAATATATTTTTAGACATAAAAGAAAAGCTTCAAAATATGAGAATGAAACAAGAAACCATAAAGATTGACCAAAGCGCTTCAAATGAAAAGGTCAAATTGAATTTTTAGAAGAGAAAAATAGAATAATTGAAATAACTCAGTGGATAGGTTAAAGGGCAAGGTAGACAGAACTAAACAGAGATTTAGTGAACTAGAAGAGATATCTACAACAATAGCAATAACAACAAACTGAGAATGCAGACCAGAGAGACAAAGACCTGAGTATATAAGAGAGGTTAAGCGATATGGAGGATGGAGTTAGAAGATTTAACATAGATCAGATCAGAGATTCAGACAGTAATTACATGAAGAATGGAAAATAGTCAATATATAAAGTACACAATTATTGAGAGTTTTTGGAATTACTTATCCTTAGAACCAAGCAGCCCAATACATATCAAGTAAGGTAAAAATAAATCCACACCTAGGTTTTAAAAAATGCAAAACATCAAAGACAAAGAGTGTTAAAAGCAGCCAACGAAAAATGACACATTGCCTGCAAAAGATGGTGTTTAGACATTTTGGGAGCAATAGAATATAGTGGAATAATATAGTGTATGTACTGAAAGAAAACAACTCAATTTGGATATTATGTAAAGAAAACCTTTATTTAGTGATAATCTTTATTTAGGAATAAAGTCTAAATAAGAACATTTTAAAACAAATAAATAAACAACAAACATCCTCATTAAAGGTTATTCTAAAGAATAAACTTCATGTAAAAGGAAAATGATCCTAGATGGAAGTTTGGGGTGCGGGAATAAACCATAAGCAAAGAAACCTGTAAATAGGTGGACAAAACTAAGCAAACACTGCCTGTATTAAAAAAAAAGTCTGGTTTGTTTTTCTTTTTGTGAAATAGAATATAACTAAAACAATTAAGAATTAGATAAAGGATCCAAGTTAAAATATTCTAGGTTTTTGTAATTCTTGGGATGAAGGTAACAATATTAACCAACTTTGGACTTTGATAATTTACATCTCCATGTTAAAATGACTAGGGTGCTGGGCACAATGGTTTGAGCCTGTAGTCCCAGCTACTAGGGAGGCCAAGGTGGGAGGATTGCTTGAGGGCAGGAGTTTGAGACCAGCCTGGGCAACATACTGAGACCCCCATATCTAAAAAAAAAAAAAAAAAAAGTGGCTAGGATAAGAACAGACAGAGAAAATGTAGAACATATAGCATAAACCTTCGAAACAATAAGGAAAACAGAATGAGAAATAAAAGACTTAATCTAAAAAAAAGGAACTAAAGAAAATTTAAAAAGAGATACAGACAATAACAGGGGAATAGAAAATAGAATATAGGCCGAGCGTGGTGGCTCACGCCTTTAATCCCAGCACTTTCGGAGGCCGAGGCGGGCAGATCACCTGAGGTCAGGAGTTCAAGACCAGCCTGGCCAACATGGTGAAACCCTGTCTGTACTAAAAATACAAAAATTAGCAGGGCTTGGTAGTGGGCACCTGCAGTCCCAGCTACTAGGGAGGCTGAGGCAGGAGAATTGCTTGAACCCAGAAGGTGGAGGTTGCAGCAGTGAGGTGAGATAGCGCCACTGTACTCCAGCCTGGGTGACAAAGCAACACTGTCTTTAAAAAAAAAGAAAAAAAAGAAAATAGAATATAATATTGTTGAAATTAACCTAAATATAAGAGTAAATATTATAAATGCAAGTAACCTGAACTCTTTCATTAAAAAACAATGGTTCCAGACTGGATTAAAAAACTAAGCTAAATTCTCTTTATAAATGAAAACATAAGCACACAGAAATATTGAAAGACAAAGGATAGAAAAGGATACCCCATGCAAATTCTAATCAAAACAAATCTGAGATTTCTATGTTAATTTTGGATGAAAGCATTATTAAAGAGAGTCATCACACAATGGTAAAAATCCAGATCGCTAGGAAAACATTACAACTCTAAGAGGTAATATATCTTTTCAATTTATACAACAAAATAGGCAGGACAAATAGATAAACCTACCATAGTGTTTGGGTTTTACCATACTTCTTTTAGTAACACATAGAACAGGGAGAGAAAATATTAATAAGGCTACAAAGATTTAAACAACAGAATTGACAAATGTGATTTAATGGACATACGTAGAACATTACAGCCAACAACAGCAGAACACACATTCTTTCAAGAACCCATGAAACATGTATGGTCATCTACTTTGTACTGAGCCCTATAGCAGGTCTCAGCCAATCTCAAAGGGTCATAGCTACCCAGACCACACCCTTTACCACAATGCAATTACATTATACAACAATAACATAGACTAACTAGAAAAAACCTATATGTTTGAAAATTAAGACAAATACATTCAGGTAAGTCGTGTCAAAGGAGAAATCACAAGATATTTAGAATTGCAGGATAGTTGTTTATGTATCAAAACATAAACTATACCCCCATAAACATACGGGGGTATAGTTAATACAAGACCTAGACAGAAAGCTGTAGACTTACGTACTCATATCAGAAAATAAGAAAAGCTCAAAATTAATTAATTCAATGTTCAATTTTAGGAGTTAGGAGAGCAGAGCAGTATAAAGTCAAACAAAATTGAAGGAAAAATAACGAAGAAAGAATAAAAGTACAAATGAGTAGACTGGAAAATAAATATGCAATAGAGAAAATCAACAAAGCCAAAAGTTGATCATTTGGAAGCACTAACAATAAATCTCTGGAAGAATTAATTAACAAAAGAGAAAATAAGATAAATGAGGAACAGAAGAGGGGACATAATTACAAAGGCTGAGGAGATAAAAAGATGACTCTAGTTGGGATAGCCCTGGTGAGATTTTGGACATATAGAGGTAGGCACTGGCTGTACAACTTCCTTCAAAGCCGGCTCAGTGTTTAACTGTCATTGTGTTCAATGCAACATCCTAAGTGCAGGGCAAGTGCTGAGCCAGTATTCCAAGTGCTGCAGGTGAAGTCCTGAGAGAACCCAGAGAGGAAAGAGTAGCCAAGTGTGGACGGGTTATCCAAGAATCCAGAAGACCTGCAGTAGGACTTGAAACTTTCCATGACACAAGTTGATTGAGAGGTTGCTGAGAAGGTGTCCAAATAGGAATGTGCAAAAGGTAAAGTGATGAGCCTGGAAAGTCCAGTAAATGGGATAACTAGCAGAGACTCTTCTGCTCCATGGGAGTGGGGTATAATGGGCTGAGCATAGAAGGAGTAAAGGGTGAAAAGAATGGTTACAACGCTGAAATACAGACCACTGTTTACAGCTTGGGAAATTTAACCCTTCACACTGTCTCTGTCCTGGGATCTTGGCTCTGAGCTACTTCTGCTGGGCACCTGACTGATTTCCTGGTATGTCTTCTTGGACAGCCACCAATTTGGTGTTAATACTCACAAGGGATCCTCTGAATCTGGGAACATAAATAGCCATTCTTACATCCAATGGCTTATGAAAACCTGAATGACTGACCTCTGCTCCCTTTTAACTCCTTAAATGAATTCCTTAACTGTCTTTATTTCCTTTCTTTATTACTTTTAATTCTTACATTAGTTTTTCTCCTTTCCCTTCCCATGCCTCCTCTCGTCCTTCTTTCCTCACACTCTCTTCTTTCCCTTATACCCCAAACATTCCTTGAGTTCTTGCTATAGTCCAGACCAAGGATCAGCAGGTTCCTTCTGCAAAAAGCCAGGTGGTAAATATTTAAGCTTTGTGGGCCATCCATTCTCTGTTGCAGCTACTCAATTCTGAGCTGTGGTGTGAAAACCACCATAGGTAAATAAATGGGTGTATCTGTGTTCCACTAAAATTTGTGGACACTGAATTTCATATCATTTTCTTTGTTATAAAACACTATTCTTTTTCTGATTATTCTCAACCATTTAAAATTGTAAAAACCATTCTTAGCTTGTGGGCCATAAAAACAGGCAGTGGGCCCAGGGACCGTCAATTACTGACCCCTGGTGTAGAAAACACAGAGTTTAAATGACAGCCCCACCTTCCTGCCTCTCTGCCCCTAAGTACGGACTGACACAGGACAGCATGAGCTGCAGACAGAAGAAGTGGCAGGAGTAGTAATGAATAAGGGGAAATTGCCCCTGGGGGAGGTGACATTTTTACTGCCCCTTGAAGGACTGGGTGGGTTTCAGATGCTTGCATTAATATGACATCCCTGCTGAGTGACTCCCAATTCTCATTTCTTTTCCTAACTTGAAACCTCAGTCACAGCACTTGCCTCCTGACTTTAAAAGACACTGGATTTTCTCAGCAGGCGTAGATTCCACTGCAACCCAGCTTCTTCCTACTCAGATGACCTTCCTCACCTGTGATTTGGAGCCCTTGCTCTAGTCTGTAGAACAGGGTGAGGAGCTTGTGTGGGCTGGCTGTGCTGTTGGAGTTATAAGCTCAGAAATCTAGCTGACTTCTGAACTCAAAAAAACTTGGCTAAGGCAGACAGTTTTCACAGCCAGGGTTCCATGAGTAGAAAGAGTAAATTCCTGCTTCAAGCTTCTTGTCAAGACCCAGCTTAAGGAATCCAGTTAAATGGTCCTTTTAAATGTGCCAGTGTCCCTTTCATTCAACATGACCTAGCTAGGGTGTCAAAAAGTGGGCTTTGCCTTTTCAACATCAGTTTTTCCATTTCTTTTCTTCCCTCCCTCCTTTCTTTTTTCTTCCAATATTTAGCAAAAGGCCAAAGTACTGAAATATGAATTGATTGTGCAAAACAAACTAAAATTTGCCTCGGGGTGATATACGGATTTTTCATTTATTTCTGTTAACATCTTCCAGTCCTTGAGTGTGTATATAAAGGATCGGAACCCTAATTTATCACAGTGATCATAAAGAGTTGCTGTGGCTTTTGTCTTTGAAATTCTGATGATTAGATGGTATTGTTATTCAGAGCAGGGGCCTGAGGGCTGGGGAAGCCCTGTGCAGGACCCTGGCTCAGGCTGGCATTTTTTATGACATGAGAGCAGGTCTTCATTTCCCAACACTATCATGTAGTTAAAAAAAAAAAAAAAACCCACACTGATCTTGAACTTTAAAAACAGGAATGAGATTCCAGTTTGAGTATTTGCTAACTTATGACTTGGGAAAATCCCTTAACCTCTTAGAAAGTCAGTTATACTTATCTATGTTTTAAAAATGGGGGTAATTAAAAATTTTTTATTCATAGGGTTGTTGAGAAGGCACAGTGAGATAACAGGTATGAAAATGCTTTGTGAAGTATGAAATGAGAGGGCCTTTCTAGAGTGGTCTCCAAATCACCCAGGACTCTTCTGAGCTCCCAAAGACCTTATTTGAGAAGGTGATGAAGGTCAAAGAAGAAAGATGCTCTCAATTCTTTGGTCTGGTGTGAAACTCTGTGTTCTTGTCTCCCAGGGGATTTTTTCTTAGTCCATAAGTCTCTTCTTTCCCCAGGTTCTATACTGGTTGTTTTTGCTTACAAATTCCTGTATTGCTTCCCTTACAGGTACTATCAGGTCATTCTGAAGACCCTTGCTGTTCTGTGGTTGTGGAATTTTTTCATTTCAAACAGGCTGTGGTCCTGTTTTCAAGGTTCACTCTCCTCCACAGAAGGCCTACAACCCCAGCCCCTAGGTGGAAAAGGATTGCACCTCTGAATTGCACCCTATGGTACATAATCATGTAGTTGCTTCTGCTGTTATGCAAGCATTTCTTGGGTGCATGTGTGAAATGTGTGTGTTTGTGTGTTATGAGTGTGTGTTCTGTGTATAGAGACTGTAAATACTTTGGAATGTGCATTTATGCATTACTCAGTGCCTAGGCAGTTCTGGATCCACAGTTAGTGATTAATCAACACATAGTTGTTTAATGAAACTAAGTTAGGCCATATAGATTGCCTGAATGTGAGGTTCTCTCCAGGTCTCTGAAAGCCTCCCAGGTTCAGTGGAAACTCTGAAGTTCTTCCAGATGAGGCTGGTTTGCAGGAGCCCTAGCATATTTAAGTTGCTGTTTGACCCTTTCCACCAACACCTGGACAATATATTCAGTGTCCAAGGGAAATCAAGCCCAAATGAAGGCTTCCAGATTGGTCCCAGTTCCCATCTGAGAGATGATCAGAGATGCCCAACTTCAGATATTTTGACAGGCACTGGTGTCCTTCAAGACCGCTCAGATTAGGTGCTGCTGATGCATAATTTTGTGTGTTGATTTGAACAGGTCCTCTCTACAGGTAGAGGAGGACTGCTTACCTGTTTTAGCTACTGAAATAATATTAAACCTCCCTCAGGGTGTGATGTACTTAGCTACCTGGGTGAGGAGAAATAGGTAGACAAATGTTGGATTATCTTCTCCATGAGAACATTCTGATTTTGGCTGTTCTCCCTGGAGTCATGTGTCTTAGAGCCAACTCATGCTACTGAGGCAGAATATCTAGAAGCAGTGGAGAACATTTGTCTCTCCTCCTGAAGAAGCTAAGAACATCTGGGTTATTCAGTGGCTTTCTCAGAAAGTGGCTCATTGCCTGTTTAGCACTCATGATTGCTTTTGCCATTATTCTCTGAAGTCTGTTTAATTTTGTTTGCTTCTCCATCCTGGCTCAGTATCAGAATCACCTGAGTCAACCATTTTTTTCCCCTGAAAGAGAAATTCCAGGGTTCTATACCCCAAAGATCTGACTTAATTGATTTAGGATAGTCCGGGCTCTAATTGTATTTTAGAAAATCTCCCCAGATGATTTTAAGTTTCAGTTAGGACTCAGAACCATTGCTCAAGACCAAGGGCCAGCAAACATCATCTGTAACGGGCCCAATAGTAAATATTTTAGGTTTTGCAGGCCATATTTCTGTGTCACAATTATTCAGGTCTGCCATTGTGGTTCAAAGCAGCCATTGATGGGTGTGGCTGTATTCCAATAAAATTTTATCAAAACAAGTGGTGGGCCGAATTTGGACTGTAGGCTGTAGTTTGCTGACTTCTGCCCTAGAGTCTAGACTATTACCTTTATGAAGGCAAGGTCCTGTGCTTACAAAGTCCAACCCTGGGTCCCCAGTGTAGTGGTCAGGCATGAAATAGACCCTCCAAAAATACTTAATAAATTAATTTGAATTCAGTGAGTTTCTCATGGAATAGTATCTGAGAAGGAGATAGAGTGGCTAGCCTTGGGAAAAGTTTATAGCATTTTGGGTGAAAATTGTTTATGGCTTAAAAGTTTGGGGCAATTCATGTAAAAGCTTGTTTAATTTTGTTTAACTTTCTAGTGAAAGTTTTCAAAATGGATTCATATTGAGGAAAGTGTATGTGTGTGTGTGTGTGTCTGAGAGAGAGAGGGGTGAGGTTTTATATAAATTTTATATGTCTGTGCTTATAAAAATACTTAGCAATGGCCGGGCATGGTGGCTCACACCTGTAATCCCAGCACTTTGGGAGGCCGAGGTGGGCGGATCACAAGGTCAGGAGATCGAGACCATCCTGGCTAACATGGTGAAACCTCGTCTCTACTAAAACTACAAAAAATTAGCCAGGCATGGTGGTGGGCGCCTGTAGTCCCAGCTACTTGGGAGGCTGAGGCAGGAGAATGGCATGAACCCGGGAGGTGGAGTTTTCAGTGAGCCGTGATAGTGCCACTGTACTCCAGCCTGGGCGACAGAGCGAGACTCTGTCTCAAAAAAAAAAAAAAAAAAAAAAAAAATTAGCAACAAATAAGATTCCTATAATTAGTCAACCAACCAGTCAGTTTATGAAAAATTTGTTGTCAGTTACCTGAATTGTTCAGCCCATTAAGTCAAATCTGTGCCTTGGTAACCCCATGCTCACAAAAATTTCTGCGCTTAAATGTTCAGAATAAACCAGTCAGAAGCCATATGTGTTGGTTCTTTAAGTCTCACCTTGGTGGTCCTGAGAAGCATGTGTTAACAAATGAATGCCCAGTGGGAATTAGCAAGCCACTGGGCAAGAAGGGGAATTCACAGTCATTGCATCATGGCCTTAGAGATGACCAAATGCCCATGAGAGCACAGAGACAATCACCATAGAGTAGTTTATTTTTTTTTTTCTGAAAAATAATAGTGTACATCAGAAATTCCTACAAATAAGTCACTCTTGCATATAGATGTGTAGAAAACTAGTCTAGACATCTATTTTCTCTTCTCCTCTTTGGTTGAATGCACCAGTCTTATTTTTAGCCCATGTCTATTCACCAACACAGAAATATCTTTTTTTTTTTTTTCCCTAGAGGCAGGTCTTGCTATTTTGCCCAAGCTAGATTCAAACTCCTGGGCTCAAGGGATCCTCCCACCACAGCCTCACAAGTAGCTGGATCTACAGGTTCACACAACTGAGCCTGGCTAGAACACAGAGACATCTTTTATGAGAATTGCTCTTCTCCCAGGTTAGGAGATTGGGATTCCTAAATTCAGGTGTCCTAGATGTGGAAATGGCATTGTGTGTGAATGGTTGTGTGGCACCAGCATTGTGAGCCTCAGGTAGTTTTTGGAAGGAGTAGATGATACCCAGTGACATCCAGCTCACCAGGACTGCCTTCTGAAACCTGGAAAACAATCTAAAACCCGGACAACGATCTAAAACCCTTCCTTGATTTGGCTGGAGACTTTGCACATGTGATGATCTGAGGGCTCAAATGGATTCTGGAAAGAGTTCCCTGCTATGGAGTCCTTGTGTGGGCACAGTATAAAGAGAAGGGTGTCGCAGGAAAGTCACGTTTATGAGCACTGGGTCACTGTGCGTTATGTGATGGTGGTGATCTGTTATTAGTGAAGAGCTTATTGTAACGAAAGGAAGCCTATCTACGGCATAGCAGCAGGGAGAGGAATTTAAAGTTTTGATAGAATTAAAAATGCTCAGGAAAATTGAGATTGTTTTCCTTTCTCCATGTGTGACTTCTAAATTGAATTTCTTTTAGGCGGTATGTGATTGTTTTACCCAGGACAGAACATGGAGGGGTAAGTGTGTTTAGGCTTCTGACACTTCTTTGTATGATTGCTAATGTGAGTCCCTTGGAAAATCTACTCTTCTAGCATGAGTCCTGTACTGTCTTTTCCCTCCTCCTCCCACCACTTCTCCTTGCTGCACAGGTAGCAACCCTCCTGCTATTAGCAAGATGTCTATTACAGTGTCATTAAAAAAGCCATAGTCAGTGCGAGGAATGACTCATGTCATGGAGGACTTAATAATTCACTGTAATAAAAGTATAAAGTTTTATGATAAACCACTCTCAGGGGAGTTAAATATAATCCTTAGCGGGTCATACACTGACTACAAAGCTTACATTTGTAATGGTAATTTGAATTTACTACATCGCCTTTAGTTTTTAAGCGTTTGTGTGTCATTAGACCTTATAAATTGATTTATATGTTTCAACTCCAGTGTAATTCTGCATAAAGGTACAATAAATTTTATGGATTGGAGATATGGCATCTAAAACATTTTAATAAAATTATTATTCTAAATTCACTTAAATGGCATTGATGAAAAGCGGCAGCAATGATGCCAACATTTCAGAACTTTTATGAATTGGATGAGGTGGGAGTGACAGCTGCAGGTGAGGGTGTTGCTGGGTGTCATTCTCCACCTCCCCCTCCTTAGTTTGTCAGCAAACAGGAACCTCTGGGGCTGCTCTTGAAAGGGTGCCCACTGCCATGAGGAGGCCTGCTGTGTGGGGACATCAAAGCTTTGGGTGATGTGCTGCTGATGAGTTTGCAGGAGAAAGGAGCAGGCCGCATCCCTCAGAAGGGACTTTTCTATTACTGGTGGAACGCAACAGAATTCTCTGTCTTTCCAAAGAGACACAAGGCAGCTAGACCAAGCCAACATCTTTCCCAGTAGGAAATGAGAACAGATCACCCATTCCTTAATTTATTTTTCTCTTAAATTTCTGGAGGGAAGACATTTTTTAAAAAAAGAAAAAAAAATTTAAAAGAAAATAAAAACTTCTTGGAGAGTGAAATTGGAGGCTACCAGACCATCCTGTGGGGTGCGTTTGGCTGCCCTGGCCCCTGGCCTCCCAGGCCTTTGGTCTCACCGCCTGTACTTTTGAGGAATTTGTCTCAACCACATTCTCTCTTTCCCTTCATTATCAGAAAAATAAAGGTCAAATAAACTGGATTATGAAAAATGAAAACCAAAACCCACAAAAACAAAAAACCTCATTTATTTCTTGGGCTTGGATCCAAATGACACAAACACAAACACAAATGCCAGCTCCTGAAAGAAAAGGAGGGAACCATCCCTCTCCCTCCCCTACTCCAAATTTCCCTATTAACTGTTCACTTTTTCTCATTGGTATCATTTCGACTAGCCAGCTTGGAGTGAGTTGTGATTAGTTACGTTTTCCTTCTGACTTTGCAGATTTGAAGGAGATTGCTCACTGGCTCTTGTCCTGTGAAAACTTTGTTTTCATTTGGCTGTATGCTTTTAAGTCCCTGAAAGCAGCCCTGAATTTGGCTAACAATATTTGATAAACTATACTGTCTGTTTTGGGGCTTTAAATAATTACCCGGCCATATAGATATATGTATTTTTTTTTCATATTTGAATGCCACTTCCCCCAAAGCTGGTATAATTTCACTGCAGTTCTTCAAAATCTCTTTTGTCTAATCCTGTGTGCAGTCTTTCCCATAACGAGCCTAAGCAGTCTGGCCCTCTCTGAAGGGCAGTACTCATTGTGTTCCCCGTAGCACTTGCATGTTAGCAAAGCTTTATCCCCTCACTGAAGGCAGCTTTTTTTGTTGTTGTTGTTAGGAAAGCACCAAGGTAAATCTCCAGGGGCCCTCAGGACTCAGTGGGTGTGTCGCCATTAAATGACCCAGCCAACTGGACAGGTCAAGGTACAATTTACTGGAAATATATTAAAAGTGTCTTGTGAAATGATTCTTAGAAACGTTCCCACTGCTGGCGTGATGCAGATTAGAACCCCAGTGTGCAACTGAGAAAAATTAAATTGTAACAAGAAACCCCTGATGGCACAATGATGGCTTGTGGGAAGGAGGGTTGAATTCAAGAACTAAAGGGAGAAAATTCAGCCTCTGGCGACTTTCTTCCTAGGTCCAAGCCAGGTCTGCACAGAGCAGGGGACTGGACAGGTTGGGGCATCTCCCCTTGACAGGTGAGATCAGTGTGCATTTTCCAGGTAGGTGACGTGTCAAACTCTGCATTCTGCTCTCTCTTCACCCTGCCCGTTAGTGATATCCCAAGGGAACCAGAGCTAGCTGCTTTATGCTGCTTTATGCATAGACAAATTTGGCAGTCACTAGTATGATGTGGTTTGTGCAGGAGAAAACTTTCTGCCTAGCATGACCACTACCAAAGCAGGGACTCTCCAGGAACCTCTATTTGAAATGAAAATATCCAGAGAAAGGGAGTAGACATTTATCAGTCATTAACACCATGGTGAGTGTCATCAGAACTTAGCCAGCTGAACAATCAGGACCCTAAGAGAGTGGGACACAGGACAGAGTAACGTTGATGAGTAGAAAGAATTTCTTTGGAATTGCTTAAGGAAGGCAACCCAGGGGTTGGGGCACCATAAAGAGGGCCTGGGCTCATGATGAAGGGTCCAGAAGACCGGGATGGGGGAAGCAAAAAGAATGGGGAAAAGGACTGTAAAAATAAAAGGTACAAGGGCATCAAGGTGAATTTGACCAATCTCAGACTTTGCTTTAGAGTTGTCCTTCAGGTGACAAGAGAAATTCTATAAAACTTTTCCTAGAGTTTTGTCCTCGAAATCTCATCTAGCATCTCTGAAATTTTCTTGGCTTATTGGCAGTTGGCCTTGAGTCCATTAAACTATAAATTACAGAAACCAATTAAACTTATATGACAAATAGAAAAGTAAGCAAAGCATTTTTATATGTGCCCCTTTGACCATTTTCTTGATCTGCCTGGCACATAGTAGATGGTCGATACATGTTTATTCAAGATGAATTGAATGTGTACAACAGGCATTCATATAATTCCCACTTTATGGGTAAGGAAATTGAGCTCAGAGGAGTTAAGCAAGTTACCCGAGATTAGGCAACTAATCAGTCCTTCCTTGTAATACCGCACTTTGTCCTTTCTTCCTTACTTAGCTTTAAATCAATTCTTTCTGCTCTGTATTCTGACTCTAAGGCCATTCTTCATTGCCCCCTATAGGAAAAGGGTCTTGGGCTCCATATTATTAAACCAGGTACATGTAGAAAAATTGAATGTGATATACAAGGAAGCCCTTGACCTTTTAATTCTAATCTGCTGAGTCTGCTGGACTTCTATGTCCCCAGTTTCCCAACCAGATATACTTTTCAGGCAACTTAAGGGCTTGAAAAATTTCTGCTTCTAGAATCTTATTTTAATGGAATAATCAGACATAAGGGCAAAGATGAATCTATAAGGAGGTTTATCAAAGTATTATTTTTAATCAGAAATCACTCAAATATCTAAGACTGGGATCAGTGGTCCATTTTCTTCCATCATGTGAGATAGGACAGGTTTATTGGGAACACTGCTTGAACCACACATGAGCTGGGTTTCCAAAGAGAAAACGTCAGACATTTATATGACCCAAAGATAGCACATTTAAAGTAGGAAGAATTGATGAAGAAGGACCCCTCAAGGGGAAACGTGGAGCTAGGAGCTAGGGTGTTGGGCTGTAAGTCCAGAGTGGAGCAGGATGGTCTCAAAACACTGGCAAGTACTTGCCTGATAGTCTAACTGTGGATGGTATTTGGGGCATCAGGTTGGCTTAAAGTAGAGATTAGAGATGACTATGCCATTTGTGGTTGCCCAACTGTGACCACAAAAATTCATTTCAATTTATTTCACTCACTGCCCACCTCCACTCCCAACCCAAACCGGGCCACCCTTATTCTCTCTGATATTGTGGGAGTGACTCTCTCCAGACCATAGAGCAATCCAGTGGCTCTTTGAAAGGGATTCTTGACAACATCATTTTGTCTCCTTTTTAATTACAGACTCAATTTGATCCCACGTTTGCAGATAATTCTCAATGACTATGACTGAAACATAAGAACGATGACATTTCTTAGGGTTGCTTTCTTTTTTGAGAATGCAATGTACATTATCCCATGCTGTTTCTCTTGAAGTATTATAAGTCATATATTTCTTTTTATTTTTACTCGTTTTTGTCTATATGTCTGCCTGTAATGTGTAACAGCAGAACATGTGTGGAGGAAGGTGTGTGACCCTCTCGGCCTGCACTATCCCCCAGTTGGAGCTATTAGCCACTTACATGCACAATTAACCAGCTGATTCTTAGATTGAAGGCTGAGGGAGCTAATTGCAGGTACAAAAATTGCACCCATATAAAAGGAGGTTGGTCTGAACATTTAATCTTTAGACCTTCTTCTTCAGGGTGACTAGGTAGTATTTATTTATTCGTTCATTTATTTATTTATTTATTGTTGACCCAGCTCCCAGTTTGCTTTCATCACAATTACTAGTGGCATCCAGTGGAATCCCCTATTTATGCCATAAATAACTTCTAACAAATAATATTCCATTCAAGCTCTGGCACAAAGATCTGTTGCAGGCTTTTTCTCTCTGTGTAGTGAATTTTGTTTTAAATCTAGAATTTTGAAACAATTTATTAGAAAATATGAATGAGGTATGTATGTGTGTATGTGTATTGAATGTCTTCTTAAGAAACTTCCCTAGGAAGAGAAATTCATATGAACTGAAAGTCTACTTTGTGCCAGGCCCCTTCATCCATTTTTATTTATCTTCTCAATAACCCAGTGAGGTTGGTAGATTATTTACATTTAATACACAGGGTTTCTCAGAGAGCCTGGGGTTACACCACTGGCCCAGGGTTTACTACTCATTTTAGGTGTATTTGATGTCAAATCCCAGCTCTTAACATGACTCAACTCAACTTTTCAGCTTGGTAAAATTTTACATCTTGAGTAGGTGGGAAATGCTGTGGTTCAAACCTCTCTGAAAGTTAGAGCTAGTGGCCATCAGACTAATCAGACCCCTCCGACTGCAAGTGTTAAATGGGCATCTAGACTTCACCTTCAGACTTTTCACCTTGGCACAACAGGAAATCCTTTTCTGTGCCTCTCTTCCACTTTTCATGATCATTTCTCTGGCATCCTCCCCCATTCTGTCCTCTGGATGCCCTGGGATCTGTTCCTTCTCCGAGGACATCCCCTTTCAGTTCTGCCCTCCCTAGGTAATAATATTCCATGATCTGGAACTTCTTTGGGGCTTTCTTTCCCATTCCTACCTAGCCACTTCCTTATTGGAAGTATAACTCTAATAATAGGAGTTAGTATAACTCCTGTGTTCCTGCCTCAGAGGCTATGCTCTATGTTTTTTAGATAGTTAATAAAATAATTCTACAAGAACATGGAGATTGTTAGATGCTAATGGATTAATAAATTATGGTGCAGTCACTATTTTCCTCTCTCAGTTTCCTCCTTGGGAAAATGAAAAGGTGGGACTGAAGTAGCTCTAAAATCCCATCTTTTTCAATTTCATTTTCAATCTATGATCCATGAACCTGTACACGTTATTCTTACATTTTGACAAGGGCCTTCTATATGTAATGGGTCTTAATTAAATAAGCTTTCTTTTCTCTTCTACCCCTTAAATGGAATGACCCAGGTTTAATGCTTGGCCATATCCCCTTTTATAGGGGATCCCTGTGACCCTGCATTTATACTGATGACTCCTCAATCTGTTTCCACTCTGCCTTCGACCTTGAGCACCAGATGTCTCCATGTAGCTGTCTGCTGGCCATTTCCACTTGAGTTTTCCATAGTCCCCTGAAGTTTACTCAATACAGAACAGAAACATCCTTTCTACTCTCCCTCAACCTGCTCTTCCTTCCTATTCATCTCTCCTTGTCACCCACCGAAGGAATTTGCTAATAGTCTTACATTCTCCTCCTTTCTCACCTCCTACAGTTACTGCCTGTTTCTCCTTCATCTTATACTTTGTTTTCATCCATTTAATGCTCTTAACTCTCCAGAATAATCCCCATTACTTTTCTTAGGAGTTATTACAGTGTCCTTATACATGTTTCCCATCATCTATTGCTGTTTTACATCAAATCTTCCTGTCTTGCCCACCCCACAGATTTTATCGGAGAAGAAAAGAAAAAAAGAAGAAGAAGAAACATGGATGTACCTTGCAAATTTAAAGTGTTCTACTAGCGTGCTTAATTTTTTCTTGTGTTCTGGAAAGGCAGAGATCTGATTCTGGCTTCTGAGTTTTTGTGTTGCTTCCAGTCTCCAGAGTGATCCCCTTTGTCCCCTCTTCTCTTTAGAATAATACTGTTTCTTCAAGGCCTTCCATTAGCCCCCATCTTCCAGAAGCATTACCTGACCATCTCTGCTCTCTTTAACATGTCTTCTCCCTAAACCTCTATGCTTTCACTGTTTGTGCTTCATTAATTACCCTCTTTAACTACTATTTGATTTCCTGGTGCACCGTTTGTTCTCCATGATCAGGTTGCAAAGCTGCTTGAAGGCAGGGACCATTTCTTATTTTGCTCTGAAACACATTTGGAGATGCTTAAAAAGCACTTGACTGATTGGCTGGGTGGACAAATGGATGCATAGATGGAAGAACACTTCAGTGGGCCGCTGCTTGATTTGGTTTAGGATTGCAAATCTGGCAATCTGCAATTTGCTTGAGAAGGGTGACTCCTATGCTGGTTGGTTACAGAAGGCCAGCAATCCAAGCAGAGGAGCAGCAATTGGATTCCAAATCCCTGACTCCAGTCAGGTGCAGAGAGAATGTAACCAGTAGAAATACTATGAGGCAATAAAATGTAGACACCTCTCACACCTAGTGCTTTTCTTTCTTGCTTTAGTTGTGCACCAGGAAGAGATGGCAGAATCAGGTGATAAAGTGGGAGCAGCATGTGAGGCAAGCTGGTGAGCCAGCTTTGCATCTCTGCCCTTACCAAGGGCATCCATGGGGTTGTATAGCCCATTGTTCCCTATGCCCATATGGGTGCATTCATCACTTCCCCAGCAAATGTGGTCAGTGTCCCCTCTTGTGTTTCCAAATACACAATTGAACAATAAATAAAACCATGGAAAATCCACAGTGCCAGAGGTCTTCATTCATTGCTGATTTTAAATGAACCTTGATGCATAGGATGAAAAGAGCCATTTTCAGGAAAGAATTTAAACTGCACTAGAAGAGGGGAGAAAATTGTCCAACATTTGGTCAGTCTAACAAAGTAAAAGGGAATGTGGGGTGGGGGCAAGCTATTAGGGAAGGAAAGACTTTCTCACACAGTGAGCAGGCATGGGGTGGATAAAGTGCCGGCGTGGGTCTGGAAACAATGCGTTAATACTCGCAAAGTTACCAGGGAGGAGAAAAGTTCTTTCTCTACAGTTAAAAACCGTAAATACCTTCATGCTTCTCTCTCTCTTCTCTCAACTATGCCTCCCCCTTCCTTTGATTCTTCGTCTATGAAACTTAAAGCATATTTGAGGTGCTTAAAGGAAGGCTTCAACTACTGTTTAACAAGTCAATACTAATTATTGTTTAGCACTGGATTATGGGCCGGATCATGGAATTAAAACAGAGCTGTTAGGACACCTTTGTACCTGGCAAAGAGTTAATGAGCACATGCTGGGTCCCTGTAGTCACTGCCAAGTTGGTTTACTATTTTATTTCAGTGGTGCAGGAACAAAACCTAATAAATTGTTTTACTTTTATCTCGATGCTTCCTTTCTTCATTAGGGAAATGAGGAAGCTTCATTGTCATGTTTATCATAAATTGGGAAATTATTTTTATATTGTTCAATTAGTTGGTTATCTACAGAGTAGCGTGGCTGTGTATATTGGGGGGAAAAATTACAAGCAAATCTAATGTCAGTAAAAGGTGCTGGATTAATAGCAGAGGAAGGTGATTTACCTCCTGGGACTACAGATAGCGACTGGACACTGTGTATGTGTGTGTGGACTGTGAATATATAATACAGACAGTAGACAGAGGGAGTGTGTGTGTGTGTGTGTGTATCTATATATGAAATGTATAGTTTGGCAGCCTACATTTCTGGAACCCCAAGGCCCAGGCACTTGGGGTTTCTTGGAAGGCTCCATTGGTAGGACAATGTGGGGGGAAGGAAGGAAAGAAAGTTGGGGGGAATAGGGTAAATTCTGAACAATCTGTTTGCTCTGATGAGATGTCCAGCTGGGCTGGTGACCAGATTTTTCATAGCAACTCAATTCACCAGATCCCTGAGCAACTAAATGGTCTTGGCTTTGGGGTCCTGCTGACTGGAGCGGGATTTGAACCGTGACCTACAAACGAGAAATGCTCTTTGCTATTGCTAGGTGCATGTGCTGTTTAGCTTGACCCTCTCACTGCCTCCCACTGGCTCTTCAAAATTAACATTTAGACATGTTCAGCTCTGAAATGTGGGGTGCAGGTGATCTGGTGATCAGACCTAAAGCTTATTTTAAAAGCTTTGGAAATCACTGAAAAATATATTATTTGTATACCTTCTACAAATTTTAATTTTCTGATGTGAAAACAAAGCAGGGGAAATACTCTACGTATGTCAAGGTATATAAAATATAATGTATAGCTTAATAACAGATTTTATTTTTGTTTCAAGTTTTTCCACTTACTTTGGTACTTTACAATATTGGAGTTGCTATGTAGAAACTAGGAGTCCATTAATATGTGTATCTTATGCAGTTGGTATTTATTTATATATATATATATATATATATATATATATATATATATATATATATATTTAAGAAAACCCTCTTAATCTTTAACCCCAGTATTGCATAAAGGTTCAGGGGATCAATTGTACATAAAAAGACAGGAGATCTCAGAGGGCTTACAAACCTATTGGCAGCTTCTCAAGATACACTACTGGGTCTGTACATATTGGTATTTAGCTTTGCATGTCTCAGACAAGGAGAAACGTTGTAATTGATTTTATTTGAAAGCAGGAGATGGGGCCAAAGGGGAACTTTTGGCCTCCAGTTTTTGCTTTCAGCCTGTATAAAGTATGCATTCCTATCAGAGGTGTTTAATGGTGCACTTGGTCTTTCTTTTCCTGTTTTTTTTCTTTGTTTTTTTAATACAAGTGTGAATGGGTGCCTCAGGCTAAGCAAGCCCCACCTCTCAGAACCTCAGAGGCTGTGGGAATGATCCCTGCCCTCCAGACCCATCCTTAATTGGCCCATAGTACAAGAAGCAATTAAAACTAAGGGCCTGATTCATAAAATGTGAACATGCCATTTAAATGTGTGCAGGGAGATTCTTGCTTATAATGCTGAAATAGAAGCAGCAAGGACTTTGCTTTTATCCCCTAAGCTCACTTTTCATAAATTTACTTTTCTTTTTGCCTCTGGGCCCTGAATGCCCTCCATCCTTTCTCTGACAAAGCTAAAGCTATCTTCAGGGTAAAGGTTGGTCTCGAGTCCTGGGGTGCCTGCTGACCTAGCCCATCCTTATCCCCCTTCCCTTGGCCAGATGTTTTAATCATGATTTTTACATATCTATTTCTATTATTTAATCATTTTTATATTTTACCCAACAGTATGTGGAATGAAAACTTCAGAAACTGAGTTGAGCATTGCTGTCTGCTGAGGTTGAAGTTTAGGGAAAGCTGCCAGACCCTGCCAGAGATAAGCTTCAGAAAGGAGCTAGGGGAAGAGAAAGTACCCCAGAATTCCAAGAGGTTTAATTACAATACCAGGGAAACCCTCATTTGCACAATCACTATTTACATTTTCCCACAATTTATACTTCCCTTATACCCACCCCTCCACCTCATACTATTAAGCTCTTAATGTTGCTAATATACTGAGTTTCTGGAATTTGAATGGAAATTCTGCTAAGTTGAACATGATTCTTGGGAAGTGTTTCATAAATTTCTCTATTTGTTTTAGAATGAACTCTGAGGAACAGAGAGAGTCTCTTTTTGGAGACACTAATTAGGGCCTAGAAGTCATACTTTTTTTTTTTTTTTTTAATTATACTTTAAGTTCTGGGATACATGTGCAGAACGTGCAGGTTTGTTACATAGGTACAAACCTGCCATGGTGGTTTGCTGCACCCATCAACCTGTCATCTACATTAGGTATTTCTCCTAATGCTATCCCTCCCCTAGCCCACCACCCCCTGACAGGCCCTAGTGTGTGATGCTCCCTGCCCTGTGTCCATGTGTTCCCCTTGTTTAACTCCCACTTATGAGTGAGAACATGTGATGTTTAGTTTTCTGTTCTTGTGTTAGTTTGCTGAGAATGATGGTTTCCAGCTTCATCCATGTTCCTGCAAAGGACATGAACTCATCCCTTTTATGGCTGTATAGTATTCCATGGTGTATATATGCCACATTTTCTTTATCCAGTCTATCACTGATGGGCATTTGTGTTGGTTCCAAGTCTTTGCTATTGTGAATAGTGCTGCAATAAACATACATGTGCATGTGTCTTTATAGTAGAATGATTTATAATCCTTTGGGTATATACCCAGTAATGGAATTGCTGGGTAAATGGTAGTCATATATTTTTTAGTTCAACCATAATTCCCAGCACAAGAGTCCATTTGAGATGTCTTTTAGACTAATATCCAACCCCAGGAAAGAATTGTAATAATACGCCCTTGAGAATATTGTGTTAGCTGCCTGGGACAAACCAAGTTGAGAAATAATTACTTGACTCAGTTCTTGTGTTTGTTTTGTTTGATAAACAATAGTCTTACTCTTATTATTTCTTGCAGTTTATATTATACTGTAATTCACAAAGTTTCCATTTATTTTCCAGAATGACACAATAGGCCGTGTTATCCTGGAGTCTTCTAATATTTTTTTAGCCTTTCAAATGGGGCAGAGGGTTATGAGGCACTTCAGCTTAGTAAAAGACTGCATCTACACCACACCAAATAACCAGGCAGAAAGTGAAAAAATTCAGTCCGTCTCCCAGATGGCTGCAGATGCATGGTATTGTGTAGACAGAAACAGCCAGATGGCTGAATGGATTTTTCACTTTCCATCTGGGTGCGTGACATGGTAGAGATGTAGCCAAAGCCTTGAGCCAAAAGAAAATGCCAGCCAAGGAGATGAGGTATTGCTACTTTCCAGGCACCTCATTCTTGCTGGGTGGTATGTGTAGCCTTGGTTCCATTTATTCAGAAAGAGGTCACTTATACGGGAATGATGATTGTCAAGCTCTCGAAATAAAGAGGAAGGCAGACAGACCTAGAGACATGGAAAGAATGTCTCATTTGCTTTCTTGCAGCAACGAGTCTCTTACTGACTTGGCAGGAACAGTGACACCTTGGGAAGGTCTGCTCCTTCTGGGTCTCTAGAGGTCAGCAAGCTGGAGGCATGACAAAACACCAAGTGAAAATGAAAACATCACAGGGTTTGCTGTCCATCATGGGCATCACTAAATCTTTTTGAACAACCCTGGGCAGTGAATTATGGCAGCATGGAATTGACTTACAGTTTATTTCTAGTAACAGGCAGTTACTATGTCAAATCTGAAACCATTCAGATAGGCCTATAAAAATATATGACAAAGTAACAGGCTACCTCTAGCTCCTTTTAGCATGTTTATGAGTTTAAACTGCATTGAGCTTGTGTTTATAGAAATGAATACGGGGATTTCTTATGTCCTATTCCTTCTCTCACTCCCCGCCCTGCAACCTGTTCTTTTGTGACCGTGGGGTGGTATCCAAGACCTTTGGAATATTCAAACTCCCAACTGGAGTTGTCATTCTGTTTAGAGGCAATTTTGTTGATGAGAATACAACTTGTATTTTTCTGGAGCGATTGAAGTTCTTTTATAAATGACAGTTGTAAAAGAAAATCATCTCCAAGTTACCTTTCACCCACTCTTTCCCCCAATGCTGTTTGACACTTACCGAGGAACTAATTGCAGCGTGAGTGGGGCCACGAGACAAATGCTGCAATCCAGGCATAATGTGACAACAAATACAATAAGGTAACATATTGTTAAAAGTCAATACCCCAAGTCTAACAATACGGTGTCACAGACTCATAACCATGTAACCATATAATACATAATTGTCATCTGCACAGAAAGATCTAATTTTGATAATGCATATTGAGATTGGTTGTCTGAAAAATGCTTATGGCTCCAGAAGGTTTGACAGTCCTGAATATCACATAATAGCATGTAGCCAAGGAACATGGGATGAAGGGAAGAAAAAAAGACTCTATTCCAGAACGCAAGCACTCCCACTCACAGTTTTATTTTTAAAAGAACACGATTCTGCTCAGACAATGAGCAAGTTTACTGTGAAGGGTGATTTGTTCCTGGGTTTCCATATCTGGTATCTGCGTGTGTGTGCACTCAGGGTCCTTGCTCCACCCTTTGGGGTCTGGGCTACAGGACCTTTCTTTGGCAGACATGAATATCCTGAGGTCTCTGACTTATAAAGACTTGGTCTGCATTTAAACTTCAAAGAAATTAAACAGAATCCACAGATTCTTGAGGCATACTATTTACTACCTACCATATTTCCTCAGTTCTAGGAAATATCTTTTTAGCAGTTGAAGATATCTGTAATCAGCATCCTTCTTATAGTCTATGTGTAGATTTAACATATTTTTTTCCTCCTTTTACTCCCTTTAAAAGATGTTTTTAAATCAAATATGTGCCTTCCAACTCATGGCATCTTAAAGTTGAGGAAATACTGCAATAATAAATATGCTAGCTACCATTCTTGGAATAGGCAATGTCCCTAAGATAACAGAAGACTTTTGACAAATATAATTTCATTTCAATCTCATATCAAACCTATGAAGGAGCTAATGTGATTTCCATTTTATAGATGAGGAAACCAAGGCCCATAGCCACTGAGTTATATTAAAGGCACTCTCTCCTCTGTAGTTCTGGACCTGGTAATCTCTGAATGTATCACTGCATGGCAAGGTATAGGGCAACATGTGCTTTGTTTCCATATGCATAACTTTGACAGAGTCCACTGACTTGGACTCACTCATCCTTGAATCTCATTAGCTCCTGTAGACTCCAGCCCAACTGGTCTGGGTGTAGCTCTCATAATTAGAAGATTTGGACCTCTTTTAAACTTCTGGAACATTTGTTTTTATTTCTTGCCTCAGGTCATCCATCTGAGGCTATGCTATCAATATATGTTTATGATCATGTCTCAAGTCCCTTTACTTGATGAAAAGGATGTTTCTGTGGCCCTTCATTAGTTACACTATCAAGGCACTTAGTTTGCACATAGTGTGAGAACATGAAATATGTGTGAAACAAGTACATAGCATTAAAAATATCAGATCAGTATATTTTAAAGAGGGTAAGAGAAGCCTTGAAGTCAAAGTCATCAATCTGTCTTCTTGACAGCATCTGATTCCCGAAGGCAGTTTCCCTCTTGAGACCTCTTCTTTCATTTCTTCTTTTAATTTTTATTGTGCATGGTTCTATGTGGAAAGCAGTGGGTCAGATGCTCTGGAGAGCATAGAGAGAAATAAGAAATAAAAAGAGATCATAATCTAGTTGATGCAATCACATAGATGTAAATACTAGGAGACATTGGGTGTGTGAGGGCTCCATAAGAGGTTGAGATGGTTGTTTTAATTATTATTATTTAAATATCTATCATTCAAGACAGATAATTAATTGCTCTGGGAGTTCAGAGAAGAGAACATATCAACATGAGCGGTTGGGGAAAGCATATTTCTGAGGGGGTGTTGTGCATGTGGAAATGAGGAAGGGCATGCCAGGCACGGAATGACAGAAGAAAGTGAGGGTCATGTGCGGCATTCATTTTCATTTTAGCTGAAGTTGGAATGCCAATGCAAGAGTGACTACAGCTGAAAGATTTGCTTGAGCAGAATCATAGAGGTCATTGATTGGCAGGCCAGGGGACTTGGAGAGCCGCAGAGTGTCTGAGGAGGAGAGAGGCCTGATTGGGTCTGTGGTCTTGGGAGATTAGCTTGGCTTGGGGCATGGGCAATGTAATTACTGGATGACTCAAGCCCAGGGAGTATTATGGGAGAGTGAGGAACCTCATTCAGAAGGGTCCTATTTTGTTGAAATATGTTAAAAAATATTTGAAAAGATGAAAAAAGTTTCTCTTTAACAACTGGAATTGCTAAGAGCAGACTTTAAGTGCTAATGACTGAATGGCTGATGTAGTTGGGAACCTTCACAGTGTGGTGAGGATGTAGTCATTAGAAACTCAGGAGAGTCAGGCTGGGGTGAGGGAGTGGGCATGAGGTGGCTGCATATGAAACCTAATTGGACGGTGGAGCCAGGGGGCAAGGTGCCTCCCTAGACAGCGTGTCTGTGGAAATGTATTTCTTTAGGATTCTTTAAGAAAAATGGGGAAATAGGGAGAAGCATGGCAGGAAACTAACACTTACTAAGTTCTTGTATATGTCAGGCAGGATGATCCCAGCTTTTTCTTCTTCACTTTGACTCCTTAAATCCCCCCAACATACCAGCCAGGAAGATGTTATGATTTCCACTTCACATGTGAGAAAATGACTTGCCCAAGTTACCAAACCATTTTTTGTGTTGGGTTTCATCCCAACGTTGTTCAAGTTCTAAACCTCTGCTTTTCTCACTGCACCTGACAGCATGATATTGTCATGCCTGGCCATTGTCTCAGAGACAGCAAATGCCTACCACCCACAGTGCCCATGGACCTCCTGGCCTGGGCTGTCTGGATCTTACCTCACTCACAATTATGGGAAGAAATGAGTAAGAAATTAGAGAAACAAGCTCCTCCCTAAAGGACAAAGCAGAAATTACCCAAGCCCTCATTCTATTCTTCTCTCCCTCTGGCCTTCAATCTAGGATCAGAAGCAGTAAGATATTCCCATCAGACACACAGCTAGTGGAACCTTACACAGGAAAACACGGCAGGGAAGGTAAAAGAGAAACACTCCAAGAAGAGTTTTCTCCAGTTTGGTTTTATTTACTCTCCATTTACTCCTCCTATTCATTAAAGGCTCTACCCTTAATAGAGGGCCCCATAATTGTGTGTCTCTAAGGACTCAACTTGTCATTGATCCATTTCAGAGCTCCTCTTCCTCCTTAAGGGTGGATTTAGGGGGTCAAGGTGGCAAAGATCTGAGCTTCCCCTAGAGTCTAGAACAGTGCTTCCCAACATTTTCTATGTCACGGCACAAATGTAAAATGATAATATTTGTAGGGCACTTTGCAGGAGATGGATGAGCTGTTTATGGCTGAGGCACTGGTCTTGGACTCTGGTCCCATCTTGTCTTCCTGAGGCCTCACCTGTGACCCATGTGAGTCACACCTGTGTGTCCACTGGCTGGAAGCCCTGGGCTGCAGAGGGTCCCTGCTCATCACCCTTGGCAGTGAATTCACAGATTTGTCATCAGAGGTCAGCACAGGCCCTGAATTATCTGTATTTTTCACGTGCTCGGTATTTTAAAAAATAAGAGGCCCAAAATAGCATTATAAAACTGTGATGCAATGGATATTTGCTATTCACTTGATACCCACAGGATTTGTTCTTTTCTCATTCTTTTGTTTCCATCAGGAAAAGATTTATAAAAATAATACCCATAGAGTATATAGGGGCACACAGGTTTAAAGCTACACAGTGAGCATCTTTTTTCAGCCTTGTCAGGGTATCTTGA
This sequence comes from Homo sapiens, assembly GCF_000001405.40. Classification (NCBI taxonomy): domain Eukaryota; kingdom Metazoa; phylum Chordata; class Mammalia; order Primates; family Hominidae; genus Homo; species Homo sapiens. Next base: position 59,982,085 of record NC_000002.12, on the reverse strand, counting down.
TGAGGCCAACTATAATGGTATAATTTCATCTGGAGAGCATAACAAAAGCCTGCATTTGATGCACTTGAGAATCTGAGGTCCAGGGCAGATGCACTCCCCACAATTCATGCAGTAAGTCCCAAAGGGTAATGATAGTTATAAGCTATGGAAATATATTAGGTGATTGTTATATGCAAAGTACTGTGCTTTTACAAGGACTATTTACTTTAATCTTCATAGCAACCTTAATTATTCCTGCTTTACAGATAAGTAGACTGAGGCTGAGAGGGACAGATTAAATGACTTTCTTAAAGCCACATGGTTATTGAATGTTGCCAGTGTAATGCTAGTACTAGCAACATGTGTAGACTATACTGCCAGCATTCTTAGAAAATTCTCCTTAGATGCAGAAGGAAAAAATTGCTAAGTGTTAGTTGCTAATAGCTGGCCTTAAAAGCTGAGCTTTCTAAGGTACTGACAGCAGGGTAAGGGAGGTAAATATTATGTAGTACAGTTAGTGAAGTCCTTTGCACCCCTAAGTAGCCAATGGATCATTATTTAGGGTTGCTAGATTTAGCAAATAAAAATACATAATGCCCAGATAATTTTGAATTTCAGATACACAATGGATAATTTTTTAAGTATAAATATGTCCAAATATTGCACAGGGTATACTTACATTAAAAAATTATCCATTGTTTATCTGAAATTCAAACTTAATGGAGAGTCCTGCATTTTACCTGGTAACCCATTCATTATTGATACTGGCTGTTGGTAGTAGGTAGGGATTTCCATTAACATTTGTGGCTTCTTGATAGCACTAGACAAGGGCAAGTATTATTTAAAATGGCAAAATACCTAAGGATGACCATTGAAACACAGGGGGAAGAGAGCAGTGGAGAATTGCTGCAGCTTTGGTGCTCTTTGCTAGACAGTAGTTCTGTTCATATCAAGAATGGACTAAATGTTTGTGTCTTACCCACAAGTCAAATCAGAGGAAGGTATTCTAGCCCAATTGTCCATGTGGTGTGTGAAGTACCAGTGTTGTGAAGAATTAGGAAATGAAAAGAACAGAAGTGCCATGAATGGGCTACTCTGATGTGCATCTTCAGGAGGAAGTTAAGAGGAGTCATTGTATTGAGAAGAGAGAAGATATTTCTAAGTAGGGGACAGCAGGTATCGGGGTACAGAAAGGTAGAACAACAAACTCCTTATGACTGTTGTGGAGGGAAAGCAGTCAATTCGCTTGGAAATTGGTCAGAATATATCACGAAGAGCAAAGTAATAACATTTATTGAGTACTAAGTACCAAGTTGTTCTGGGTTGAATAGTGTTTTCCCCCAAGACTTTGTGAATGATCCCTTAATTGGAAATAGGGTCTTTGCAAATGTAATCAAGTTAAGATGAGGCCATACAGAATTATAGTGGGCCCTAAGTACAATATGACTGGTGTCCTTGTAAGAAGAGGGAACTTTGGACACAGAGACACAGACACACAGGGAGAAGGCCACGCAAAGGTGGAGGCAGAGTTTGGAGTGATGGGTCTATAAGCCAAGAAATGCTGAGGGTTATCTGTAGTCACCAGAGGCCAAAAAGGCAAGGAAGGACGCTCCTCTAGAGCCTTTAGAGCAAGGCCCTGCCAGCACCTTGATTTTGTACTGCTAGCCTCAAGAATTGTGAGTGGTTGTAAGCCACCCAGTTTGTGACAATTTGTTACAGCAGCCATGGGAGATGAATAACAGCCTAAGCCAAATTCTATTATCACCTTCCATGGAGATAAAAAGGTCAAATGTCATTGAGGAAAATTTGGAAAAGAAACAATTCACCACATGTTCCCTACTTTAGCCTCTAAAACAGACTTAATCACAAAGGACTGAGGTTGGTAAACTTTTCCTGTAAAGAGTCAAATAGGCCGGGCGCGGTGGCTCACGCCTGTAATCCCAGCACTTTGGGAGGCCGAGGCGGGCGGATCACGAGGTCAGGAGATCGAGACCATCCCGGCTAAAACGGTGAAACCCCGTCTCTACTAAAAATACAAAAAAAAAATTAACCGGGCGTTGTGGCGGGCGCCTGTAGTCCCAGCTACTTGGGAGGCTGAGGCAGGAGAATGGCGTGAGCCCGGGAGGCGGAGCTTGCAGTGAGCCGAGATCCCGCCACTGCACTCCAGCCTGGGCGACAGAGCGAGACTCCGTCTCAAAAAAAAAAAAAAAAAAAAAAAGAGTCAAATAGTAAATGTTTTATTCTTTGCTGGCTATGGGTTCTCTGTGGCGACTACTCAATGCTGCCATTGTAGGGCGAACACAGCATAGACAATACATAAACAAATGGGCATGGCTCTGCTCCAATAAAACTTTATAAAACAGGCAGTGGGCTGGTGAGATGGATTTAGCCCCCAGGCAGTAGTTTGATGACCCCTAAAAAACCTCCATGGCATTTGCAGACCTCCCTTGCCTTGTAAATATGTGGACATTCACAGCTGGCTACGTTGTTTGAAACTCCATCTGTGTGTCCTCTTCTCACATACCTAGTGGCACTGAAAAGTCATGGGATTAACATTTTCTCAAGCCAAGTGACATCTCAATGTATCTTTCAATATTATGACTTGTGTCCAGGTTGCCATTGCTCGAGGTGTGGTGGAGGATTTGTCTTTTGCTCCCAAACTCAGAACCAGGATTTGAGTCTGTAAAGGAAAGTGGACTCATGGCTTCCTAGCTGAATCTCATTTTCAATCTGACATGATATTCCCCAACTCAATTACTCACCTTGTTTGCTATGCTTGATTCTGAGCAATTTTCAGAGCATTCCAAAAGTCAAATACACTCTCAAAAGATAAAGATTGGTATGTTGGGGTCTTTCCCAAGAATTTGCTAAATGATCTAACAAATAGTCATAAGGGAGAGTTCCAAACTCTTCTTGTTCTGGCAGCATCCATGCAGGAGGTACTCAGCTTCTCAGGATAGCTCTCAGGAAGGAACGGAGCCCAAGCAGCATGTATAAATGATGCTAGGCTTATTAAAAGTTTGTTTCCATTATCTTTAAGGCTGTCGTTATTCAAGTGTCCAAATGTGGTAAGCAGATATGCGCATACTTGAACAATATGGGCATTTAGATATTCCTGCTAATCAGAGACACTGGCCATATTTACCCATGCAACCACCACCTCTACCTCTCAGCCAGGTAACCAACACTCTTGAGAAGTGATTCCTCCTGGGCAAGATTTTCTAAAAACATCGGCTACTTCCAGGCCTCGATCCTGTCTCCACAGAGGAGCAACGGTACACATCACAGTTTATCAGTATTTCTGAGCGGAGCTGGTTCCCCTGCTCACTACTTAGATGTGGGTCTCTGAGGAACCCTTCTAGCTGATATTGCAGGACATTTTCTTACCCTTTCCACTTTAGAGTGTTAGTTTCCTACTCACCACAGTGTTCTTTCTTGTTAGAGGGATGCTGAATGTGTGAGAGCAGGTAGCACCTGAGGCTCACTTGAGGCTGTCAGATGTGATTTTACGTCATCTTTTGAGGCACTGATGGAGAAATGCTGTGTTTCCTTTAAAAGCTGGGTTTCAACTGGACATAGGCAGTGGTCTTCAGACCATCTGTTTATTTCCCCTAATTTTAAAAATTTAAATATCATGTAATATATCATTATGTTCCATATGTTAATTATATTGTATATGTTATTACAATATTATAATTCTGGTGATGATGTGTCTTTTCAGGCTCCCAAAGAATAACTCCCTTTTATATGTGGGAGAAAAATCATCTCAGGTTTTTGCAAATAAAATATTCCCCAGTAGCAATACAATCAGAATGATACCTGCAAATAGTTTGGCTTTATCCAGCTTCTGAGCCAACCCCATTGGCCAACTGAAAGGTACCATGTTAATGAAATCATTTGTCAGTGCTTTGAATCATATTTATCTGTTAGAGAAGTAACAGCATTTCTGAAGCTTTTCCTATGTAGCATTAGACTGTTTCTATGTGGGCTGGATGCTTAGTGACGTGTTCCTTAAACTCTTTGAAGTATGTGGTTTGATGAAATTCACTTCCATTTGTCCAAGAATCCACCTGAGCAGATAACAAATATCAGTGATTTTTCTTGTTACAACAATTAGATTTATAGACTGTCATTGCTAAATACATATGATTATTCCATAAGTGAAAATAGAGATAATCCTGGCAGAACTGAAGCGAAGAAAATGTGTACACCTTTGTTTAGGTGGCATTGCAGGGAGGACTGGGAACACACAGCATGAAGATGTGAGATGGAAGGTCCCCAGGGTGGAAGTTTAATGACAGCGATGGAAGATAGCTTTGAGGGTCTCACTGCTGAATTATATCTTTACATGGGCTGGAAAGGTATTCTGGCCTAATTGTCCATGTGGTGTGTGAGGCCTCTTTGCCCTAGAGTGGGCTGACCTTGGGAAAACAGGGCAGACACTTGTTTGTGACATGAACTTCCAGCCAATTCCACTCCCTTTCATTTCCAGGTTTACTCAGCAAGGCATTTAAACAGCCTCCTGACTGAATTACCAATCCTATCTTCACAGGTAGGTGAAGGTTCTTTCCTTTGGTAGTGCCATCCTCCGAATGGTCTATGGCTGGGTCAGTAAGCCTTTTTGTAAATATTCAGATAGTAATTTTAGGTTTTGTGGCCCATGCAGTCACTGTCAGAACTACTCAGCTCTGTCACTGGAGTGTGAACATAGCCATAAACAATACATAAATAAAAGGACATGACTATGTTTCAATAAGACTTTATTACCAAAATGGGCAGCAAGCAGAATTTGGCCTTTGGGCCATAGTTTACTGTCCCTTGGTGTATGGGGTTGAAGGATGCCATTCTTGGGCACTTGTAAATCTCGTATTTATAGATTTAATGTGGAATGATACAAAGATTATTAAATTAGGAACAAGAAGATGTGGGATTCTGCTATGGCTTGTGGTGGCTTGTTTAATCCCTATACCTTAATTTCTTCATTAATAAAACAAGAGGTTTATACTAGATGATTTTTATGGGTCCTTGCAGTTGAAAATTTTTGATCTCCTCTAAGTGTTGGTAGCTGCAAATTATGGGCTCCAAAGAAAATTTTTCTTCATATTTTCATCTTCATGTAAGGTTCTTAATGGCAAAAAGCTGACATTTAGGGGGGATCTGGGGGAGAAAGGGATGTTTCATCCAGTGCCTGTTTGCTGTTCCACTCTTTTGCTCCCTAAACCTGGCCATAGATCATCTCCCCTGGAGCCTCCATTTTTTCTCTCTGCAAATCCCATATTCAATACCTTCTCCACTGACACCATTTTTCTTCACCAGTGACAGCAGAATCAGGAACTGCTTTGTCTCCTGCTTTTGTTCTATTTCCTCCAAAGAATGAGATTCTACTTTGTGTAGCTCTTTGACTTTCCACTGGGGTATTTCTCTCTCTCTCTATGGACTGGGATGGAGCCTATACTTCCTGTGTGTGTCTTCCCCACAGGATCTGATGTGGTGAAGAGCAATTGCTGAAGAGCAAGTGCTCACCATGTCCTTGCTAAAGTGAGCTCAGGGAAGAAGGTGATGGGCCCCTTTCCTCCGTCTCTTCACATTCAGTTGAAAACCTGCTGGAGAGAGGTTGCGGGATAACCTCAAGGTAGTTAATACAATGGATGGTAATTATAGCAATAGCTATGCTGTATCAGACACTCTAGTGGATAATGTGATACTCTGCCCAAATGTCCTTGGATCTTTTTCTTTTCTTTCTTCTCTTTTCTTTTCTTCCCTTTTTTAACCCATTTTGTGCCAACCCAGATGAGTTGCTTTTGGGGTTTTTGTTGCTTTGCCTCCAGCAGCCAGGAACTGCAACTCTTCTTCTAGAGCACTGTCTTCAGACCGCTAGAGCATACTTTGCTTATGGTTTGAAGAGTTGAAAAGTTCTGGGAGTTTATGTTCCCTTGAGGAGGGTTTAACCAATGACTAAAAGGCCCAGGAACATGAACACCCAGTTTCTTGCCTTCTGGCAACTCAGAGGCATAACTTACACTTTAGTGTTGCCCTGGAGATCGAGCTGAAGCTGTCTTCCATGGGATTTCACCTGAAAAAAAAAGTGCTTTTCTGGCTGGCCCCCTTTTCTTAACCAGCTTCTCCTATTCCTGTCTAGGTATGCCCTGGGAAGACTTTCTTATCCAATCACAAACACGTGAATCCTCTAATCTCCATGTTAGGGTCTGAATGTAGGGAATTTCCCTGAAACAAGAACCTATTATGTTACATCCCCATATTAGGCATTTGGCACAATTTAACACTGGTCCTCGTCCTAGTCCTGCAAGGTAGGAATTAGGATCCTCATTCTGCGACTATGAAGCAACTATGGTCCAGAGAGATAAATGGCTTTTCCTGATTCATCTAGAGAAGTAGTGGCTCATCCAGAATTCTGAGTTCAGAATTCTGACTCCATCTCTAGAGTTCATGCTCTTTTACTCTGTGAGGTTTGCTCCAAGTCAAGTGAGTCATTCTTTGGAATAGTTATAACAAAGGTGCCAGAGGATCTTTGCAGTTTTGCATCAGAGGGGCCTCTGCCTTAGAAAGGGCTCTTCCCTACATACCAGGACAGGAGGTTATTTCACCTCCTCCTAGGAGAGCTAGAAAACTTGGGCAACTAGAAAGGTATTATTTTTTTCGAATACAAAACAAAACAGCAGACTATGTAAAATGGCAGCTGCCAGAAATATTGTCCTCTTCTCTCTCGAAGTGCCAATAAAAAGTTAAGTTATGATTCTATCCTCTGCTGAAATGGGCTTTCATGGGATTGGAGTAGTTATGGTCCTAATCCACACACTATTCATCACAGTGGCATTGGCAAATGTTTGTATACGCTAACTTCCCCCCAGTGAATCTCTTGCATTACCACAGCTAATGGTTAAACAGAACATGGACCAATATTTGCATCCCTGCCAGCCTCTGGCAATCTGATTATTAGTGCAATAAATATACAACATTTAATAACTCTTCACTTTTCCACTTCGAAACCATCAGTTGTCTCCAGGTTGACTATGAGGAACTTCAAATTCAATTCATTAACATTTCCTTAAATAGTCCTCTTAACAATGCAGGTCTTGCTTTCCCATTATGTACTGTCACTAATAATGGTTTTTACTTCTAACCTATTGTTAATTAAAAAATAAAAAAGAGTCCTCCACTCTCTCCATTTCTGAATAAGGTTTATATTCTCTCTGCGTGAACCACGAAGAGGCCTTTAGAGTGTGGCTTGTAGTGTTTGATAATTGCTATCAAGGTAAATAATTTAGCTGGTCAGACAGAGTGCACTTCTGCATGCCTCGAGTGGACAGCGCAAGTCACGGCCAGTCGGGCATACTAAACCCAAGGCAAAGAGAATCAGAGCTGCATGAAACTTTCATTAGGAGCAAGCAGGAAAAGGCAGCCTTTCTCAGGGGGTGCTGCTGTGACCCCTGAAGCTTGCTGTGACCTGGGACACACCCATCCCCTGCACATCTGCAACCAGACCAGGACTCCCAGCCCACTGGACGACCCCCTACCCCCAGACAGAGGCATCTTTCCCCAAAGGCTTTAAAGATTTTGCCATGAAGGACAAATGAACAGGCACAGATCCTCTGGATGCCCTAATCTTTTCTTTCCCTACTTCAAAGCCTTCTGCATTGCCTCTGAGCCTGTAATTACCCTGGAGGTATTTTAGACTTGAAGCGACACCAGCAAAATTGCACTTCCTGATCATGGGAGTCCACAGTTGTGTTTAATCAATTATGAGGCTGGTCACAAGATGGAGTTTTTCAGCCATAACCATTAAAGAGGAATCATGATCTAGCCCAACTCCTTATGCTTAGGGTAAGGCAACCACAATCTGAAATTAAAGAAACACTAGCCACTTGATGTGGTTTAATTTAGTCTCTACCTCCTTAATTAAAAGCATACCATTACCCACCCACATAACAAACTGACACTTTTATGCCAGACTGTAACTAGGAAAAAAAAAAAAACTGTAAAAGTTAGGTGGAGCTAAATCACTGATTTTAAGATACCAACAGAGGCTCCCGAACACCAGAATAGAATCTACATTTATTTAAACTGAAAGTTTTAAACAAGCTTCCATGCTATTTGAGAGTCAGTTCTCTGTCTGTCTGTCTCTGTCTATCTGTCTTTGTCTGTCTCGCATAGTCACAACAACGCATACATCTTCGCTTATTTGCCATCAGAATTCCAGAAAGGGGAGAGTTTCTTTCTTGGATGTTCTTTTGGAGATCTGTGTGTCTATGTGTGATCAGGCCTGGGGAGTTTCAGGGGAAAGGAATTCAGACCAACTCTCAGGTCCTTGGATTCTGAAATCATCCTGGCCTGGCAGCAGCTAGCCTAAAGAGGACTGGCTTGGAGAAGCCGAGCTGGGTCCAGGATGGCACAAGCCACACAGCAGGCCACAAAGAACCTCCCTCCGCTTGCCAGTTCTGCTGAAAGATGTCCACAGGCTTTCAGAGACTTCACGTGTCAGCAAGGGAGCTAATTCCATACACTCAGACAGGCTGGGTCTGACTGTCTTGCTATGAGCTCCCATCACGGCGTGTGAACCTCAGTTAGGGTAGCAGAATCACCCCTCCTCATCAGCATCCTTAACCCTCTTTCTTCTTGCCCCCAGCCCCCATCCCACTGACCTAATTCCTCTGTGGCAAACTTTTTTTCCCCTACTTTGAGAGTAACATAACATAGTGGTTCAGAACATGAACAGTTAACGCTGTTTGTAGTCAAATTCTTGTTTTGCAATTCCCCAGCTAAGTAATCTGCATCTCAGTTTCCTCATCTGTAAAATGGGGATGGTAAGAGCCACAACTTTGGAGGTTATTATGAGGATCAAATGAGTTAATTCAGGTTAAGTACTTAGAATAGCACATAGTAAACTCTACAAGTTATTAACTTTAAAATTTTATGCTACTTGTGATTTCTAGCTCCTTGAATGCTTCGATCACAGTAGGTCTGGATATAAAAATCTCAGCAATTCAGAGCTGAAAGATCTTCATGATCAACCAGCCACATCACTTCTCATTTTTTAACTGAAGAAACGGGTCCTGAGAGATAAAGTAACCAACATATTAAACAGATTGAGTGGTGGAGTGGATTGTGTTTAATCCAGTGATCTTTTGAGCACACTCTTTGCAAATATTTCTCCTCATTCCTCATGAGAGCTCTCTGGGACTTAGGATTGCTAGAAAGAGCAGCAGCTCCAAGTGCAGCTATTAAGGCTTTGCTGACCAGATTCAGATTCATGTAGGCAGTACGTGGTCTCCTTGGAATGATTTGAAGGGTGCTTAGAAGGCCCAGAATAGCTCCCCCATTGCTGCTGGACATTCTACCATTCTCTAGCTATTATTTTTGGATAATATTGGCACCATAAAAAAGAGACCTTCTGTTAAAAAAACTGTGCATAGTACTCTGAATATGCAGAAAGCACCCAGCATTTTAGTGTGAATATCTTCTTTACTCAGAAAAGCTTGGGAGCCTTAGGCCCCAGGGAGAAAATTATTTTTGAAAAAGGGGAAAGAAAGTGGAAAGAGCAGAGGTCATTGAATACAAGCTATTTAGTCTCCACAGTTTTGCCGAGGGCTATCTTGATCTCGTGCTTCCAACCGGGTCTCCTCTGCCCCTTCATCTGGCTCTGCCTAGATGAATAATAGATGGGGACTGAATGTTCAGTAAAAAGCTCTGGAATGATTGGGTGACCGGTTACCCAGGTGGGTGGTGACTACCCATCTCTGATGAGGGTTATCCTGAAGGTACCTTAGATTGCTGGACTTGAATAGGTAAAAACAAGAGTGAGGTGACCCCTCACTCCATCACCGCCACAGTCAGCCCAGAAGGGTGCAAGATCTGGGCGGAGGAGACTGCCCCTTCAGCAGAGTCCTCCTCCCTGCCTGTTCTTGCCTGCCAGGCTGCAATGCTTCTGCTATAGGCCATCTCCAAGAAACTCGAAATGAACTGAAAATCATACTGCTTGAATGAGGAGCTGGGGGTGAGGTGGCAAAGATGTCAGCTCAGGAAATTCATACTTGGTCATTTTGAGTTGGAAGCCTGGCACACTACTGTCTTACTGGTGTCTCTGAGAATCGCCTTCCCTAGTCCTGATGCACAGCTTGGGTCTGAGACCGAGAGCAGGAGGGTGGAAAGACAGTGTGTATCTCCTGTTGTGATGTACTGAGGAATGCCTGCCTCAGATGCATAACCTGAACCTAACCATGAGGAAACATCAGGCAAACTGAAGTTGAAGGACATGCTACGAATAACTGGCATGTACTCTTAAAAAATGTCAATGTGAAAGACCGGCTTAACTTTAAGATCAGCTTGAGGTCTCTGCTGAGACCTCTGATGGTGGCTGCCTTGGGAATAAGACTTCCCTTTGTATAAGATTTCAGGACTCCCCATTCCTACCAGAGCCCTAGATGGCGAAGGAAAACAAGGACAAGCATGCTAACCTTACTCCTCCTACCAATAAATGCAAGGACTCTCTGCTCTTCCTTATGAGGAGGTGACTGGCTGGCCAGCTCATGCATAGCATTTTTTAAGAAAGCGGTCATTGGAGAGAAGTGTAGAAATTCTCAAAACACAAAAAGCAAAAACAAAAAAAATCCCATGTTTACAGAAATTGCCCTGTGGGAGCAGCCTTCTGGGAATGGAGGGAAGGGCACAAAGCCATGCCACCTACAAGAAAATGCCAGATTGTCTTCCAGGAAGGTTGGCCCAGCTTTTCCATAGTTTCAGACCCTTGATAGCTCTTTCCTTGGGCTTAATTCAGAAGATGAGGCTCTTCTGGAGCAGGACTTTTTCTGTAACCTTAGGTCTTAATTACTTCTGCACAGAAAGGGAGGCATCCTTGGTCTCTTCCAATTCTAAAATTGTATGACTATATTAATAATATACAGTATACTATATAGATACATGTGCATTGAATGACATGCTTGTAATGTCTCATATAGCATCTGTAATTTAATATTGCTTATAAAGTTATGAGAATAACTTCTGGGTAGGTCTGGGCATTTTTTTTTTTTTTTTTTTTTTTTTTTTTTGAGACAGAGTCTCGCTCTGTCGCCCAGGCTGGAGTGCAGTGGCGGGATCTCGGCTCACTGCAAGCTCCGCCTCCCGGGTTCACGCCATTCTCCTGCCTCAGCCTCCCAAGTAGCTGGGACTACAGGCGCCCGCCACTACACCCGGCTAATTTTTTGTATTTTTAGTAGAGACGGGGTTTCACCGTTTTAGCTGGGATGGTCTCGATCTCCTGACCTCGTGATCCGCCCGCCTCGGCCTCCCAAAGTGCTGGGATTACAGGCGTGAGCCACCGCGAGGTCTGGGCATGTTTTTTCATCAATCACACTTAAAAATAATACCTCTTTAAAGAGCCCTTATTGATAGCATTGGTTCTGATCAAGTTACGTACCCTGCAGAAGAATGCATATTGTATTGCTTTTACTCTAAAAAGGAGAGTTTATAATGTGGGTGTTTCTATACCAAAGCAACAGATTCTAATAAGGTTCTACTATAATGTTCTTCACATATCTAGAAAATATCTCATATTCTCTGTCAGTAAGACCATCATTTCTTGGCTACGTAAGGCAAACTGATGGTTTTAAATCAATTTTAGTTAATAAATCTCTTTGAAAATTGAATAAAAATTACGACTTTTTTTCTCCTAAAATCCTCGTAGGTGCAAGATGTTGCATACAATGTCAGGGGCTTTTCAGACTGTCTAGGAGGTCTTAAATGCCAGATCGAGAATCCCTGCTTTTCAGGTATAAATACAGTAGTTTCACTTTATCTGAAGTTTTGCTTTGTGTGGTTTGAATTACCGGCAGTCAACTATGGTCTGCAATGTTAAATAGAAAATTCCAGAAATAATTCATAAGTTTTAAATTGTGTGCTGTTTCGCGTAGTGTGATGAAATCTTGTGCTGTCCTGCTCAGTCCCACCTGTGATGGGACTCATGCTTTTGTGCAGAATATCCGTGGTGTCTTCATTCACCATCCATTAGTCACTCGATAGCCATCTAAGTTGTCAGATCAGCTGTCATGGCATTGCAGTGCTCATGTTCAAGTGACCCTTATTTTACTTAATAACGGCCTCAAAATGCAAAGAGTAGTGATGGTAACACATTGTTATGAGTGTTCCATTTTATTATTTTTGTTGTTAATCTCTTACTGTGCCTAATTTATAAATTAAATTTCATCATAGGTGTATATAGGAAAAACATAGTATATATAGGGCTCCATACTATCCAGAGTTCCAGGCATCCAATGGGGATCCAGGAATGTATCCCCCAGGTATAAGGGAGGATACTGTATGTTGAAGAGGATGGGACACAATCAGCTACTTGCTCAGAGGTAGTTTGGAAAAAAGGTACCTAAAATCAAGTAATTACAATTTTCAAACCCTGAGAGGACACAAGATTGCTAAGTCTCCTGTACACTATAAGCAGAACTGCCTGAGTCACTGTTGCCACCAAGGTACAGGAGTCCTGTATTGAGTCTTTGCTGGGATTCCTGGGACATCCTGCCAACTTCAGGCTCCCCTTGATTTTTGCGTATTGGTCTCATTTCTAACAGACAGATAGAGGATCAATGGGCAGACCTGCATGGCTGTTTCAAGTTCACACAAACCTCGCACATACTCATTTTCCTGGGGTGGTGATTCTGTGTGTAGGTGGAGCTCACTACTGGTCACACAGCTTGCCAAGCAGAGCTCTGTGAGAGATGCCTACAGATTTGCTTCCTGAGACTTTGCTCTGTTCTCCATCCCCCATCACGTTAGCGCATCCGGATAAGTGCCAGAATAAAAGATAGAGTAGGAGAAACACATTGCTTTATAGCTGTGGAGTTTTCTCTGTCCTTGGATTTTGAATTTTTGGTTGTTGACCATTGGCTAGGACCATATGGCTCTCTGTTGTTTTCATTCACATCTCCTCTCCAGCTCCCCACACAATGTTGGGACTGTTTGCAAGGCTCCTTTCCATCAGTCCGCCCAGCAGCATATGACATCTTGGGGATTTGCATTTTTAATTTAATCATTAGCTTAATGTTTGGGGGACATTAGTCATAGGAAGTTAGTCTCATTCATCCAGATGCATTTTTGAAAGTTACAGCTCTTTTCTCTCTACCATAATGCCTCCCTTGAGCATGACTTCTCCCATTTCCTTTAAAAAAACATTCTGTTCTTCTGGAACTTTCAAATAAAGACATCAAAGCTGGAAGGAATTATTAATTCAGAAACTACATTTGAGACTTCCAGAGGAGTTGAACCTGGCTGGAGTTGTGGAGAAACAGTGTTGGTGTAGGGTCAGGAAATGACTTAAACTTGATCTTCAAGGACTTGAAATTGCTCCCTTGAAAAATGGAAAGGCACTTCTCTTGCCTACAACCCTCTGGGGAGACCTGAGTCCAGTGCTTGCTTTCCCTTCAATGCAAATGAATGAACGAAGTTTGCTCCCTAGGCTTCTGGCCAATAGAACTGGAACCATTTTTGGAAGTTGGGCTGCTTTTTGTGTTCTTCAGTTTTGTAAGTTTCTGGACAGATGGCTCTGGAGGGGAAGGTGGGGCTTGGCATGGGCTTTGGAAATGTTGCCTTTAGATAGAAGGGAGGAAGATTATTTCAAGTGAGCCAGTGACTTGAGAAAAAGTGTGGAAGCAGGTATAATAATGAATATTCTGGGCCCTATGAATGCATCCATATGAATATAAGTGGGAGATCAAAGTTGTTCAGCCTGCATAGAGCAGGCTGGGGCAAAGGTAGAAGTTTTCTTGCCATGTTCTTTAGAGTTTAGAGCTTATTCTGTGGGTAGTCTAGAGCCACTGGAAGCATGTGAGTTTGGGAATTTCAGGGTCAAATCAGTTTTAGAATTGTTAATTCGATAGTGGCTATCATGTAACTGGTCTCATCGGAGTCCCTTTGTGGAGCTTCCTTTCTCAAATGAACAAAGGCCAGTGTTTTTTTCTTGATAGTGAAATTGTTATGACCATAGAGTTGCCATTCTTTATGTGACTAAGGACTCTCTTTCCATTTTCAATATAGTTTAAGAAATCTTGTAACCCTCTCCTCCCCAAGTTGAGCCATTGGACTGCAGTTATCTCAAGCACAAAGCCTTACCAACATTTCCCTACAGAGTCTACAATTGATTGTTTGTAGACAAAGTCAGCCATGCCTTGATCATGGTCCAGAGAACCCAGTTCTTTCTGCATTAGGCAACCCTTTCTGGGCCGCACCCTCATGACGCCCACGTGTCCAATATTTACCTCTGTCTCTCTTTGCCTTATTTTCATATGACCATTTCCCACTAATAACCTCCTGCAACAGGAAAACTATCCTTTGCTCATTCAAGGAACTGAAAAAGTAACCTTCTCCTTATAGCTCACCTGCTCAAGAGCCTATCTACAACTCTTTGGACCTCATTATGACATGAACAATTCAATTCCTCCACTTTCTTTCTGTCACCTCCACATGTCGTGTATCTAGCTTATCACATTCATAATTTATAAATACCCTTCCCCACCTTTCTTTCTTCCCACCTGCCCAGAAAATGCACCCTCTAGAGAGGCCCAGCAATATACTGTCATTGTGCCTATAATTAAACAGCCAAACATTGCTGGAAAGAAAGGAAGGAAGGAAGGAAGGAAGGGAGGGAGGGAGGGAGGGAGACAGTGAGAGAGAGAGGGAAGGAAGGAAGGAAAGGAAAGAAGAAATAAAAGAAAGGAAGGAAGAGAGAAAGAAGGAAAGCAAGAAAGAGAGAAAGAGAAGGAAGAAGAGAAAGAGAAAAGGAGAGGAAGAGAAAGAAAAAGGGAAAGAGAATGATCATATGACCAAACAGGATGTTTCCACTATAAATTCACCTTCATTACCCTCAGCTGGGCTTTCAACATTGCCCAGCATTTTCCCTATAATTCTGTATCCAGTAGGATTGCTCTCTCCATCTCCTCAGTGACCAATGCATCATCTCCTCTCCTCCTCTTCTATCATCCCTGTCTTCTACCTCAGTGGACTACCAGGACTCATAATACATATGCACATTTTTTCTCTAACATAATTAACAGTTTCATTTATTTTGATCTAAGCTATACATTCGAATTGTTCAAAATTCAAAAGGTCTGAAAATCAACATTCTACCCTATTTCTTCATAATTCCAGTTCTCCTTCCAATGGGCCACCAATATTTGCAGTTGTATGTTTCCAGAGACAATTTATGTATGTATAAAAGCAAATATTACATATGCATATTCTCCCTCCTCCCTGTCTTTTCTTTTACATATATTATAGCACTTTGATTTTTGTTTTTACTTAACCACACATCATAAATAAATTGATTTCAGTACATAGAGAGAATTTTTATTTTTGTAGATGACATTATTATATTACATTACATGGATGCATTTTTTATTTAGCTAGTCTGTTATTGATGGTCACTTCCAGTATTTTGCTAGTATAGATTATGCAATAGTGAATACATTTAAACCTACATCATTTTGCATATGTGTTGGTATATTTATAAAATAATTTCCTAGAAGTATTATGGATGGGTAAAATGGTGTGCCACTTGCAGTTTTAATAGATATTGTTGGATTCCTCTCCACAGAGATTGTACCAATTTACACTCCCTCCAGCAGTGTACAGGACTATACAAGACACAGGTGGCAAGCCTGTATCTTCAGGCTTGCCACCACAGCATGCTACTCATCTTTTTTGTTTGTTTGTTTGTTTTGAGATAGAGTCTCGCTCTGTCTCCCAGGCTGGAGTGCAGTGGCGCAATCTTGGCTCACTGTAACCTCTGCCTCCCAGATTCAAGTAATTCTCCTGTCTCAGCCTCCCGAGTAGCTGGGACTACAGGTGCAGGCCACCACACCCAGCTAATTTTTGTATTTTTAGTAGAGACAGGGTTTCACCATATTGGTCAGGCTGGTGTCGAACTCCTGACCTCAAGTGATCCACCCACCTCAGCCTCCCAAAGTGCTGGGATTACATGCGTGAGCCACTGTACCCGGCCTACTCATCTTTTTTTTGTCTCTACCCATCTGATAGATGGGAAAAGTTTTCTTACTCTCATTGTAATTCACATTTCCACAGAGAAAACTGAAGCCATTGAAGACTTCCATAATTTTATCTCCACCATAACCATAAACATGTCAGATTCTACTTTTGTCTCTTTTGATTCCTACCTATAAGGGTATACCCCCTTCAGTCAAAAACTCCATATATATTCTAGATATATGTTCTAGTCCCTTCGTGTATGTTCTAGATCAAATTCTTCCTTTCTTCTCGGGCAATGCTCTTCATTGATGAGCCCTTTTTTTTATTTGCTTCATCTTCAACCTTTCCTTCCTTACGAGATCCTTTCCATTGACTTTCAAGCAAACATTAGTAGCTCTTACTCTTCAAGTATTTTCCATTAACCCCACAAGCCCCTTCCACTTACTACCCTAACTCTAGTACACAGCCAAACCACACTGAAGGTTTGTATAAATGCTTCCTCCTGCACTTCCTCACCACACAAGCTGTTCTTCAATACATCCCAGATATCTTCTCCACCTCTCCTGGCTGCTCTGGAGGAAGACATAAGTGACCTCTATGCTGCTACTTCTAATGTTGACTATTTAGCTCTCATTTTATTTGATCCCTTCTCAGCAGCATTTGTCAAAGTTGGCTTCTCTCTTCTTCTTGCAATACTCTCTTCTCTTGATGTTCACGACACCACACTCCTGGGTTTCCTTCTCTATTCGTGGTCAATTCTTCAGCCACTTTTGCTTGCCCTTCTTTCCCTACCTGGCTCTAACAGTTGTCTTCCCCAGATATTCATTTCTATTTTATATTCTTTCCCAAAGAGAACTTATTTTACTCCTAGGGATTTAAAGTCCAGTTACATGCAATAGCTCCCAACTGTCTATCTGTAGCTGCAGCTTCTCTTCTGAGTTCTGGGCCTGGATGTCCAACTGTCTACTGTCTACTTTAAATCTTCTGTTAGATATCTCACTTGCATTTTAAATTTAAGACGTCCAGAACTGAAATCTTTTTCGTCCTCCCCACTCAAATCTTTTTCTTCTCTAGTATTTCCCATATCTGTAAGTGGTACCTCCACCATATGGCTGCACATGCCACTAGATTAGGCATTATCCCAGAAAGATCCTACAGTTCCAGTCCCATATCAAATTTATAAACATTTCTATTCTTTTGCTCTTCAACACATAGCTCAATTTCATCATGTTTTCCTATTTCTAATGATACTGCCTTTATCAAATCCACAGCATTTTTCTGGGATCGCTGCAATAGCTTCTAGCCAATGTCTTCTAACTGCATTGTAGTCTGTTGTCACAAAAGAAGCCAGCATTTGTAAACACACCAACTAGGTAATGTTATTTCCCTTCTTAAAACCTTTCATAAGCTTTCTATTATACTTACAATAAGGTCCAAACCCTCTGTCATCATGATATTGCAGAGACTACTCCGATGACCTTCTTGATATCCATTCCTGTCCCTTTCGTACCAGAATCTGCCTGGTTACACGGTTACACTTCCTACCTCCCTTGCAAACAGGTATGGTTTTGTAACAGATCTGGCCAAAGGTATGTAAGTGGAAATGTTGTCTGGAAGCTCTGGGAAGGGTCCTTTAAGGAAGCTCAGGTGGGGCATGTTTTTGTCCTGCCCTTCCTTCATTCTTCCTTCCTGTTGCCTGGAATGCAAATATGAGGGCTGGATCTCCACTAGCTTCTTTGGATCATGACAGGACCTGTCAGATGCAAGCCACTTGCTGGATGGCAGTGTAAAAAGGTGGAAGAAGTCCTAGTCCTGAATGCCACAATGCTGCAATACTATCCCTGGTCTGCCCATCTCTGGATTTCTTATACGAGTAAGAGAAATCGGCTTCTGTTTTCTTCATGCCACTGTTACTTTGTTTTTGGGTTATATGCAGCTGAACTTAATGTTAACTGCTACATATGGCTTATCAGGCCTTGTGTGATGATCCAGCCCTTGCTCTCCTCTTTGACCTCCTCTTGTGCGCCTGTTCCCCTGGATCCGGATCCACTCTCTACAGTGTTATTCTGTCAGTTTCTTGAACTCCTTGCCCCTCGGGGCCTTCTCATCTGTCCTTCCCCTGCCTGGAATGCTCTTCTACTCCTTCTTTGCCTGGCTAGCTCCTGTCATCTTTCAGGTTTGAGTTTAAACATCCTATACTTGGAGAGACTTTCTCTGATTCCCTGATCTAAATTATGTTTCCTGTTTCTCTCATACCACTCTGATTTTTCCTTCACAATACTGATTCTAATTTGAAATAGCATACATATATTTTTAATGTCAGTCTCTCTACCATGGCAAAACTCATGTCTGTTTGCTCAGTACTTATATCCAAAACCTACTTCTAGGCCAGGAATATACTCAAATAGTAGTTGAATCAATGGGAGAAAATATAGAGTTTGGTTCAAAGAGTGGGATCACAAATCTAAGAGTCTGGGTTTTAGTCCTGACTCTTACTAGCTGTGTGACTTCAGTCTAGTTACTTAACTCTTTAAGCCTAACTTTACTGATCTTTAAATGAGGTTAATGGTAGGATGTTCCTGAGGGGATTGTGGTGAAGATTCAGTGACCAAATAAAACTAAAGAATTCAACATAGTGCCTTTCACAGAGAAAATGCTCAGTATACAATAGCTCTTGTTAATGAGTAAATGAAGGAATCAATGAAAAAGCCAAGGTTATTTTTGGCAGTATGTTACCTGACCCAGAAAAGACACCAGTGCTCAGGAGTGACCTTCATTTGCTGTGGTTGTAGTGCTTTCAGCCAAATAAAAGTGGGAGTAATACATCACAGGCATTTTGAGTGTCCACCTTGACCTTTTTTCAGGGGCAACTCAAATGCTGTGCTGTAACAAGGCCCTCCCTTGGCCTTTGATACTTATTTCCCTTGTTTCTACAGCACTTGGACTCACTATCCCAGCACCTACCACTGGCTCTTGGAGAGCATGTCTTCCCTATCCTTGGGGATGGGATGCCAGTCTCTTCCATGCTGGGCCATGTCTTATGTGCCTACCCTTCCCTGACTCCTGAGCAAAATTCTTCTGGAAATGAGATTTTAGTCCTTCTTATCCAATAACAGGAGAACCGAAACACCAATCAGTGAAGAATGTGGAAAGAGAGAATGGTTGACTTCCTGTGCACAAACCCCTCCTTACCCAGTTACTTCAAATTCCTGAAAGATTTAGAGAAGCCATCTCTGAGTCTGTTTTAGCTCTATTGAGGAAACTCCAAAACCATTTGGAAAGGTTCAATCGTTCCCCAGATGAGCTGTCTTCCCATTTATAAGACAATCCAAAGTCCTGTATTTACTAAGAGTGGAGCAGGGGACACACACACACACACACATACACACACACACACACACACACACACACACACACACACTCACTCATGCAACAACCCACTCTGGATTCGCTGTAATCCTGGCTTGAACATTCAAGAGAATACTTGAATAATACTTACCTACCTCACTGGGGTGTTGTTAACGATTAATTAGTTAATGTTTATAAAGCACTTTGCAGATGTAAAGTGCTTTTTAAGTGCTAAGTATTATTATTATTAAGCAGAAGTTCTATGGTTTAGCTGAAAATATTTTTTTGCAATCACACATTTAGCTGTAAATAAATCAAGCTTATTTACAAGAGGGTTTTCCTTTTAGGGTCACCTCCTTGTTATTATCATTTAGCTAATCTCTTCTATTCTCCTTTGGATTACAAATAGAGCTGCCTCATCCTGAAAACTTCTTTGAGATAATTTCAAGAATATCACAGAAAAATAAATAGCCAAAGAGACTACCCATTTCCTCAAGAGTGAAGCTATGTATTTATTCAAAAAAAAAATTCTATGCCTTACTTAATATCCAAGAGTTTCTGTGAAGAGTTCCTAATTTAGGTCTACACTGAAAAAAAAAATACAGTTAGAACAGTGTCTTATCAAATAGGACAGAGGAATAAATCTGCTACATTTGATGACAATAGTAATAGCAATAAGAACCATACTAGGAATTGGAAAGATTTTAGGTTTTATTTCCTCATTCCTCTGTCTTTAATCTGTCTTTGTTCTTTAAAAGCCTGTGATGAAGGTGGGGGTAGAAGGCCGAGGAAGAAGCAAGTGGCATTTCTGGCACAGCCATACGCAAGCTGTCCAGTGGCAGAGCAGCCCTAATGAAGTAGTAAAGTGTCTAAGTCCACAGCAACCTGCAAGTCAAGTTCTTTCTTCCAGAGCCTTAGGCAATTCCATGGGAGTCAAGCTGGATCTTTAATGAACTTAGTAGACTATAAATCAACAAGGGATATGACACTGGGAAAAGGGATGAAACAAGAAAATCAGACAATGAAGCCTGCTGCTGCTCCCTTACTAAAAAACCACACTGTGTTTTTGATGGACTATATTCTTTGGCGTATTCTGGTGGGGATTTTTTTCAGGTATAGTTGGATAGTAGCTATTTTAGCAGGGGCATAAGTTGTCCAGATATCGGATCAGTACCATGCAAGAGTTATATCTTTTATGTATAATTTAAGGGTAGGTGGGAACAACCAAGCTGAATTACTGACATTGTAAGGAGATGAAAAGTCAAACTGCTGACCATGTGCATTTTATATTATTTAATTAAAAGCAGATAACGGTGCATGAATGAACCACAAATCAGATAAAAATGGCAGCATTTTCTCATATTTAACACATATTTGACTTGTGATTGTGTGACAATTTACTAGAACAGGTCCATGATGTCTCCAAATAGAAAATCAGGAGTGTAATTAAAAAATACTGCAGGGGAGAAGCAATATTAACTTCAACCCTGAGCAGAGCTAATCACAGCCACAGTTCTCAACACTGTTACTCTCATTTAATGAGGCTCTTCTACTTCTTTCTTTACCGTGGAATAAAAAATGAAAATCATCAGAATTTTGCTAACTCAAAATGTTTAAATATACAATATATCTTTTAGAGAAAGAAAGAAGAGGAATGGTTTACAAATTCTAGATGTCAAGATTCCCTGCTTATTATTCATTTTACTGGAGTCTCATTAAATGACCAACGGTCAGTCATTTAGAGTTGTGCCTCAGGAGAGAACTGCTAATTCACTGCACAATCTTTAGAGTTTTTAGTTTCATCAGATGTGGGAATATCCATCTTCTCCTTTTCAGTAACACAGGAGCAAGCTTTCCTAAATTGTGCAGAGAATATTCTAAGGAATCCAATCCCTTTGGCACCCATTCAAACATGCCTGTATAGGAGCTGAGCCTCCTCAGACCTGACTGGGAAACAATGCCACAGAGAGTGGTCCCAAGTCTCTAGGCTCCATTCGACCTTCACTGCTAGGCTCCACTTGACCTTCAGACCAAATGGAGAAGACTTTGGTGTCTTCTATGCTTTCTGGTCTTTAATTGTTTTATGATTTCATCAACTCACCTAACTTTGTTCAGAAAAGTTCACAAAAATCCTTCTCTACCTTAGTTATTTTGTCAGAGAGTGAAAGCTAAGTACATAAATATATTCAACGACAAAGTGTTGATAATTATTTGATATTTTAGTACCTTTTTCTGCCTTGGATCAAACAAGCTCCTGAAGTGTTTCTACATTATTCACCCTTCCTTTAGTTCCCAGTCAGTATAAATTCCCTGTTCTTTAAATTAAAATCTCTCATTTCTTACCCTTTGTTGCCCAAAACTTAAGGGACATATTTTACTGATTTTCGCTTAAGGGTTCTCCTTGGAGCCAGAACAAAGAATTTGTAATTTTATCCATAGAGAAGGGTTTCAATTCATAGGAGGAGTGGTATAGAGATTGATAACTCCAAGTAAACAAGAACCTAACTCCTTTCTCTTATATCCTGAACAAGTCCGATGCAGAGAGTAGCCCATGGAGGAACTTCGCCAGGGAGGGAGGGGCTTGGATCAACTCGGTTGGTTTAGCAAATGAAAAGATCTCAGTTAGCATACCAGGTACCACTAGGGGTTGAGAAGATTTGGGAAACAGGTGCTTTCAAGTCAAAAGATCAGTGAGAGAATAATCACCAAATGCAAGGGAGAGTCATGAACAGGGTGGAATTGGGTGGGGGATATGGTTCAAGAGAAGAGTTCAGAACTAAGGCAACTTAGTAAGTGTGGAAGAGTCCCATTCCTCCTGAAATATTGCCCAGTGGGCATTGCATGAGTGATGATGGCAGCTTAAAGGACTTTTAGAAAGTGTGGCAGGAACTGGGAAAATGAAACCAAGTCAATTGAGTAAAGTTGTAGAGTGTACTGAGATTTCTAGTAGGAAATAAATATAAACTTAGTCTGGAGGCAATGAACAGGCCAGAATTACTCTATTTCATAGATTTAAAAACATGTATAGTATAATGTTTTCGCATCTCTAGTTGGCTTGCATCTCACAGTTGATGGCATCTTGGAGTTATAAAATAGGGTCTAGCATGAAAGGCATGAAGGCAAAAGAAATAGATGGACCTCTGGCTATGCACAGTCCTCCAGGGATGGGAGGGCAGAGGGGAGCTTTCCATTGTTTATTAAGTGAGAGTATTGTAAGCATGACCTTTTTCATATCACTGTGATTTTTCAAATGAAGCTTTTAGAACATTTCACTCAGATGCTGGATCTCAGCTTCCTCTTTTCTGACACTGTCGCTCATTCCTCCTTCCTTGTATTTCAACTATGTTATCTTTTTTATTTAGGGAAAAGTGGGGGGTGGGGTGGTGGTAAGAGTTCAGCTTAAATGCCAGCTCCTCAGACAGGCCTTCCCAGACCACCCAACAAATAACCATCCCCCACTCACTTCTATCACTGCATCCAATTTTATTCTCATCATAGCATTTATTACTATTCTTTCTTTCTTTTTTTTTTTTTTTTTTTGAGACGGAGTTTTGCTCTTATTGCCCAGGCTGGAATGCAACAACGTGATCTCGGCTCACCAAAACTTCCACCTCTCAGGCTCAAGCATATCTCCTGCCTCAGCCTCCCGAGTAGCTGGGATTACAGACATGCACCACCACGTCCGGCTATTTTTGTAGTTTTAGTAGAGACTGGGTTTCATCATGTTGGTCGGACTGGTCTCGAACTCCTGACCTCAAGTGATCCACCCGCCTTGGCCTCCCAAAGTGCTGGGATTCCAGGCATGAGCCACCGTGCCCCACCATTACTATTATTTCTTATATTTATTATTATTATTTATTTTTTATTATTTTCTGATAGTTTCTTATTAATTCATTGATTCATTTTGTTTATGGTCCATATTCTTTGATGGATTTAAGCTCAATAAGCATAAAGGTTTTATTCACCAAAGTGTCCTCTGTTCATGGAATAATGCCTGGCACATAGCTGACTCTGAATAAACATGTGTAGAATGAGTAAATGAACATAAGACCTTGAAAAGTGTCGAACTCTTCCCTGGAGTAAAATAATGAGCGTTATATCCAACTAATGTGCTTTAGGGTGTTTTGTGGGTTCCTCTACATTTCCCATATATCTTTTTAATCGAATAAGAAACTTTAAAAACCATGTGATTCTGGGTCTGTAAGACAGCAACTCCTAAAATATAGCTTGAGATTTTCCAGAAACTTAAATTAAAGCATCTCTTCTCACTGTCTAGGATTATGCATGCTGATCCAGCTTCAAATCAGCCAGCAACTATTATTTACCCTAAAATTAAAAAGCAAGAAAACACCCTCTGTTCTAGCAGAGACAGATTCATGAAAAGTTTTGGTCTTATTATGTTGGCTCTGGTCTTAGCGATCCATACAGGTATAAAATATCTCTTATGGGTTTAAAATTATCATTATCATTAATATTATCATTAATATTATGCTAGTAGCTATAATTACCAAGGTTGTCACTTCAAAAAGTTGAAACAAGCTGGAAAAAACTATCAAAAGAAAGTAACCTGCTTCCACATACAGACAGCTCAAGTATTGCCTAGAAATGGAGATCATGCTAGGAGAAAATGTGAAAATGGACATGAGTCATAAAACTAACTTTGAGTTTAACCTACATTAATCCTTTGAATGAACGTCCCTCTCAGAATGAAATTAACCTCTTTGATTTTAGCCTATATAGACCTACTCCCATTATGCCTTCATTTCAAGTTAAAAGCAAAATAAAAACAGATCCTGTTAACATTCAAAGTATGTGTAATACAAAGTCATCCAGGAATCACTAAGAAATATTTCTTGCTAAATATAAAAGCATGTGGAAAGGCAGACATATGTAAGGAGAATAACCCTTTTCCAGTCATACTAGAGCCATCTTGATGTTGACAGGAATCCTTGGAATGCTGGGCAGGAATAGTCTATGCAGTGTCATCATCATCATCTTCAGTTTGATGGTTCAGTGATGAGGCTGGCTACTCGTACATGGATAAATTGTGTTTATCATTCCTTCTGAAACCCTTGTGCCTCTTTCTTCTACTTAGTGGGTCAACTTGTCCAAACTGTAATGACTCAAGAGCTTACTCACTCATCAAGCATTCACTGAGCATCTATCATATGACAGGTGCTGAAATGGGTTTTTGGGATACTAAGAGGGAGGCCCTGATCATCTCTTTCCAATGGCCTGTGCATGGCTTTCCTAACAATATTATGGCAGGGTGAAGTGACACTGGGCTGTTTGAGTCACAAGTGAAAAAGAGTCATTGTGTGCCTGGAACATTTATTTTCAGGCTATAGAAAAGTGAGGTAAAGACCTAACTGCCCAGTGCTTGACAGAAATTTCCTTTTGGATCTAAATGTTTTCATCTTGAATAGACATGATCATTGGAGTCGGGTCATTCTTTGGGCAATTTTTGATTTATTTAAATTCACAGTTTATAAGGTGTGTGCCATAGTCTCCATTTTATGTATGAGGAACTTGAGGTTTAGAGAGGTTGGACTAGTTTCCTGTGGCTGCTGTAACAGATTATTAAAAACTGTATGGCTTAAAACAAGATAAACTTACCGTCTCACAGTTCTAGGAGCTAAAAGTCAGAAATCAAACTGTCTTCAGGGCTGCGCTCACTACAGAAGCTCTAGAGGAGAATCCGTTCTTTGCCTCTTCCAGCTTCTCATTTCCATTGGCACTCCTTGACTTGTGGCAGCCTCACTCCAATCTCTGCTCTCGCAGTCACCTGGCCTCTCCCTCTGCTGTCTATGGGTCTTCTCTTTTGTGTGTCTATTTATAAAGATACATGTGTTTGCACTTGGGGCCTGCTTGGCTAACCCAAGATTATATCCTCATCACAAGATCATTAACTTACTCACATCTGCAAAAACCTTTTTTCCAAGTAAGGTAACATTTACAGGTTCAAGGGATTTGATATAAATATCCTTTGGGGAGCTAATTTTTAGCCTTTTTAGCCTAAGGTTAAGCCTTTGTCCAGGGTTATTCAGTTGGCAGAGGTGAGTATTGAACATAGCCAGCCAGATTTTATTTCAGAGTCCATTTTAAAAATTGAATTAATTTTTAAAATGGACACATAGTAATTGTACATATTCATGGGATACATAGTGATGTTTTGATACATATAATGTATAGTAATCAGATCAGGGAAATTAGCGTATCCATCATGTCAAACATTGATCATTTATTTGTTTCGGTAATATTCAAAATTCTCCTTCTAGCTATTTGAAACTGTATATTATTGTTAACTATAGTCATCCTACAATAACATAGAAACTAGAACATATTCCTCCTATCCAGCTATAATTCTGTATCCTTTAACAAATATCTCCCTATCTCTCTCCTCCTCCTACCTTTCCCAGCCTCTAGTAACCTCTGTTCTATTTTTTACTTCTATGAGATGAACTTTATTTTTTAATCTTCCACATATAAGTGAGGACATGCGGTGTTTGATTTTCTGTTCCTGGCTTATTTCATGTAAGACAATATCCTCTAGGTTCATCTATGTTGCCACAAATGGCAGGGTTTCATTCTTTTATATTGCTGACTAATATTCCATTGTGCATATATACCACTTTTTCTTTATCCATTCATCTGTTGTTGGATTCTTAAGTTCATTCCATATCTTGGCTATTGTGACTAGTGCTATAATAAACATGGGGGTACAGATGTCTCTTCCATATATCAATTTCCTTTTTTTGAATAAATTCCCAGTAGTGGGATTGCTGGATCAAATGGTAGCTCTGTTTATAGTTTTTTGAGGAACCTCCATACTGTTCTCCATAATGGCTGTACTAGTTTACCCACCAACAGTGTATAAGAGTTTTCTTTTCTCTGCATTCTCATCAGCATTTGTCGTTTTTTGTATTTTCAATAATAAGCATCCTAACTGGGGTCAGATGATAACTCATGGTGGTTTCGATTTGCATTTCCCTGATGATTAATGATGTTGAGCATTTTATCATATACTTTTTGGTCATTCGTATCTCTTCTTTTGAGAAATGTCTGTTCATATCATTTTCCCAGCTTAAAATTGAGTTTTTGTTTATTTATTTTGCTGTTGAGATGTTTACATTCCTTGTATATTCTGGATATTAATCCCTTGTTGTATAAGTAGTTTACAAATATTTTCTCTCATTTCATAGGTTGTCTTTTCACTCCTGTTTGTTTCTTTTGCTGTTCAGAAGCTTTGTAGTTTGATATAAACCCATTTGTTTTATTTTCTTTTGCTTCCTGTACTTTTGAGGTCTTATTTATAAAATCTTTTCTCAGACCAATGTCCTGAATTGTTTCCCTTGTGTTTTCTTCTACAAGTTTTAGGTCTTACATTTAGGTCTTTGATCCATTTTGAGTTGATTTTTGTATACGGTGAAAGGGGAGAGTCTATTCTTTTAAACCTCCACACTGACTCTTGGAATATATGTATATTCAAGTAAAGTTTTCAATGTAATTATATAAGTAGTAGTTTCAACCTGGTCACTTAGCATGAAGAACTAGGATGTACGATGTATTGATAGCAGTGTTCTGTTGTTTCCTTTTGATTCATTCAACAACCAGTATTTCCTGAGTGCCCACTATGTTCCAGGCTCTCTGCTGGCTGGCGTGAAGAGTCAATGTTGAGCAAAAATAACCACCATCCCTATTCTTCCAAGCTCACTTCCAGCAGGGGGACAGACATAAACAAAAAATAACTCATTAATGGAAATCTAATCACAAACTGAAAAGGAAAAGGGAGATAGAACAAGGAAAACTGACCCAGGCTGAATGCGAAAACAAGATTTCCCTGAGAAGTGGTGTTTCGGCCAAGATCTAAAGGCTGAATAGGAGCTAACAGGTAAGGAAAAGGTTGCAGCGGGGAAAAACATCCCAGAAAGAGAAAATGGCCCCGTGGCAGAAAGGATTATCAACCTTTTAGAAACTGAAATAAGGCTAGAGCAGAGAATGAGGCAGCTTTATCAATACGAGCATTTGTTTCTAGATGTAGTTGCTGGGCAAAGAGTAAGATGAAATGGATTCTCTAAGGTGGCAAACTCTTTGAGAGCAGGGAATGTGTTTTATCCACCTCTGGATACTCTGACCAGTGTGGTATTTCTTTCACCCAGAGTATACATGCAATGCTAACTTGTTGATTGACTTAATGAATAAGTGAATAAATAAATTAGCCTTGACCTCACAAATGCAGGCTATTTGACAAAGCCAGTGAAGTAGCCACCATTCCGCTTGCTCAGTGTTTCCTTTCTAATCCAGGGGGTCATAGTGTGCCCAGCTATATTCTGGCCATTTGTTGTAGCCACATAATTGTCGCATGTTAGCGAAGGGTGGTGAGGGAGCCAGGAATCAAAGCCTTTTTGCATGCAGTTGTGAAAAAAGGGAAGGCCATTGACTGGAGGAGAGAAAGCCTAGAAAATAAAAACTAAAACAGTTTCCTCATCCCTCAACACAGCCTAAGCCCTGGTATAGACATCGCCGACTGCATCCTGAGGCCAAGGCAGTAGCACACTCTTGATTCCCTGCCTCCCTGGGGGACTTTTCTGCAGGCAAGCTTTTATCTGATGCTCCATGTTTAGGGTACAGCATTATAAAAGAGTTAACTTTGGGTCTTGAAAAAGGGGACAGGCTATGAAGAAGGTTTTCTTACACTCCACTCTGAGTCTAACCTTTCTTGCTCACCACACATGGACCAAGCTAGACAGCTTGTCTGTTAGAAGAGATGTTCGTGGGATATATAATTTCCATAAACGCTCATTTAGCTTCTTTATCCAAGGAGCTAGAAGGGACAAATTTCATTTCCATACAAAACCCACTTAAAAGGACAAGGTCTCAGAGATTGTCTCAGAATTCACTATTAAGAGTTCTCCTTGGGATAAAACCTGACTGGTTGTTTTAGCCACAGAAACACTGCAGATGTGAAGGCCTAGCTGTGGAAATCAGGCAATGAGATGGAAGACTCTCAGAGGCCTATGTCTACAACTGCCACCATTCCAGACAGAAAACTTACAGGGCTGACAAGTTGTTTGCTGGATTCTGCAAATCACATGTGGGGTCCACTCAGATAATGGTATGATGTTTTCAATTTACTCCTAAAATAGAAATTGTATGCTGACCTTCTAGCTTTTAACTTCTAAGATACTCTTTCTTCCATTCTTAACTGTTTTTCCTCTTTTCCTCATCTCTTTCTTTGCTCATTATCTCTTTACTCTAGAGGTGGTATCAGGTGCTAAAACTGGGCAGTGAATCAGGGGAGCTCTAGACCAGGCTCTTACACTAAGTAGTTGCGTGGCCTGGGGCATGTCACAGAACCTGTTTGGACCTTAGTTTCCTCATCTGTAAAATGGATCAATAGACTTCCTGTGAAGCTACCACTGTGGCTTTGTGCCTCCTTCTTCCCCCAGACAGTTCATTTTTATCTCTCCAACCCATAAGGCTCTCATCTTCTCTTTCCAATTGTATTCTTCACTTACATCCCTCTTCTTTTTCCTCTGTCTTCCTTGTTCTTGTGGAACAAATGGAGGATCAGAAGTCAGACTGGTTTTTATCTCTTTGGAGAATAACGGAGACATTTCTAAAGCCCTAATTGATAAGATAGCCATGCCTACAGGAACAAGGGTTTGCACTGCTTTGATTAAGACGGCCAGCACCGTTATATCACAGGATGAGGAGAAGCCATCGGCTTTCAAAATATCCCAATGCGTGTTATGAAAATGGACTTGGATAAGAGGGGAGACTGATGACTTATCTTTCCCTATGCATATCTTGCCCTTATTTATTTTCCTTCTATCAAGGGCATGGTCCCATAGTGACTTCTCAGAGGGAGGCCAAGAGATTCCTTGTTTATGCCTCTTCACTCTTCACAGGAGCCCAACTTCTCCCTCAGCAGCATGGTGGATGATGCTGGATAAACTCGCCGGAGATTCTCTGTCCTTTCATCTGCTCTCCCAGATTATACCTTCTTTCTACTTTGTTTTTCAAAGACAAGACCACCTTAGAACATGGCTTCTTCCAAAAAAGCATTTGGCAGCTTTCTTCTAAGCCTGAGGGGAGACTGAGAAGTGGTTTCTTCTCTTTCCTAATGCAGGTATTAAGCAGACTTAATATTCACTTACTCTGAAAAATCCCACTTCACAGAAACATTTTTTAACACGAGCCAAAACATTTCTCCCTAATTCAGCACAATTGCGCCTGGTTTATATCCATTGATGTTAAATGATTTCCCGTTTAATATCAATTGGAAATGGCTGATTTCCTACCCCAAACAGTACTTAATGTCAATTATGGCAGGCAGGGCAGAGCTGTTTTTCAATTAACTACAGCACTCCATTTTGTTTGCTGGCGAGTGGTGCAAGATGCAAGCACACAAAGCTGCCTCGTGAAATGGTGACAGAGAGGGGCTTGGTATTGATTTTGCTGCCTGTTCCTGATCATTCTATTAGGAGGTGGTTATAGGGAGGGGGTGCTTGCCTTTTCCTTTTTCCCCTGGTTTAATGAGAACCTACTCTTCATCAGAGAATCTTTTGGTCTGGCGATGACCAGAACTTGTTGGGGAAAGCACAGCACTTACACCATCAACACTCTTGCTGGACAGAGTTCATAGAGATGTGGAGGGGGATGTGGATTCACAGAGAAGATTGAGACTATGATGTGAACTCTAGTTTTACCCAAAGTGTGGGTATGGGTGCAGGTGTAAGGCGTGAGGCTAAGATTGACAGCTAAAATTTATTGAACACCTGTTGTGGGTTAACAACTTGATGTTATTTTGAATCCTCTTAATAACCTTGTAAGCAATAGTATATGCTTGTCTCATGGGTGTCCATATCTAAGGCTGATAGGATTGTCTAATACCATAGAGCTATTCAGCAGCTGAAACTAGAGCTCAAACCCAGGACTGTCTGATCCTATCTCTCGGACCAGCCTTCCTTTCTAATGAAACTGATGGTTGACAATATCCCTGGTGGTTCTACATAATCCATAGGGTGATGCTTCTTAAGATATTGGAGGGTGGTGCCAGGGTGATGCTTCTTAAGATATTGGAGGATGGTGCCAGAGGGGAATGGGATTCCTGAGTCTAGAATCCAAAGGTCTACGCAGTCTCGTTTTTGTGCTGCTGCAATCCTTTTATGATGCTTTGCACTTTCCCACCTTTCTGTGTGTGAAAGGCTTCTCTCACTCTTTTGCCTATGTTAATTCCACCCACATTTCAGGGACAAGCTTGAGTTGTCTATGAAACGCTCCT
The DNA here is from genome assembly GCF_000001405.40 of Homo sapiens. NCBI lineage: Eukaryota > Metazoa > Chordata > Mammalia > Primates > Hominidae > Homo > Homo sapiens. The sequence goes on along the minus strand of NC_000002.12, from coordinate 59,951,469 downwards.
TGACTGCACAGTCCACCTTGGGCCCTCTCCATTGAACATTTACAGCATTTTGCTCTATGGTCCTTGGCTAACATTTTTCCACTTATGGCTGTAGAAAATTTCCCTGAGAACAGAAACCACGAAGAGGAAAAAATTTTGCATTCTTTGGGGGCTAATAGGGCTGGCTGAAATCTACTTTCGTGATTCCCCACTTTATTTGTTATTCGTTCAGCAAAGATTTATTAAATGCCTACTGTCTGCCAAGCATTATGCCGGGAGCTATTGATGCCAAAGAGCTTATATCCCAGTGGGAGGAATAGTCAGTAAGGGGACGGCTTCAGTGGAGGGTAGTAGGTACTATGGGATTGCCCAAGACAGAAGCACTTACCTTAATGGTGTAAGTCGGGGTAAGTAGAGGGTAGGTAGAGGAGTCAGAGAATTTTCTTTGGAATGCATATCTGAATTGAGTTTTGAGGAGGTGTTTAAGCAATCGCAGGTAGGGGACAGAGAGGGATGGGAACCTGAAGGCAGAAGACAGCAGACGCGTGAGCAGAGGATGACACGGGCCTGACAGGTTACTGAAACTTATGAGTCTCAATCCTTCATCAATTCTACAGCCTTCATCCTAGGGATGATGTAAGGATTGATAATAGCACACATTTACTGAATTCTTCCTCTCAGGCTTGCATTAATATGAGTTCTTTATTTGTATTAACTTGAATCTTCGTAATGATTTTATGAAGTAGGCATTGTTATTATACTTATTTTATAGATGAGAAAACTGAGGCACAAAGAGTTTAATGAACTCACCCAACTTAACCAAATTAGTCAGCTGTGGAGCTGGAATGAAGACCTGGTGGTCCAGCTCCTGAGGCTAACATCTTAGCCATTAATCTATGCTGTTTTAAAAACCTCATTCAGACACTGCACTGTACACACAAAACGCACACTGAAATAATCACTGCATTCATAATTCTTGCCTTGATTTCTTGGTTTCTTTGCTTATATATTATATATTTTAAAAACGTTTCACTCAGTAAAGACAAGTTCTTTTCTGTCCAGAACAACACCTTCTGTGGTATAGGACTGTGCACTCTACACAGTGATTTTACATCCCTTCTCCACACACATACACTTTGGGGCCTATTTCAATGCTGTCCATATAAAGAATACATGAAACAAAACAAAACAAGACACTCAGATAAATGCTTGTGCAGATGAAAGTTGCCAGTGAATTAGGAAAAAGTGAAGCTTCTTGTTTCTAAACATTTATTAGGTATCAGAATGCCAAAAATTTCTTATGGGGTATTGTCAGTATCATGGACGACTCGTTTCTTAGCTACTCTTTCTAAAATGGTTGGGAATGAGCTTTCTGGGAAGTTGTCTTGAGTGTTAAGAGTCCAGGCTAGCTCATAACATTTTTTTTTTTTCTTTGAGAAAGAGTCTCACTCTGTTGCCCAGGCTGGAGTGCAGTGGCACGATCTTGGTTCACTGCAACCTCCGTCTACCGGATTCAAGCAATTCTCCTGTCTCAGCCTCCTGAGTAGCTGTGACTACAGGTGTCCGCCACCACACCTGGCTTATTTTTGTGTTTTTTGTAGAGACAGGGTTTCACCTGGCCAGGTGGCCAGGCTGGTCTCGAACTCCTGATCTCAAGTGATTTGCCCACCTCAGCCTCCCAAAGTGTTGGGATTACGGGCGTGAGCCACCATGCCTGGCCACTCCTAACATTTTTTTTTGAGGTTGTTCAGGTGTCATACTTGCTAATATAAATTAAGCTTCTCTTCCTGACCAATTTATTTGGAGGAAATATCAGATGCCAGTGCATGGGCTGATCCCATTGGCTGAAAAATACAGTATATTTCCCTAGCATTGCACTACCAGCACTTGAAGATGTACATTTTTCTTTTTTCCCTTCCCGTGTCTTCCATTGACCTACGTGAGATATTCTATATATCACACATGTCTCTGAGATATTCAGGTTTTCACAAAAATCTATGGGATTATTTAGTAGGAATAGTTGATGATAATTTGGATTTTCTTTGAAATTCTTATTTATTCTTAAGTAGGATTTAGTCTTTAAAACTTAAGCAATAAAAGTCATACTTAAATGTGATCACTTTTATTTTGGTTCAAGTTTTTGAATTTAGGATCAACCTTAAACATGAAAAGGGAAGGAGAATGAAAGGGGATGTTCATATGGAGGGGGCAAGGCTCACGAGGCTCTTTATAACTCATTGAGCCTGCACAGCATTGTTTACAAAAATGGTGCTGTACCAATGATAACATTTATGCAGCCATTTCTAGCCTAGACAAGCAAAGAGGGTTTTGCTATTTGACATTAGGCAATATTTATGGACATTATTCCAGGGATCCTTGCAGGATTTCAGAATGTCATGAGAATAAATATCTTCTTTAATTCAGACCAGCTCAGGGTCAATGCATAGAAGCCAGACCTTTGTACTCATTTTTACCCCACATCTCACTCATAAGGGTTGTTATTTGCCTTGATTGAAAGCATTCTTCTCTAGGGTGTGGCTTTTAGAGTTGTGAAGAATAGGCAAAGAAGAGGTTTATGAAGAAAGGAGAAGATTTTATAGAATTCCTACTCTGTGCCTGGTACTGAGCTAGGCAGGTTTTAAATACATTTGTAGTTCCTCAGAGGAGCCCCAGTCTCTATACCTGACCTCTGTGTCCCCAGGACTTACTCTTTACATTAATAGGTGGGATTATGCCAAATAATCCCAGGCTTTGCCAAAAAAAAAAAAAAAGAAACAAACAAACAAAAAAACACACAAACAAACAAACAGGTATTGGGTATAAGCTAGGACATCAGGCCCAAGCTATCATATCCATCTTACAGATATGGTGGAAAGGTGGTTTTAAGGTCCCTGGGCAGAAATTCTCGACATTTGGCTTAGGTTTCTCTTTGGTGCCTTTAATTCCTCCCCTGCAAGTGTACCTAATCCAACTGCTAATTAAGGGAAAAAATAGAGACAGCAGATGAGCAGTATGATTTTTTTTCTCCTTTTGAAGCAATTTAAACCTTTGGAAGGTACACAAATGTAGCCCTATTTTTCAAGTTAATTTATAATCCCTCCCGCCTTCACCACAAGGAATTTACGAACCTGGAGGAGCTGGAAGTCCCTTCGCAAAGTAAACAAACTATAACTCAAGGTTGCATACTTACAAGAATCCTCTATCAGCAGGTTTTATTTTCACACCAGAGGTGAAACGATAATTTGGTGAGCCGCATTTTGTCCCATTGAGAGCAGCCAAGAGACTACATGCGTGATGCAGGAAGAGAGGGGTTGATGGGGCAGCTGTCTGCGCGTTAGCACACAGCAGCTGTCCTCGTCCTGGTGACAACAATGATGACAACAAGAGCTGGCACTTGCTGAGCCAATACCATGTGTCAGGTACCGTTCAAACATGTCTCAGCCTCACCACAACCCTTTGAAACAGACATTGTTATCTGTTATCTCATCTCCATTTTACAGATGAGAAAACTGAGGTTTCTAGAAGTTTGGAAGTTTTGGATATTTTTCCTTTGGAAATTAAGTGAGAATATGACCTCACACAATTTATCTACATATAGGAAGTTATCTGAGTGCAGAGAATAGACTCTGGTAAGGAGGGTTTAGAATTGGCTAGTGTTTTCTTTTTAGAAAGGGAGAGATTTCCTGTTCTTCTTTTCCCTTTGCATTCCCCGTCTTCCCCTTTCAAAATAGAGAGTGTACACTGTACTCAAGTCAGGAGGCCTGTGTTCTGGTCCTAGCCCTAGGAGTCAATGCATTCTTGAACAAATCCCTTCCCCTCTTCTGACATCAGTTTCCTTACTTGCAAAATGAAGGGATGGGCAAGCTGATGTCTAGGACCCGTGTTCCTCAATTTCAATGGTTCCATGATTCCATAAACCAGGGTGGTAAATCTTTCCCTCTCAACTCCTCATCCACCCTTGTGTGTTGGACAGCAATGCTTCTCTCTCAAATGTGCAAGGCACTGAAAAGAAAGCAAGTTGTTTTTTTTCAGTGCTGTATACCAGACGACCTTGATGTGATAGACTACAGGATCTGGTGACACTGCACACTCAGTACTATTCAACACTTTGCCTGAAAGGGAGGAAGGAATGGATTTATTGACTTGCGACTTTGACTCGGGCCTGTGTATCAGGTCTGTTATTATGTGGAATGATTAGGCTGCAGTGGCAGGGACAAGTTAAACTAGAACAACAAAAGACCTCCTTAACCTTTACCTGGACACAAGGCCATTCATAATGACTTGCATGGTTTGGAAAACCAAGTCTGTCCTGGAGCACTCAGTACTTTTGCAGCCCCAGCAAATGAGCAGGAAAGGGGAAGATGGATGGGTGAGCGAGATGAAATGTAATCCAATTCTGCATAGTCCTGTTTAGAATTCTGAGTTCAGGTCTGTGTCAAAAAACAGCTATGACTTAGAGATCATCATCATTTTCTTTGGCTTGAAAAAGGAATTTGAAACCAGATACAATGGTTGCTCGCTGAGAAGACTTCCAACTATTTGTTATCCACTAGAGCAAATTATGCTGTTTCTGAAAGATATTTTCCCTCGTGAAGGAACCATGTGCCTTCTATTAATGTGAAAGGAACTGAATATGTGGACCTTTCAAACACACACACACACACACACACACACACACACACACACAATCAAACACAAAGTGTCCTTGAAAAGCTAAAAAAGCTGCAGCCATCTCAAGCTTCTCTCACTTCTGAAGGATTCTTTCCCCTCTAGCCCAGCTCCCTGGCTCAGTCTGATAAGTCATGTTTTTGGCAGAATCGCTGCAGTAGCAATCATTTCAAAATCCTGGGCAGGATGGATTTTTTTCAGATACCTTTCCCTAAAAATGGTAAGCTTTAATGCATCTGGCTATGACACAAGAATTAGAGAATCAGGGTATTACAGCTTGAGGAGACCTTATCCATCACCTAACCTAAAGGTAAGCCAGCCTTTTCTTTAAACCAGGTAGTAAATATTTTAGATTTTTCCAGCCAGTCATTCTCTGTCACAACTGAGAATGCAGCCATAGACAATACATAACCGAACGGTTGTGTCTATATTCCAGTAAAACTTTACTTTCAGAAACAAGTTGGCCCATAGGCTGTATGTAGCTAACTACATACAGGTTGACTCCAGCCTCCTCGCTACATACAGGTTAGACTCCTAGCTCAAGGTTACACTCCTGATCTAATCTTGATCAAGTGGTAGAGGCTAAAGGCCAGAGAAGTCAAGAGGCTTATCTGAGCCAACTTGGTCAGCTGGCAGCAAAGCTAGGAGTGGAGATATGTAGAGGGGAATCAGATACTTAATTCTGGGGTCCCGGATCTGGAGACTCCAGTCCACCTGAACCCCTTAATATTTCAATGCAATTTATTGTGAAAATTAGTTTATAACATAGAATGTGAAAATCATGCTTGATTAGGAGAGGCTGTGGCTGGAGTGGAAATGAACTAAATCCTTCCCAGCATTGAGATTCAGATTTCGGCGACCATGCCTGGGAGACTTGGGAAGGGCTGGTTCTGACAGATGCCAGATTGCAGAAAAGGACAGTGGGGCTTTGTGAGAAACACCCCCATCTCAGGCAGGCACTCATGCATACAAACACACATGTATACACACACATATGGGGAGTAAGTCTAGGAGGAGTGGCCCAACTTAGCCTTAGTCTCTTTATTTGGTGAAGGACAGTAGTTTTGGGGCAATAAAAAGCTCTACTAAAGTCCCACTGCCCTGGTCAACTGGGGGCACTCATGAATCCAAGCCATAGGAAAACTGAAAAAAATTAAACCATAGCCAGTCCTCACTTAAGATCATTGATAGTTTCCTGGAAACTGCGACTTGAAGTGAAATGACGTATAAGGAAAACATTTTTTTTTTCTCATTGGCATATAGTAAACCAATGTTGAAGGAAATAGCATTATTTGAGGAACTGCTGTACATTGTTTTGCTTGAAGTTGAAGTTTCTGAGACTCTATTGACAATGTTAAGTGAGGACTTACTGTTCTAGGAGCGTGAGTTCTCCCCTCTCTGCGGGGAGAGTTTATGCCTCCACCCCCTCAACAAAACAGCACAGCAAAAAAGAACATGTGTTTCTTTTCATGATGAAGACCAATGATATCTGGAAATCTGGAGTGAGGCAGTAATGAAGCACCAGCTGGAGTCAGCTAAGAAAGTGGGTGTCAAGGGTGATAGAGGTGACAGGTGGGTCAGTGCCACCCCCTAGGTGTCGGGTTGGCCACTGTGCAGACATTTGTAGAAGCGTGAAATACAGACGATACAAAGCAGACTATGATAGCACACGGGGCGGTGGCAGAGAGAAGACACTGCACAAAGTGTTGGGGAGATCTATAGTGACTTGGCATCAGTGTGTTAGAGGCTCAAGACAAGTATCAGCAACATGGTGGGTCAGTGTCCTTGGCATGGGTGTGGATGACTCTAGAGAAACAGAGCTTGCCTGAGAAGGGTAGTGAGACTAATACCTGTTTATAACAACAGTTATAGTTTCTAGGCATCTACTCTAAGTCAAATGCCATGCTGTCTGCCTTTTAGGTGTTATTTGATCCACACAACAACCCTGCAAGGTAATACTGTTACTATCATCTGTGCTAGTTAGCCATTGCTGTGTAAAAACCCCCCTCCTACCATGCTAACATTATAGGCTAACAGTGGCCTATAATGTAAGGCATTTCTTTCACATTCCCATTACATGAGGGCTGCAGGTTGGTTGCAGCTCTGCTCCAAGCTGAAGGTCAACTATGGGTCCATTCATGGGCTTTCTCATCCTGGGACCCTGGTTAAAGGAGCTGTCCTTATCTTGGATATGAACTCACGGTGGAACAGTGCAAGAAAAACACAAGACCAGCTGAACTTTGTAATAACTTTCAAACACACACCCATTTAGACACACACATATATTTACTGAATCATTTGAAAATAAGGTGCAGACGTTATGACACTTCACCCTAAATACTTCTGAATGCACCTCTTAAAAATGAGAACAGTCTTTTAAATAATCATATTGCCATTACCATACCTTAAGCTTCCAAGGTGTCATTTATAGCTAGTTAAGTTTTGGTACCAGCATTCAATCAAGGTTTATATATTGCATTTGTTTATGATGTTTCTTTAGATTTCTGTAACTGCTTGGATGTTATGTATATCACATGCATGCAGATGCCACTGGCCAAAGGAAATCATGGCCAAGCCTGATAGTGGGTCAGGGAAGCATTCTCTGCTTGCTGAGAGGCACAGCAAGTCACATGACAGGGGAAGGAAAGGGTACTTTTGACTAATAAAATCAATCATACCATCATGGTTTTATAAATGAGAGAGGAGTCATTATATTACATAGCCATGCATTCTTAAGCATTCATCCATTCACTATGTTTTTTAAAGCTAAGGGATACACAGCTGATTTAATGATATGGGAAATCTCTTATCTCCTCTTGTCCCCAGTACATACATTCACTTTGACAACTGCAAGTGAGTACCTGGCAGGTGGTGGATACTGTGCCTGTAGAATTAGGGACAAACCTAGAGCATCTTAATTTAGAGCCTATAAACTTGAAGCTTAGGCAATATTCAGATTACACTTTTTAAATTCATGCTACAAATACTTTCTTGCTGTTGTATAAGAAAGTTTTTCTTCAACTATGCCCAATCCTTAGTGGTACCATAATAACTCTCTCCAGTCTTTCAGAGAGTTGATCATGTTATTTTAGAGATAAGACCACCGTTGGAAGCAGACTGACTTGTCAGGTTGCTTTGGGGTGAGATCTGAGGAAGAGTTTTCCCCTATCTTTTTATTATGAACATTTTCAAGCATATAGAAAAGTTGGAAGAATTGTACAGTGACCACAAAGTTTCAAAAATCGTTACTTGCCCTATCTGTAAATATCTACAGAAACACACACACACACCACACACACACACACACAGACACACACATATATTTACTAAATTAATTGAAAGTAAGTTGCAGATGTCATGACACTTCACTCTAAATACTTCTGAATGTACCTCCTAAAAATGAGAATGTCCTTTTAAATAATCATATTACCATTACCATATCTTAGAATAATTCCTTAAGCTTCCAAGGTGTTATTTATAGCTAGTAAAATTTTGGTACCAGGATTCAATCAAGGTTTATGCATTGCATTTGGTAATGATGTTTCTTTAGATTTCTGTAACTGAGAAATATCCGACTTACTCCTAGTATATATCTATATTATATATACAATATATATAATAGATAATATATATGCTTTATTATATATTATATATTATATATACTGTATATATAGATTATATGTAGTATATGTATAGATTATATATAATATATAGTATATATACTATATAACATATGATATATAGTATACTAATAGTATAATAAAAATCTATTAGTATTATATACTATATAGTATAATTTATAGTATAATATTTACTATATATTTATATATAAATATATATTATTTATATTATATTACAATATATTTATATTATATTATATTATAATATATTATAATTTCTCTAAGGAACTCTGGTTCTATTTTTAAACAGTTGGGTTCATAAGTAGATCTGAGTTCTGGGGATGTTCATCTTTTGAGCCATCATTGCTTTTCAGCCGTGTCTGTGAATCTGTCTATCTATCTAGCTGTATCATTCAGATGTAAGCTTACAAGTTTTTAATTAACTTATTTGATTTTATTTATGTCATTCTTTTATTCTTATATTAAAGATATGGGTTCCTAATAACATTAACATACTCACTTATTTGCTGAATCCTACAATCTAGCTAATATAGCTTCCAAATTAGTCTCAATTGTCATTTGATTGGCCTATGAGCATATCCAGATCTCTGTTACTCCATAAAGTTCTTCCAATTTTTAAGTGTTCCTTGTTTATAAAATAATATTAATTATATCTAGAAAATAGGGTTGTTACAATAATTAAGTCAGTGACTACAAAGTGCCCATCAAAATGTCTAGCATATTGTAGAATGTGAAATAAGTATTTGCCATTTTTATTAATATTAAAAATAACCTAATATGCAAGATGACTAGATGTCCTCAAGCTTATGCATTTTATACTGTTGGAGTGGAGAACTACCCCAATTTGACATGATTTATTATACAAAATACAAAATACAACAAAGAAGGCAGCTGTCCTCTTATTCAGAGTAGTATGTTTCTTCCTGGAAAATCTCCTAATTTTTTCCAATTGGGAACAACAGATTAATATCAGTGAATTCCACGAGGGAAAGGAAGTTTTGAGAAATACAGTGGGTGGTAGCCTTGAGGTGTGAAAACTAAGAGGTGAGGGTGAGAGGGAGTCAATAAATAGATAAGCCAACTAAAATGTGCAATCGTGTGAGGTTATTTAGTGTGAGAAACAAACAGCTTCACATTATTTCATAGCCCCCCTTACTAATGAGATCGAGTTTCCCAAAGAAAGTTAGAGATAACCATAGCAAAGGCTGATATCCGAGGACAGTAGAAATTAATTAGAAACAAAAGACTCTCAACTTTTGATTCTGCACATGAAAGGCTTTATTTCTGGGAGTCACTTGATGATTCCTGTTTTGTAACTATGGTAATATGGCTGGACCCAGAGGGGTTCAAGACCTATAGCCAGCCTTGAGAGTATGGGAGTGCCTGAGCACATGCGTCAGGCAGATTGGAATCTGTCTCAAGCACTAGAGGATACTGACTAAGAGAAATAGCTTCAGAGTCAGACTGCCTGGGCTGAAACTCACTTTTTCCATTATTAGCCATGTGACCTTGGGCTAATCACTTATTTGTGCCTCAGTTTCCTCATCTGTAAACAGGAGTAATAATATTTTCTTCATGGCATTATTGTGAAGTTAAAAATGTTTAAACTATGCACAGTACATAAATTCAGTAAACAGTAGTTCAATGAATAGTGTCATTACCGATTCCTCCATTACTGTGTAAGTGAGAGGTAACTCAATTTTGCCCAGCCCTGAAAGCACAATATTATCTACCAAGGATAAGGCTTTGCAAGTAGCCAGGGATGAGCATCTTTCCTTCTGTCATAGGCCAAGATGGTAGGGGGCAATTGTAGAGCAACTCAAGCTGGAGAGATCTGGTCAGTTGAAGTCGAGGTGGGAGAGGAGAGGTGGTGATGAGAGATGCTCACAGAACCCAAGCAAGAGGCCTGCAGACATCATGGTATGTGCAGCCAGGTGAATCACTGAAGAGCATCAGAAGAACACCTGCTCCAGTGAGTTGAGATTGAGACCAATGAGTTCATTGCTGAGGTTGAAGGCAAGAAACTGAGCAGAGACAGGTTGAAAAAGGGTCAGGCAAGCCGAGACGTGGTGGTGAACACAGATCATGACCACAAGGTAGACTGTGGTTTGGCCAGCTGTCTTTCCAGGAAATCAAACCAAAAATCTAGAGGTCATTTCGACAACCTGTCACTCCATGTATTCCAATCCTTGCTTTTACCTCTCAAAGCATTTACTTTTTTCTTCATTTCCACCTTCAGCTCCACACTTCACCACCCCAAATCATCTTTTGCTTGGACTGGAAAAGACCCCAAAGTGATATCTCTGCTTTCATACTGCTTCCATCCTTTCTTTTTTTTCATCCTGCATCCAGAGGGACTTTTAAAAAAATCAATATGATCATATGTCAGCCCAAAAAACTTTTCATGATTCTTAGGACAAAACTGAAATTCCTTATTGAGTGTGGCCAAACTCTACATGTCCTACTGCCATGTCTTTTGCCAGGATCTCTGTGCTGTGCTTCAGCATCACTGGCCTTCCTTCAGTCCCTAGTCCCCAGCACAATGCACCCAGCTCTTGTGACTGCTGTTGCCTTTGCCTGGGGCACTCTTCCCCCTCCTTTGATCTACCTAACAGTTCATCCTCCCAATCACAAGTCAAGCATCAGGGAAATTATTCCCAATCTCCTGATCAGGTCAGTCTTCCCTTTCTGTTTTAGGCCCTTGTAGAGCACCATCGGTTTCTCCACTGTGGCACTTACAAAGTTGAAATTCCTTATTTACTTGCAAATCATTGGTTAATAAGCTCTATTAAAGCAAGAATCATGTTTTCATTTGCTCGACATTATATCTCTAGAGTATAATATGCTGTTTAGAATATACTAGGCGCCAAATAAGTATTCATTGACTGACTAAATGCATGCATGCATGAGTGAATGGGCACATTAATGAACAGCAGAGACTACAGCAGAATCAGGGCATGGGATTGTATAACAGTACTGGCTCATCAGGAGGCATCAACAGCTCAGTCCTCTTATCTGGGCATGGCTCAGATTTTCCCTAAACAGACCCATCCCTTGGGCTAACCCCTCAAGTCAGGAGGGGTCTTCATTCTTCTACAGGGTTTGGGAGTGTAGAGGTGGCATTCGGTTGGTTCATCTCTGCATCCTCAGTGCAGAGTGTTGCATTTAGTGGACCCTGAGAGTTTTTCCCTGAATGAATGAGTCCCTGAAGTGCTGCCCAGGGAGAAGCAATTCCCCACATTCTCATCTTCTCTACCATTTTACTGTTACACAGTTGTGCTGGGATGTCCAGTATCCATTGAGGTTGGTATAGGACCTCTCCTTGGGAGAGGAACTTGAACACTGTATCTTGATGTTTTAGGCCATTCATGATCAGAAGTTTAGCCTCTCCATCCCACTCCTGCCATGTTTTGACACGCCAAACCCAAGCTTTCTCTTCTGGGGTGAGATTGGACCAGGGTTGTTGTCATTTCCCTAGGATGCTAAGATTGGTAAGGAATTACCCCTCCAAGGCCTGGGTGTACCTCTGTTTCCTCAGTGACTCTGAGGAAGTGGCATTTTTGGAAAGGATAGACCCAGGCCCCGGTTTCCTGGCAGCCAGAACTGGAGGGATTGTGTAAGCTGAACCTTATACTTTCTCCCTGCACTTTACAAACATCTCATTCTTTATTTCTCTCCAACAACATGTGATGACCCTTTGGCAAGTCCTTAGTGCTAAATTTCCTTTTTATGGAAGCAGCAGTAAAAACTCGAGGGCCTTTGTTAGGCAGTGCTGGGCTGTTGCATGGATGTAAATCACCTGGGCATCGGCTGGATATGGCTGACAGATTTCTAGGTTCAGTGAAATCTTCCTTTCCCAAATAAATCAAATTCTGACCTATGAAGTTCTAGGCTAGCAAACACTTCCAAAGCCACTGAGTTTAGGCTGAGGTTGGAGCCTGCTCTGTTTGGGTGATGGGCACAGGTTTTGTGGTGAGCATGAAAGGAAAATGTACTAAGGTGGAGTTTTGCACATTTCCCATGTGCCTGAGGATTTTGGAACTTTTTGCCCTTGGTTCTTAAATGAAATGAGATGGAAAGCATATATAAAGGAAGCCGAGGAAGTTTTGAAATGAGCACGGAGAATCTGACCCAAGTTTTGGGTGGTAGAGAAGTGTAGAGTATGTGTGTGTGTGTGTAACTGTAAACTCTGTGACTTCTTGTTGAAGTTTCCAGTTTCTCCATAGCCAAAAAAAAAAAAAAAAAAAAAGAAAGAAAAATAAAGAAAGAAAGAAAAAGAAACTTCTATAGCTAAACCCTTATAAGGCATTTTTATGTGGAATGGTATTGAGAAGATCTGCCTTTAGGAGGACTTGGAATTTTAGCATTGTTCCCAAAGTGTTGGTTATCTTGTTGTGACTGAAGGTACCTTGAGGGTCAGAGGGACCTGTGTATTTGCTTTTGGACTTTGTATATCATTTCAAATGGTATATTATTTCTACTTATAACCCAAATTCCCAAGAGTCTTTTTACTATAGAGGTCTGAAACAGAAATTTTAAAGGGGCACGAGGTATCCAGAATGGGTAATTTAGGAAGACACTCACCCTACCCCTTACCTGCAGGAGAATCATCACAAATGGAAATGAGCATTCAGCATCCCTAAAGCCAGGTATCAGTCAGATGGAGGACTGCCTGCTTGAGGTAGCACTGACACTCACTAATGGCCCAGTTATCACAGAATAGCATATTGCCATTAACAACTGATTACACACATTATTGCGTAGCTCATAGCTAATGGGACCTGTCACAAGATCTCAGAAGACTGGGCTTATGATCTGCTGATAAATAGATATGTGGTACACGTGGGTCAGTCATTTCCTTGTTAAGGAGAAAGGAGGAAATGAAGTGACAGCTTCAGCAGACCCACATAGACTGTGCTACATGCCTGGCTGGAGTCTGGCATCAGGACATGAGCCTCAGGGTGGGCTGAGGTGCAGCAGGACCTGTCTCCATTCTGGTCCTGCAAATAAAAAGGGTGGATGTGGATGAGGGAATGCTAGGGGGATTTTTTTAAAAGTGCATTGGAACTTCAGCATTTCAAAGGAAGGTGTTCTCCTAGCGCTTCCCCTGGGAGGCTGGAACTCTTTCTAGAGGTGCTGTCTTTGTTCTTGTAATTCCTTTTTGGGATTTCCTGAGGGCGTGGTGTATTATTTTTGAGTGTCCTCAGTTGTGTCAAATCTTCAAAGGAGTAATTTGCAAATGTGAACTAAATAAAGATGGGAGTGTTACTGTGGACTAGTACTATATAATTTAAACCTTGGTTGATGTCTACTGCCCATCTTGATCCAATTATCCAAGGTTATAGCAAAGTAGGTCTGAGGTGTGCCACAAATGCAGATGTGTGACATTATTTTATTTAAATCAATTAAGTCTGTTTAGCTCAGGTCGATGAGAAATGCTGCCTCACTCTTTTTGGTAAAGGGTAGGGGTGAAGACAGTTCCTGAGGCCCTCTGGTATCAGTCCACCCTGGGTGCTGCTCACCCTAATCTGCATTGGCTCCTTGAACTCGTGAATGCAGTGCTTCCTCAGCACCATGCTTTTGCCAAGGCTGGGGGCCTTCCTGTCTAGGCTAAGCCTCTTTAATTTCATTATGCCAACACCCAGCCCAGAGGCCTATAGCCTCTGCATGGCATTGCAAGCGACCTAGATTCTAACTTCTCTCTAAACCTACAGGCCACCTTCTCAGTCTTGGGGAATCTCCAAATTCAAAGGCATTTTTTTCTTTCCCTGTGCTTCAAGGAGTGCAAACTTTTAGAAGAAAAAGCCTGGTAGGGACTTCTCTGCAGGCAACTTCTACTTTCAACTTTTAAAATCCTCCTCTAAAGTGAGGAATGCAAAGGACTTGGCTACTCATTGGGAACCAAGGAGGGGGAAATACAGTTAGAACAAAACACATAATAATATCTCCGCACATTATGCTGCTGTGATACTGATGGTGATGACATGATGATGATAAGAATGATGATTTATACTGGCTTATTGCTTTCCAATTGCAAACTACTACCTGGTGTGATTGCCACCATAAGTCAGGAAGATAGGATAGTATGCCAAAAGGAAAGGGAAACTCAGAGAAGTTTCTTGAGATGGCCAAGGTCACACAGCAAGTGAGTAGCCACAAGTCCTCATTTGTGGGTCCAACATTGTTTTCTTTGAAGATCACATGTTGCTCTTCTCTTTTTGGTGGACGCCAGAGTCTTCCGGGGGACAGTGACTTCAAGTGACTTAGAGACAATCAGATCCAGGACACCCAGGGATGTCAGTAGTGGGGACCCTGAGACTGGCTACAACCCTGCAAACTCTTTCTGCTCTCTGGTCAGAAGGGGTAGCTGTTAGGTCAGACATAATTTGACTCCCTGCCATAGGAGATGAGTTCTCCTAGAAAGGAAAGAAAGTTTATTTTGGTAATATTTTCTCCTCTGCATCAATCTTCCTAAATTTCTACTATTTTTTTCCTTGTACCAGGACTAGCTGTTTACCTAATTATTCTGCCAATGAAAGTGGTTAAGGGTTGGACAGAGGAGGCAGAAATAGATTGCTCTAGAAGGAAAGAGAAATGTTGTATTTTCCCAGAGAGACGCAGATTTATTTCAGTTTTAGTATCTCTTATTCAAATTCATCAGAAGTAATTAATGAAAGCTAGAAGAAGGCACGCACACACACAGAGACACACACACACACTCCTTCCTAGGATTTTTTCATTCTTACTTGAGTTATGTTGAGCTGTTTGGTCTATTGGTTCAGTACCCCAAGCCTAGTGCAGTATTGTCATCCCTTGCTTTACAACACAGTCATTATATCCCTAAACCACATTGTGATACACAGTGCCTTCTGTTTACGACTCCCGAAACTCCCACTCCATATATCACCTGCCATAAAACCCATCAAACTGCTGCTACTAAAATGGTGCACAGTGGTCTAAGCAGGAGCCAGGCAAATTGTGTGCTACCCTACTGTGGTTAATGAGAGTGAAAATGTGGTTAGGATCTTATTCAGGCGATGTTCATTTGCAGGGCCATTGTAGTGAGATGGCAAAGAAAGATTCTTTTGTTAAGTTGAGTGACAATATATTTTCTATTGTATGGAGTGGCTCAGTGCAGAGTTTGCCAAGTTATTTGTCAATTGTAAATAAGTCAAACTGTGACCTTGAGTGACTAGATTTTCATTACTTAGGGGTCTTGAAAGCTAATTAATATACTGAGGTTGTTATATCGAGTATCAGAAACCTGTTGCCAGATTTTAAAGTACAGTAGTGCAATTCGACTCTAAAAAAGACAAACAAAAGTTAAAATAAAATGTCCCTTTTCTGTATAATAGGTACAATTTATTGTATCTTCAGCCTAGGGATTTTTTTAAAAATGGAGATGGAGGAGAGGAGAAAGGGCATTGTACCTTTTGAATTTTTTGTGTTCTCCTGAAACTTGCACATATGCAGAAAATTCATAGCAATATCTGTAACCATCAATGAGTCACTGAAAGATTTGTGAGGATCTTCATTCAAAAATAATAAGAGCAATTAAACATGGCTTTGTTCTTTAAATAAGATTAATTCTAAGAATTCTCACTCCTCCTCATACCCTCTCCTCATTTCCAACTCAAGAGCCAAGACATTTTTATCCCAGAGACAGGATTTCTTAAAATGATGCAGTAAATACAGGTATCTTACTCAAGGAAAAATAACATAAACTTCTCACTTGTTAATCCATAACTTATCTATTGTCTTACAGCTCTTTCCTTCCCCTTGAAATAACTGAATGTACAGCATGGTAGACATTTACTGCAAATGATATTAGAAAAAATTTTTTTTCCACCAGCCTTGGTCCACTCATGGAACCTTTAAAGAAAAAGGAACATGGTGTATATACAGCATGTCTGATCTCATTAACTCATTAATTCATCACTGAGAGCCGAGCATACCCAGAGCTCCCCCTAGGCAATGTCATGGAAGCAGAGCTTGTCCCTGGCATGCTCTTGCCTCTCTATATTGATCTTCTCCATTGCTTCCCCAACCAGTTGTGGTCCTGGAGCTGCCCCTGCAGTAGCATTATCATTGCCAAAGCTAGCTTGGGCACCCCACAGAACCCTAGGTTCTCTGCTTATATGTTATTCATTCGATACACACAGAAATGCTATGAGGTGGTTTCTAGAGTATTTCCCACTTTACAGATGAAAAGAAAAGAGATAATCCCATAGAGATTAAGTAATTTTCCCAAGGTCAGTTAGGTAGGAAGAGGCAGGACCTATTGTTCCCTCTGCGCTTTCTCTTCTTCCTGATCACCTTCTCTGGGGGTTCTCTCTGCCTCGTCCTCTTTCCAAAAATGAAGCTCTTCCTGAGAATTTCATGCTATGGCCACATCAGAGAAATCACTGGGAAAGAGGCACTATAGCCACTTCATAAGTACTGCATGCTGGCCCTGTGTGCAATGAACAGATTCCTTAGAGGTTCCTCTGTCTATGTTCATATTTCGGCAGCCCTAATCATGGAAGGAAGGAGAGCCAGTATTACCAGAAAGGACTAAATAGAGACTGAAATAAATGTCCCACCTACAAAGCTTTTGTGGGTGATACTGGTACATTCTATGTGTTTTCAGGAGGCTTTATTCATCAACCCCAGTACTGCAGCATCGTAAAGCTGAGGCAAACAAATCATTCAGGTATACACAAAAGGGTAAAAAGGGGAAATATGATTCTCTGTGGAATGACCACAGGCGATGGGGCAGAGTTTTCAGATTGGACGCCTCTGTGATCTGCTTGATTTCTTTACGGAAAATCTGATTTCAATTGAGTCATATAGCTTTAAAAAAAATTCCAACTCCAAACAGTGCCACATAAAGGAAATTAAACTATAAAAAGTGCATTAAGGTAAGGGTAGGGATCTAAGTTACTGGCCCAGAAACAAGTCAAAATCAAAGTTGAGAACAGAACCCATAAGTTGCTCTTGTTGGAGATTACAGATGCCACCAGTATTTACAATTGCTTGATATAAAACAGTCTACCTTGCAATGGATGCTGACATCATTAGCATGGCACTTATGACTTAGGGCTTTCCAAGTACTTTATAAGCATCCCTTCCTTTTTCAGTTCTTTTGGAAAATCAGAAAAATAGAAAGTACCGTGATTCGTGCCACGAGGATAGGAACACTCCAATTGGAAAGGGATTCTAACCATGAAGCTTAGTGATGATTTGGATGTTTGCAAGGGGTATTGTTGGCTCTCGAAAGGCTTGGATATATTCTCTCCTTGACTCAGCTGTCCCATACTTTGTAATTTATATTTCTGGCATTAGAGATATGCATTAAGATAGGCAGTTGGGTAAAGATGACTATTAATATTCTAGCCTTGGTGGTGCCACTAATGAGCTATATGACCTTGGGCAAGCCACTTATCGTCTTTCACATGCCTGCTGTCCAAGGATATTTTGAAGATCAAGCAAAAAAATGATGTGAACAAACTCAGTAAAGTACAGAGCACAAAACCATTGCATTAGCATTGTATAGGTGAAAAAGAAAAACAAACAGACATAATTTAAAAAGTTGGGCTGAGAATGGGCCAGTGTTTTGCACGCATGTAAATGTAATATCAAATTTAATACAAGTACAGTTGTACCCTTCCTAATTATTTCTTACACCTGGATGTGGCCCATGGGAAAATTCTCTCAGAGGCCATGCATTTAGGGTCTTGTATATTTTCAGGTTTCCTTATTAAGTAGAAACCAGAAGCCTCTTTATGTCTCCATGGGGACACCTCCAGAGCTTGTATCAGCAAAAAAGAAACCATAACCTGAGGTGTTGGGGTGAGGACAGAAAGCATGAAGGGGCTCCACCCCAGAGAAATGGGAGCCCATTCCATCTGGCTGGTCTGGTGTGCTGCTGTGGTCTTCTCCTGGACATGGAATGTTCATTATGTTTAAAAGGAGCTTTGCCTTTTAAAGGAAAAAAGAGTTTAGAGGGGTGTGTGTGTGTGTGTGTGTGCATATGTGTGTGCAGGCATGCATGTATATGCGTGCATGCTGTGTTTATATATACGCTCTTGATCAAAAAGTTTTGAGTCTTTCCATTAGAAGTAGGAAAAAGTACCTGAAAGGGAGGAGAAGGAAGAATGGAATGTCTTTTCCAGCTAAAAAAAATTGTTAGCCTAGAGATGTTAATTGAACATCTGAAGACAAAGATAATTGTACAATATGTTATCTGTTATGTCTTCTTTTTAAAAAGGTTGGACATGGCTATGCTTTTTATTCTCAATTGCTAATTTTTTTCAGACTCACCACATCATTCATTTTTATGGTTAACTCACCACGATTTTGTCCAGTTTTGAGCTGGGTTTTTTCGGGTTCGGGAAAAGCCTGAGCTATGGTAAGTGACCTGGAGAAACTTATGAACTGGTCAAAGGGGAGATATTTGTTTTAAAAAGAGAGCACAGAGGATTTGCAATTAAGTGCTACATCAAGTGGCAAAGACAGCCCACCTTCGGGGGTTCAGAGAAAGGAGAATTCCAGTTTTCTAGGTACTCGACGTTGAGGATTAGGGTAGGGAGGCCTCCTGGAAGTGCCGGAAAGGTGTGGGCAGAATTTGGAGAGACTCACCTCTCTAAACACCTGGGTTCTGAGAGCCTGAGACCAGCAGAGGGAGTATGAGGTAATAAACAGCTTTGGTTTGAGAAGTTGACTGTGATCTTTGGAGCTCAGGGAAAACAAGGCAGTGAACAAGAGTGTATCATCCACTACTCTTATCTTCCCTTACTTATCCCTGATACCTTTCAAAAGTCCACTACGTCTCACTCCTGTGCCTCATTTACAAAATTTGTTTCATGATTAAATGCAGAAACAAACTTTAAACCAAACTAACCAAAAGAGCCCACAAGCAAACAAATAAAAACTAGATAAGGAAAACACAGTAAGATTAAATTCTTAATTATTCTTTCAAACAACTTCAGTCCTTTGGACTCCCAGTTATTTGGATAATCAGGTAATATAAGGAGCTCACAGAATACTATATCTCAGAGACCTGTCGATTCAATATTTTCTCTGCCTTGGGAAATGGGCTGTTTAACAAAATTCAGCAAATCAATGACTGTTGGAAAGGCGATTTGGAGAGAATTAATGTGATCTTTATAAGGCTTCAGTGGTGAAACATGGATTGCATTTAAAAAGGCTGAAGCCTTATGTTTATTCTCTGCAGAACTTTAAGTTTCTAGAAGTTTGGTCAAATATGGCCATGGTTCTGTTCAAGTGGGGCTCCTGCTTTACTGAGCTGGCTCTGCCTGGCTTGCCAGGGCCCACCCCATGGGTCTCCCATTAGTTCATCAAAAAACAACACAACTCTGCCTACCTCAGGGTCTTTGCACGTGCTATTTCCACTGGCAGCCCCACTCTCCATCTCTTCCCCAACCTTTCATTTGTCTAGTGAATTCTAACTCAGTGATTCAGCGTTCCCCTCTCAAATCAGGCCTCACTCTTTCAGAAAGTCATTCACAACCTACAGACTGCCTGCCATACAGTCTTAAGGCACTTTGCACTTTTTATTTATAGCACTCAAGAAAGTTTGCAGTCACGTGTATTTTTATGATGATTCCATTCACCATTCTTTATCTTACTTGACTGAAAGCTCCAGAGGGGAGGCAGTCTGTCCTTTTTACACACCATTGTGTCCTCAGCAGGGAGTATAATGCCTGGTACCTAATAAATCTCAATAACTAATCATTTGGTGAATAAAAAATACAGAATTAGTGAATAATTATCAACTGCTCATAGCAGGCTTTATAGTTTGCTAAGAGCTATGAGAGTAAGGAGAATTGAGACTTAAGAGAGGACAATAGGTCAGACGAGGCTTGACAAAGACTGGCTTTTGAAGGAGAGACATGGAATAAGGAGGAGACTGTGAAGGCTGGATGTGGAGCTGGCACAGTGCTGGATGAGGGTCATGTAGACACGGTTGACAGAAAATGTAGGGGGCACACCTGAAGTAGGTGGAAGCACCAGCCATTGCTCAATGTACCATGATCTAAAGAATGTTGCTGATGGAGCCAGTTATTCTTCATTTGTTTCCCACCCCCGAATCCATACTACATCCTTTACACACTTCTCTGCGTCCCAGGAGGCTGACCCTGGCTCCGGCGTGGATTTGGCCAATGGAATATGCTGGCAGGGACTAGAGTGAAGGAGCAAAGAGAAGGTGGGTGTTCCCACTTTCCCCCTTCCTTAAGGGCACACCTCTGAAGGCAGTGGCATCTCTGCATCACTCCAGCTCCTGCTTCCTGGTCCCTCTCCCTTGGTGCAGCTCTCACTAGTCTCAGGACACTATTTCCTACCCCTGTTCCATCAGTCCTGGGGCCTCCATTAACCGAAGTCTCTATGTGCTTCTCTGCCCATTCCTCCTCCCTTGTTTGTTTTCTTGACTCTACTCACTCCTCTGTTAGCAGCCCCTTCATTAAAGTCTCTTTGTTCAAATCATCGGGAGACAACTCTGTTTCCTGCTGGGACCCTGACTTGCTTTCACTTCCTTTCTCCAGGTGACAGTGTGTACTCATGTGCTGCATTTGGTACAATGCTAGGCACCAGTACTGCCTGCCAACAGGCAACATAACTAAAACTGGCCATTTGCGTTTGTCGAGCTCCATATTAGAAACATCCTCTTTATTTCTTTGCAGCACTTTGGCTGTTTGGATTTCTTGGCTCTGTCCATGGAGGGAAAGGCATCTCTTTCCCCTTCTTCTACTCCACATGCAATGACTACATTGTTAACAACCTGATCCCAAACCTAAACTCTCAGTCTAAAGAGAGCTGACTTAGAAATCCCAAAATGACAAGGGCATGGAGAATAGAACCATTAGCAGGTAAGAGTGCTTATTAGACTTAGTCTGCAAAATTCAGGTCACCCAATTTTTTTGAACTCAATTATTGCACTAGCTGCCTCAGTTCCCTAATTTATTTTGCTGGTGTAGAGCCTGGGTCTTTACCCTTTTTTACCCTCACCCCCTCACCCCTACTCACAGACACACAAAAGTACAGCAAAGTAGAACAGGAAGAGTGCAGGTGGAAGAGATTCTCTCCTGGTTCCAGTCCTATTTTGATGTTATTGGCTAGTTAGATTTTTCTCCCTAGACATATTGAACATGTACCACAAGATCTGTAAAATGTCCAATTAAGAAACCAAATGAAAGTGTTCAGAAACCAACTCAGTTACATAGATGCATCATGGAAGGACTTAAAAAATAGAACACAATAATTTAAGTATGTTTTTAAACTTATCGAATCATATTTCTGCTGACATTCCCCTGATCCACCCCCCTGCCAGATCCTCAGAGCAGGAAAATACTAAGAATGAGTTTTCTAAATTAGGAATTGAAAAATGACCCATTTACTGAAAATCAAATGCGGCCTCTCTCATGTTTTGCAAGTACCTGAAGGATATAGATATACAGAGGCCTCATTTTAGAATCTGCCAAGGGTAGGGTCAATACTTGATCTGCAGAGTCCTGTTCACTAAGGAAACTTTTCCTTGCAGGATTGAAGGAGGGAACAGAAGACACAGAGGCCTGGATTGTGTCTTCACTTGGGCTTAATGGGATGGGGCTGGGATGTCACCCTGAACTCAGACCTGAAGAAAAGGAAACATCTTCTTGGGGATTTAAGGTGGAATGAAAACCTGATTGTACTTACTCTAATTTTAGTTTCCTTCAAAAATTCAAAAAATACCACATTATACAACTTGTGCTTTTCTGTAAATAGACTCATTCTCTTTGTTTTGAGGCTTTGGTTATTGTTTCTCTCACATTCTGAGTAGGAAATCTTATTCAGAGGCCATTGCTCATAAACCCAAGACTTCAGAGGAGACCTGAAGTGGCCACCTGCTACGCTACCTGAGTACATACCCTTCTGTTTGCTGATTCTATGATGGGGATGAACAAAGATAAATATAAAGCCAGACATGGTGGCATGTGCCTGTAGTCCTAGCTACTTGGGAGGCAGGGGTGGGAGGATCCCTTGAGGCTGAAAGTTTGAGGTTACAGTGAGCTATGATCATGCCTATGAATAGCCATTGCATTCCTGCATTCCAGTCTGGGCAACATAGGTAGATCATGTCTCTAAAAAGCAATGTATATAAATATATCTGGATCATACCTAAGTCAAGCCTTTAGTCATTTTCCTTAGTCAATTTCTCTGTCTATTTTTTCAGGAGGTATTTGGCTAAAGAAAAAAAAATCAGGCTTTTTACTACTGGTCTTGGGGTAATTGCCACATGTAAGGGACTACTTATAGGGATGATTTATAAGTATGTTGACTCTGGTTCACAACAGAAATTCAGTTAAGTAGGCATTCCAAGCCTTACTGTCTTGGTACTCTAGGGTGGCTAGACTCCCTTCAAGGAAAGTCAAGAGATGCTCAAAATAAATAATTTTAAATTCAATTTTATTTTAAACCTACAAGCCAACTAGTTGTAGTGACTGGAGAGTCAGAAGAATAACTGCATTTATGCCACAAGCTTGTTGAAATTGAGGGAGTTCCCTTAACTCTTTTTCTCTGTGAGATGAGAAGTTTGAACTTGGTGCCTCTGTGTTTCCCAACTGCAGGGACACTATCCACACTAGTCTACACGGTGCTCTAGGGAAGCCCCATTTCCATAGACCACAGTGAGAATGGTGTCCCCTGAAGTGGTGCACTGCTGAGGTCCAGGTTCGACCTCTAAATCAGTAAGTATCTGTTGATTACCCATTATGTGCCCCAAAACAGTGAGGCATTTGGAAGGCAAAAGGCCTAGGGCAAGCATTAAGAGGGAGGACACCTAACTGGGAGTGAAAATTATTTCACTTATATCTTGAGGAACTTGTTTCATAAGCATGTCTTAAGAATCCACTAAGTGCCAAACACTGTACGAGACTCGTCCATATATTTATCTTCTAAACTCAGCTTAAACCTGACTCCCTTCATGAAGAACCAATCCCCTCTCTCCAGAACTCACATGCTAATGGAGAAGATGGATACATGGACAAATGAACAGAAACTTTGATAGGTACCAAGGTAGTGCTGTGAGCCTGAGACATGGTAAAATTTAGCCATGAGATTTTTGGATTATCTGACATTTTATACTAGTCATATTTCTCTTCTCTGTTGATGAGTCATTGAGATGTCAATGCACTTCAACTAATATTTATTGAGTAGGGAAAGCACTGTTAAGAATGCAAAGGTGGGTGATGTGAAGTATGTTGTTGAGGATTAGGAAAGTCAGAGAAAATTTGTAAATAACACAAATGAACTCTGTTAAGAGCTTAACAATGTGCTATAGGATTCTGAGAGAGAGAGAGACGGGGGTCAGTTGGGTGGGGTGGGGAAAGGGGAAGAGAGAGAGAGAGAGAGAAACACGTGCATATTGGGCTTGCAGAATCAGAAAGGTGTCCTTGTCAGGAGGTGCCATCAAGCTGACCCATACTTGTTGTTCCAGACTAGGCCTAGTCTTCCTAGTTCACACTTTCATGGTTCCTGGTACTTTGCCTTGATGGCATGTCTCCCAGTTGTAACGATGCATTATTTTATTATTTGATTAACATCTGTGCCACTAGATTATAAGCTCCTTGAGGGTAGAGACTGTGTCGTTTTTGCTCATTATGGTATCCCCAGGGTCTTGAATGGTGCCAGATGAATTTAGAAGGCAGTCAAAAGTACTTAATAAATGAATGAATGAATGAGTGAACATTGAAGAATAAGTAGAAATGGAAAAAAGAAAGAGTCCCCCAGGTGAAGGAAACAGTTTGAACGATTGCCATGCATAAATGGTCCCATGGTAATCCTTAGACTGCTTATGAGCATTAGAAATGGCAAACTGTGTCCAATCCTCTTAACCAAATGACTAGAGAGCTTTCTGACAGAAATTATGACAGTTGCAAAGAGTACCTCTAAACTTTCCTTAATAACCCAAGAAAAATTTGTTACCCTGATTTGATCTAAACTCTTCTAGTAGGTGCTTATCAAATATTTGAGAATGGAATTAGAGAATGGAATTAGAGCAGGGATGGATTTACCGATGCTTTCTGTCCTACAACCTTTTGGAATAACAAGCTATCATTGCCTACCCCCTACCCCCTCCTGCTTCTCACTTAAGCCATGTCTTTATGCTGTGAGAAAAATGGCGCAATATGGGGAAAAAAAAGCAGGGCATCTGGTTCACCAGATATGCATATGGCCACAACATATGGCAAACCCAGGGCATTTGACCATCGTGCTCATTAGGATGTGCCGGCAAACCGGATGCCGCGCGCTCACTGCGTCTGTGTCGTTTTTCTCTCAGCATGCCGACCTGGTGTTAATCATCGGGACACACTTTCCTTTCGGAGCAAATCAGTTCCTCCACTCCTTTCACCTTTGATTTTTTTCTAAAATTCCCTCCTCTTTTGTGTTTACTTTCAATTGGTTGGTTGCTTTTCAAGCTCCCAGGATAGTCTTACTCTACAGGTTTCACTAAAAACGTCAACAAGCCACATTAACGACAAAAAATGACCACAGCAGCTCATGGGCTTCTCGAGTGGGTGGGAAGAAAATACAAAAATACAAGATTTGTTTTTCTTAACGGATTAAAGAAAAATCTAAATTTCTCAGAGAGTTCGAGATAATTAACTTTGCACAGAAAAAAGAAAACCCAACCCGCCCTGGATTCCCTGGTTCTCAGTCAGGGACTTCACAGCTTCAAGAAGAGGAGGGCCAGGGAGAATGCACCCCACCCTAACCCTGGCAAACAAAACAAAACAAGCAGCAATTCAAACTATTCAGAGGGGATGAATTTTCAAAAGCCAGGGAGCTGCTCAATCATTTTGTGTATTTGATAGTTACCCCTATAATGTTCTGGCTCCAGCGTCTCTAAGCCCATTTTATGTTTATACTCTCCTTTCTCCACAGACCTCACCTCCCACTTCTCTAAGAAAATTCAGGTTTTCAGTTCTCATCGGCAACTGTAGCACCCTTCATTTAGTACATTTGCGTATTCCATATTTTTCCAGGTTGTTCCTCTCCTGTTGCATTTCTGAAAAATAAGAAATGAGATCAAAACTCACATTAACCCCAATGTCATCCCCTTTGCTCTCCATTCATTGCTACCCTTTGTTTATCATCTTTCAGCAAATTTTCAATCCATATGACAATACTCCCATCCAAATCAATTAGAACCAGTTTCACAAAATAGACTTCCTGATGCCCTCTGTCAATCTTTTCCTGAATTCCAGCTGTATACCATCTATGCATATTCACTTATTGCTGGATACACATTACTCCTTTCATCTGCTAGCAACAATCAAGAAACAGTAACAAATTTGTCCGGAAGGATTTATTCTCCACGTAGTTCCCTTCTTCTTTTTCTTTTTAAGTATTGCTGATGATTTGATTGAACTTAAAATAGTTACAGGTTTTTGTCATTTAATACCCACTCTATTATTTCAAGGTAGGAGAAATACAGATATTTTTCTTCTAAATAGTTTTATAGACAAAGTGAAAGATTTTTCATTCTTGCTTCAAATTCATTGTGAAAACAGAAGGCAGTTTTCCCAGATGGAAATCTGTCATATCATTATGGAAATGTCAGATTTCCACCCGGGGCATATTGACAAAAAGCCATGGTTTTTGCCCAGGGGGTGGAATTTCACAAATTTTCCCAAGAAGAGCTGCACTCCCTGGTAGAAGACAGAGGCAATTTCTTTCCCCATTTCAGATTTGCAAGACTGAGTGCTAAGAGATTGGTTTCAGGCAAATACCCAAAGAAGAGAAAATAAGACTTTAGCATCCCTATTACTGGCTATGGGGACTTGGCTCTTTTTGTGAATCAGTCCTGGCTGTATTTACTTTAGTGTGATGGTTACCCAGAGCTGCGACTCTATTGGCGACATCACATAAAATGACACGATGTGTCATCTTGCCAGACAGAAGAAAGATTTCATTCTTTGGCCACCTGATTCTGCCATATAAATATCACCCCTTTAGTTAATAGATATGCTCTTCTTAATTTTAGTAATTGTATTTTTCCCCCTGGGAATGGAGCATTTTAAACCTCTGTTAGTGGAGTATTCATGACTGCATTAGAAATATTAGCAAATCATGTCCATGTTAATGAATAATAGGACATTTAGAGGAAAATAAAACAATCCCCAAACATTTTCATACATTTATAGTCATCAGAATCTCATGCTTTAAATAGATGAAAGAGATTTGTGAGTGGCATAAGTCATGGCAGAAATAGCCTTGGGACATGAGTTACTTACTCTATTCTGTTGCGTAAAAGTCTTGCTGCTGTGTATAATAGCCCCACAGATTAACAAGTACAATGTAAAAGGATCTAGATATTTTTCTTAAATAAAGATTTGCTGTTCTCAACAAAAAACCTCTTCCAATGATTACGCTAGTATAGGCACTCTGCTCCATTAATATAAATGACTCCAATGTATTTTTTTTCCTAGCAGAAATACCTGCATTTAAAAAAAAATGCAGCAATAACTTCAAACTTCAAAGGTCTCAACTTCAAAAGGTTTCTTGCATTCTGCTTGATGGGACAGCATCTTATGCACACATGCTTTTTTCCCTGCTAAATGCCTTAATAATGAGCTTGGGTTCAGATTTTGTGAATCGGAGCCAAGTAACTCTATTTTATTATATTTGCTGGGAAATGAACTAGCTCAGGGTAATTAGGAAAGCAATTTTATTAGCTTCTATTTCATAAAGATTGTTTTTTAATCAGAGTCAGAACTTACTAGAAATGACTCTGTGCTCATTGCTTGGGTCTCAGGAAATGAAGTGGGGCACTGTAGGTCCTAACCCACAGTAAAGCCAATGTGATGAAGACAGAAGCTTTGCTCTTAATCTCTAACAATGCTGTAAAAATAAAACCAATCCGATGGTGTTGTAAATAAAAGGGTCACAGCTAACAATTACCTGTATCTAGTTTATTATAAACCCGAGGCTCGATAACAGAAGGAGTTACAGCCTTCTTTTTTAATTGACCAAGGAGTTTTGGATTCAAGTTGTGAACCATCCTGGTTTGGGGACTGGGATGCATAGTAAGAAAAGAAAAACACCAGATTAGGTGAATGTGTCTTCACGAGACAAATGGGAGAAGGAATTGGGACTGATAGTGTATTTAGATAATGTAGTGCAGCTGTGAAAAAGACAAATGCTCTACAGAGGCCCACAGCATATACGGCAGGGGTGGTGGGGGCTGGGGGTGTTGCTTATAGGAAAATGGAGTTCCTGTAATTATGCCTCTCCTGGCAGCCACTTATGGAGCACAGCATACTGTTTGGGGCACCTCATTATAAAGAGAACATCAATACTGTAAATTAGAGAGAACCCAGAGAAGGGTGACAAAAAAGATAAAAAGATTAGAAGAGATGACCTATAAAGAAAGGTTAAAGGAACATAACATTTAAAGCTTTCGGGAAAAGGAGTTGGCGAGATGGAAGGCTATGCTAACTGTCTACAAATATTTGAGCAATAATAATTTTAAGGAAAGGAGAGGATTGCTTGCAGTAGTTGAGAATGGTCTAATAAGAAGTAACGGCTTGAAACTAAGGAAAGGGGAAAATGTCGGTTAGGAGACATTAGGAAAAATCTCTTCCCAGTAAGGGCAATTAGGCACTGAAGTGAACTGCCTGGGGAGGTGGTGAGGCCCCATCACGGCCAGTGTTGCAGGTATTTAAGGGGAGGTAGCACACTCAGGGAACTCTCCCGAAAGAGAAGAAAGCCCTCCCTGTTCTGAAGACATCCCTATAGAGCAGAATTGGGCGAGAAAGCCCAAGAGAACTTTCCCAATGGCCTCAACTGTAATTTAAAACTTGTAAAGTGAGCATGTGGATGGTGGGGGTGGAGGTGGTAAATGTCCGAGAAAACAGCCCATCATATGAGGATAGGAAATATCTATCTGTAAAGCTGGTTTTTTCTACTATTGGTCATTAGTGTTGGTGTTTCTCATTTCCCTTTCCAGTCATCAAGGCATTTACATAAATCAGCACACAACGCCTCCAGAAGTCAGCACTCAAGTGGGAATAGAGGGATGCCTCTGACAAGAAGGCACATCTAAAAATGAATGGCGTGAGGTTGTGCACATCAGTTTCTGTTGTGCAAGCAAAGGGAAATAGAGAAAATTGCCATGTTTTATCATGTCGGACGAGCTGGAGCAGGTGACACCGTGATCAGGTGTGCATGCATAATCACTCCCCCAAATAATCGCCATGTGGAATAATTTCCCCCCAAATCTTGCAGCTTCAACTTATTCTCTGCAAGTGACTCATAAATCTTGGCCTTGAATGTGAATCAAGATTCCAAGCTGCAGGCTCAGGGGTTTGTTGGATTTATTCAACTTTAGTCTTTATTTATAGACATAAAAGTGTATTATTGGTTGTAACATCAAAACAAAAGAAAACAGATTGTAAGCATCCATTAATGTTTTCCCAAAAGGGAAATCACAAGTTTCTCTTGGGTCTTTCATTCTCTCCCTTGTAATATTAAGATGATGTCATAAACTTGTAATTACTTTGTGATGTTCTCGTGCACTTTATATCTGTTGGTTCAGAGACGCAAATTCCCTCTCTGATCGGAATGCGGCAAACAATATGAGCAGGTGGAAGATAAGTCTTCAGTGGCTTGCATAAAGGAACCTGTGAAGTTTTGAATCCATAATACTTAAATTCTGTTCTCTGGGAGGGGAAAGAGGCATTTTAAATATCTTGGGCTTTGCATTATGTACATGAGATGAGGTATTAATTTTGTGGAACAATTTACTCTTACTACTAAAAAAATTATTTTGGCTAACAAATAAATGCAGAGGCTTAATGAAAAATATTGTTTGTATCAGGTAGAAATTTTTCATTCAGTAATCAGATCTAGGAAAGCAAAAAACTGTAATAGAAGGGGTATGTTTGTATGTATATTATTAGATGTTTGGTTTTCAAGTATCTGTGGTATTGGGATAAGTAGGAAACACCAAACATAGAGCTGTGAAAAAAAAATTGATCACAAGATGGTGACTTTCTATTTTCTTGGCCAAATCTTTGTTCTTTTATTCCCAGCTCATCTCTTCAATTCTGCAAGAAAGAGGCCATAAAGTATCTATTTCCGAGTCCTCTTTAAGCCTTTCTCAGATTTCTTATTGCTCATTGCTAACCATTTTAATTTCTGACCTCTTCTGCTCCACTAGTTACAGACCCATTCACTGACCCTCTAGGATTTCCAACTCAATGATTTACGTCCTTGCCATATTCATGTGAAGCAGCACCAGTATCAATCGCAGAGAGCGGGAGAAAGAAAAATGCTTCCCTATCATTCTCCTGCTTGGTGGCAGGAACAACTTTTCTTTATGTTTCTCTTTTCTTATAATCTTAATAATATTGTTGATGCTGGCAGTTTTAGGCATCTCCAGCAATGCCTCCTCCCTCAAAAAAAAAAATCCCCTTTTGAGTTTTAGTTGCTGCAACTATTATAGAATGAGAGGTAAAATTTCTTTGAGTGGTAGAATTTGGGGCAGGATGGGAGGAAAGCCAGTGAACCTACGGTTCCTAATCTGATCAATAAATCTATTGATGTATGGGAGAGTCAGATGGGAGGGTGGGGTCTGAGGATGTGTTTCTGCCTTGACCTTAGTACTGTTTTTCTCCTGTGGGGAAGCAGAGTCCTCATTTCCTTTTATCAAGGCATAGAGGGTTATGGAGCCATTAAGAAGGAACTCAGCCACATTTATCATTTGTGGCTTGTTCTGGTTTTAGAAGCTGACAAGTTGACCAACAAATGTAGATGCCATTTACCACCCTTGGCTGAGTCATTTGCATTCACAGTTTAGTTAAAGGTAAATTGGATCTAGATTTTTGTTTTGCCACTTTCTCATATAGTTTCTTATACTTTCTGTATCTTTTTCTCAGCCCTCTGTTTCATTTACAGTTCTTTTCCTCATTCTCTGCATTCTTTACAATCCCAGGCCTCCAGCTACACCATCACCTCTCCTGTGAGCCCTGCATGAGATCAACTCTGTTTCTCTCTGACCTAGGCATGTGGTGTGTGGTAACACTGTTCAACATGGAGTACGAATGCAGACTAATGAGCCTCTTTGTCAGGATGTGGACGTGCCCCACACGTCGATCCTGTTTAGTTATTAGAATCTGAAAACTTAATCATACACTCTAAGAAAAGGCTTTGATAAAGAATTTTACTCCTGCATGTTCATTTAAGACTTAGACTTGACATATTAACGCCAAATTTAAAATTGTGTCCTCTTCATTGCAATCCTCTGTAGTTACAAGGTTCTAATAAATATTATGTCCTCCCATCATGCAATTAAAATTTTCCACCTCATTTCACAATGCAAAACATTCACATGTTGTCAATCATTTTGAAACATGATTTTTTGACATCATATAATTTTACTTCATTTTTTTAGACAGACATCGCACCAGGAAATTATTTAAGAAAGAATCCTATTATATCTTTATTTTTCCACCAAATTTCACCTTCAAATGCAGTCATTTGTGTACATTTCAGTAATTTCAACAATAAACTTGCAAGAAGAGGGAATGGCAACTCCTTAGACAGAGATTTACATATGGGTTTTGCAAGTCTTGTGAGGCTGTGGCTCTGTTGCAGGCACCCGGTTAGAAAACACGGTTTTAGCCACAGGAAGTTTACAAGTCTTGCTGCACAAAGTGAAAAGGTTGCTGCTTGAAACAGCTACCACCTGGGAAGCTGGGAGAAAAACATGCGTGGGCTTTTGAACTTTCCTCTGTTTAATAACTAGCAGACACTAATGATTTGCCAAACATCCTGATTTAAAATGGCGGTAGTCAAAAGCAAGGCTGCCTGCTGGTTGTCAGGTAGCCCACCTGTTCTCCATACCAAAGTTCCCTGACCTGTGCCCAACGCAAAGCTGTTATCCTTTAAACCACTGCTATATGTGTGTGCACATCTTGTAGGGTTCTCTTGCTAACATTCTGGTCTGCTGTCGAAGAGAAGCTTCTTACTGGAAACTCCACGTTGCCTTTTTAATGAAGGAAGATCCTTAGGGAATGATCTCATACACAGTCTTTGGAGAGGCTGGAGTGGGAGGTGGGTGAGAGAGAAGTGATGAGGGCTCATTTTGTCTGTGCACAGCAAGAGAGTGCTACTGGGAAAATGTTGACTGAGTTAACTGCTCAATTCAGCATAGAATGATCATCTTTTCCTAGTTTTAAAAAATATTGGGATGGATTTTTTAAGAAGGGTCAATCATATTATTTATATCTTGGTGTAGTGTTTTTGAGAGGAAAAGTAGAAAACAGCTAGTTGTTGAAGGTGGGAAAAATGTGAGAAAGGGGAGCAGTGTTGAGATGATATCTATAGTATACAGTAAGGTGTGAGACAGTGGTTTCTGGTTACAGCAAAGGGGCCTGAGGAAGCAGGAAGACACTATTTCGGTATGACCTAAAGTAGAAAGGTGATTAGAAGAGCTTATTAAGTGCCAGTTGGGCATCATTTGTTAGCATAATATAGTTAGTTTGATTAGCACTCATGTGATATTCAAACCACATGGACTTTGCAATGGTTCAGGTATTTCCAGACAATTGCATAATGGCAAGAACGTGGAAGCCGTTTACTATTAGGTAGATGGGTAGGTGGGTAGGCAGGAAGGCCTAGGCTCTTTCCTTACATTCTGCTTGTTTAAGGCATTCCAGGTTTTTGTAGATGTTGTAATGTGAATATCAATAAATATATCAGAGTGAAACATTTGATAGCACAGGAAGGAATTCTTTTAAGAAGGTTCCATCTAGTATTATATTCAAGTAATTACATTAGGATTTTATTAATAGTTAACCTGTAAAAGTACATGCTATGTAGTAAAATTTCATGGCACATTTTTCAGTACCTACTATGTACCTAAAATTATGTCATTTAAACCTCACACCTACTCAATGGAGTTGGTATTATTATACCAATTTTACTGATAGGAAAACTTAGCCATACTGCTAATAAAGTGGCAGAGTGCAGAATGAAATCTCCTATACTCTAAATGTTTGTTCAATGAATGTTGACAATTAAATCCATACCATATTCACTTATGGATATTCATACAGGCATATCCATTCATTTTACGCACACATGTCAGACGTCCATCTGTTTTTTGACGGGATGATTAGGAAATCAGAAGGAGTTCCTTTATGATAGGCAAGAGCATGCTTCCCCCATCCTTCGTCTATGTAAAGGCCTTTGTAATGTTCTTTCAGTCCCATCTAGAGGGCTGCCTCCAGGGATCAGGGGATACTTAACTTTGTTCTCTAAAGCCAGTTGTACTACAAATGAAGATAGCAATTAGCATTCATCATCCTTGGTGATTTTAATCTCCCTCTCTGGGTTTACGTAGCGCTTATCACTATGGTACCTACGTGCATTGACAGGCTTGCCAACTTTTCATGCAATAATACTGGGAAGACAACCCCTTCCCTGAGCTGTTCAATGCCTAGCCCACAGATAGCCATAGAATTTTCTCTGTAATATGAGTCCTTCATCTTCTGAACTCCTATGTTGTCTATACTTACCCAACACTAATGTCCTGAAATTCTAATATGATACCTTTGAACCATCACAAGATATACTGAAGTGTCTGTGCCATGATGTGTCTACATACTACTTACCATTTGTTTTAGGAATTATTTGGTATAAAGAAGAGAACCTACATGAATAAGCTAAAAAGAATAGGTGTTATTAGAAGGTTTCGCGGGTATTCATGAAATCCATATATACTGAGCTTTGCCTCACAGAAATGGGGAAATGGGTAACTACTCGTTCCTCTCTCTTATCCCATCATCCCTCCTCTCTGCTGCTCGTTGTTTCTATGGTTTATTCTCCTCTCTCTAAAGGTGAGTTTCTCTGTGTACATACCGGTTTATACATGGCTCATCATGGCTGCTTTCAAATGGTGGCCTTAGCCTGCAAATCTATATGACTTTTCAGCTCACATTCCTTATGCTAAAGAAATGCAGATTCTGCTTTTCCTGTTTAGGACTCCTGGGAGAAAGAATCTGCTGCAGCACCCATGTCTACTCCTCATCTAAGCAGTGTTATGGGGAAACAAGGGGGAGAGGAGAGGTCATGTGTGCTGGGCTGCTGCTTTCAGAACACTGGGCTTGTTTCCTAAGAACAGGATTAAGGGCAGAGGGGTTTGTATCTCTAGTATCAGTTGTAGTAAGGACTACATGGGGAGGAAAAAAATGGACTTGACTATGTACAAGGATGAATTTTAAGTTGCTACACTTAAGAGAGAAAAACAAAACTCTCATGTAGAAAACTGTGTACTGGACATATTTAGATAGCGATACTTCTACAGAGCACCAGGGAAGCAGAAGTACCTAATCTGAGATCTGAAGACAAGAATCTTCATTCTTTCTGGGCTGAAATTACAAACTGTTTCTTGGAAGCTTGTATTTCTGTTCCCAAACACAAATCCATTTGATGGAATCCAGAGAAAAGAAAAAGGTGAATTCAGCCAAATATTCTTCCACTCCTATCTGCTCTAGAAGACACTGAAGAAGCACTTTTCTCCACTGTAATGCATGCGATTTTCATGTGTAGACATGGTCACCACCAGCTATTGTTGGCTTTGTGATTATCACTCCAAAATATTGAAGGCCACTGAATATTCGGTTAACTATATAGCTATTTCTATCAGGCTGTTTTTAGATCATAATAGAGACTTCTAATAATGCTGAGTAGATTTCTCTGATTTGCTGAGAAAAGGTTATATTATAATCAATAATTGGGGAAAGACCTATTGGAGGGCACCTTCTCTCAGTACCTGGGGCCCCCTTCTTCTCCTCCTGGGGGCACCATTATGGTCTGCTCGTTCATAACCCCTTCACTCAGTTCAATCGCTATTTCGCCAGACTTCAGATGTACTAAGGCAGTCAATTCACTCTCATGAGATGAAAGCATCTGTATTTGAACAGGCTGAGATACCAAGTTTCTTTCTTTCATTTTAAAGTTCCAAGCAGAATTATTATGCCCATCACAGGATGACCAGTATGGCCTATTAGGTAAGAAATATGATCCCATTTCTAATATCCTATTTGCATATTTTCTTTTCCAAAAGGTGCTTTTTGCACAGGTCGCTGGCCCCTGAAGTATGTGTCTCAGGGCTTATAAGGGGCTGATTTCCCTCTAAAAGTGCTTCACCCTCCAGTTGGAGTCAGGCATGTCTATAGGAGCTTGAAGGCTGTGTTCTAGTTCTGCTGAAAAGACAGTACTAGCAAAAAACACCTTTGTGTTTTCCCCATCTTCTGAAAACTATTTAAAAGCATTATATTTTGTCCCTACTGCTTCAGTCCTTGGTCTCTCTAAGGGACTTAACCTTGGGGTGATGCTGAAAGATTGCCATTTTCATGCAGACTATCAAATTGCTCCACTAGGTAAAATATAAAAATGTAATGAACCCAAGCTTGACTGTAATCATACAGCAACAAAATCACTTGAAAGAGCCACTGGCTTCCATTTTCTTTTCCTTTGAAGGCTTGTTATTCTGAGTCCTTTTTCCATTCAGGGCCATGTAAACAACAACAAAAATAACTCCATTTTAAAGTAAGCATTGACCAGACACTGTTCTAAATGCTTAACCTGGATTATTCATTTAATTCTTAAAACCAGGTTTTTTTGAGGTAGTATTTTCACCTAATTTTATAGATGAAGAAACTGACATTCAGAGAGGTTAAGTAACTTGCCTAGAGTCACAGATCATGAAATGTGAATAAAGAGCATGGCCAAATGCCAGACACAGTGGCTCACACCTGTAATCCCAGCACTCTGGGAGGCAGGCAGCTTGCTTGAGCCCAGAAGTCTGGGACCAGCCTGGGCAACATGGCAAAACCTCTTCTTTACAAAAAATACAAAAAATTAGCCAGGCATGGTGGTAGGTTCCTGCAGTCTTAGTTACCCTGGAGGCTGAGGTAGGAGGATCATCTGAGCCCTGGAGGTCAAGACTCTGGTGAGCAGTGATTGGTGATTGCACCACTGCACTACAACCTGGGAGACAGAGTGAGACCCTGTCTCAAAAAGAAAAAGAAAAAAAAAAAAGTTCACAGCATGGCTCAGGTGGCCTCCCTTTGTGATCATTCCCTTCCAGCCGTACTTACATTCTTTTCCTCAGTCCTTTCATCTCAAACCTGATGAGGCATCCCAAACCATCCACTACTATGAGGCTTTGAAGACAAGGAGAAAAAGATGGGAAACAAGACCAAGGAAGAGAAGAAAGCTCTAAAAGGAGACTGTGGAGGGCATGCTAAGAAGCTTGTGTATAATCTGTTGAAGAAGGGGAGTGGAAGAGAAGAGGCACACTCCTTCCCTGTTTGGAAATGCTCATCTGTGTTTTCAATGGCCTTTTTCTCTGCTAAAGGGGCCCCATAGATGACAATAAGCAGCTCATCAGACAATAGGCACTATGGAAGACCGAGGCAAAAGGCTCTTCTGGAGAAGAGAAACTTGGCATCGGGGTTTCCTGTGATGCTGTGTTCCAGGAATTATCCCCGTGGGAGGATGTGAGAAGCAGAATCTGGTCCTTCGGGGTGGAATCAAGAATCAAAAGACTCTGGGTTTATCTTTCTTTCTCCATACAAGACCAGTGGTTTTATGTGAGGGGAGAGGCAAGGCAGGAGGCTGTCATAGGAGAGCTCATAATGGGAGAATGTGGGTAAAAATCTAATAATCAGAAAGTGATTAGATAAGTGGTCTAAGAACAAACCCTCTTCCCCTGCGGGCTGTGTAGTGCCAGACTCTGGTGGCATATGAGGCCCCTGGCTGCACCCATCCACTCCTAACCCTCTAGTCTTCTTTCCTCCTTTAGTCCTTGTTATCACTTAATGCATCACATAATTTACTTGTTTGGTTATTTTTTATGTTGCTTCTTCCTCTATGGAGTGTAAGCTCTATAAGGGCAAGGATTTTTGAATATTTTGATCACATTTTGGGGATCTTCTCAGGTACTCAGTAAACATGGTTGAATGAATAGATGTTGTGTGGGACATGCAATGGGACAATGTGGCCACGGCGCCACGACTTTGCTTTCTTGTTCACAAGAGTTATTCTGTCTCCCTTTCCCTCCTTGTCTCAAGTCTCAGCCATTTTATGGCCAGGTGCTGGCTGAATGGTTTTTGTGTTTGTTTTTGTCCTTGGTCCGGGGTCTCTCCGTTTTTTTTTTTTTTTTCCTACCCACCATAACATATTCCATCCAGTGTTTCTCACTGTTTTTTGGGAAAAGTTTCTCTGTCCCTTTTTCTCTGCCTCTCTTTCTTTCCAAAAATCTTAATGCTAAGCCATAAACTGGAGTGAAAAAGATGAGGAGGACAATCTAGGGCAGCTAAGATGACTAGCTATTTATTCCCAGGAGACAGGTAGTTGGAGAGGACCCTGGTGTCAGGGAAGCAGACCCAAGGGGGTGCAACCTTCCTACTCTAGGTCCAGAGAACTAAGTTACTAAGGACCAAGAATCAGCCTACATCCACACTGGGCTGTGGGTTAAGAGTTTACCAGCATGAAACCATTAAGATGAAATGTTCTGCTTTTTATAAGAAAGACAATTTCAAAACCTTCTTTCATAATACTTCCTGGACAAATACCATGCACATGCATATTTATTTAACAAACACTTCTATCATTCTTATTATGTGCCAGGTGCTGTTATAAGTGGTTCAAAAATAATATTAACTCATCCAGTAGTAAGTACTATTGCTATCACCCAGCCCCCTTATTTTATAATGAAAAAACAGGAGCAAGAAGGGGTTAAGTCACTTGGTTGAGACTAAGAGGTTAAATAGTGGCAGAGTTGAAATTTATACCTGGATACTCAGATCTCCAGAATCAATACTTTTATTCACTAGCTAGGACACTTCTCCAATATTTGCTAATATTTTTGAGGTATTGGTTATGATCTCATTAAAGATCTCCTTTAATTCTCTAGATCCTTACAAAGGAGGTAACAAAAATCCACAGTGGAAGACAGGTCGCTATTTTAACTTCAAAACATAAACTTTCTGATTTGATTTGTTTTAATACATTGATTATCTAGTATACATACATGTGTATATGTGTACATATATATTAAATGAATATAAACATACATATATCAGAATATATATATACATATACGTATATATTCAAATGCTACATGAATATATTTTGCCTAATCCATACAGAGCTTCATCAATATTTCTTCTTTATTCTCTTTTATGCCAGCAGCTTTCTTTATGCATTTCCATTTTCCACATTTTTAAGAGTGATTGGATTAGGTTGCATACACTTCTCCTGAAATATTAAGTGCATACAATCCACATTCACATGCATTGGGCCTATAGTTATGATCTATCATTTCAAAAATCCACACGTTAAAAAAGAGCAGAACAGGCCTTGAGTGCTATGAAGTATTAGGTCCAAAGAACCCCTTGCCATTCATCTTTTCACTAATGCAGGGACTAACGAGATCCCAGAGTTCCTTTCTCATTGGCAAATCCTTTGTCTTAAAACCACTGAAACTACACACACCCACACACACACGCATACACACTCACACACATATGCAAACTCACACTCATCTGCTCACATCCACTTTGTATATCTAAGAGAACTAGTTCATTTCATAATGAGTAAGTTACTGCATAGTCAAGCAGGAGAAGGACACCTGATTAGTGTGCCATTCCTCAGATTTCTAGAGGGGATATGGTGTCAGCACAAATGTCAATCCAGATATGGAGCTTTGTCCCCAGGACTATTTTGGGGAAAAAACTAGATATAGAAATGGTTGGGCAAGACATCATTTTTAATGCCAAATTGACTCTACCTGATGTTGCCTCTCCCTCAATACTATTTCTCCCTTATGATCTTGATCATTAAATACTCCCAGTGTCAAAAGTTCCACTGCTGGGTCTTCCTTCTTTATTCTTTCCCTCTCACTCTTTGAAAATATAATAAGGCAGATTTTCTTGTGTAGCTTATGAAAATCAGTCTTCCTGCTTTAGGTCAAGCCATGTTTGTTTGCAGTATAATTTCCTGGCTGGTAGTGTCTCACTGTGCTAGTGTCCTCAACACCCGCTTGCCTTCATTGGGCCAGCAATTTTTTCCACTTCTATCCAAGCAATTCCTGCTATGATGCATGCTCACACCTCTAAGCATACATTTGCTTTACTTCTATCTTTCCTTGAACTCAACTGTTCAGAACCTCTAAGTCCCTGTCCTCTGTCTTGGAAGAGTTTATGACTAGTCTGAGGGTGAAACTCCAAGGAGAACTAAACCACTAATCCCTTCAATATTTTCATTGATAATTCATGAAAAAAATCGATGTGATTGAATTAGTCAGTTTCTTCCAGATGGAAAAAATCTTTTGTTGTGTGTAGACATGACATTATTCACTGAGTATTTCAATCCCTACAGTTATTTGTGCCTATAAAGTCTAAAAAGTCCAAACACTAAGATTTGGTCAGTCATCTTTGTCTGTACAATTCACCAAATAAAGACACTCTCACATATGCACATATCCCAATGGTTAACATCATGGACCAAACATCCTGATTATTTTGTGATTTTTTTCATATTACAGCTGGATGTTTTGGCTTTGTATAGACAGATTACAGAGTGCTTCCCAGTATGCATCCCTTTGAATCTGCTTTATTGATGTAGAACAAAGTTTCATTTGCTCACAGATTTTAATTTAAAAAAGAAAAGCTAATGAATGTTGGATTGCATTCTTCAGGGAAGGTAATAAGCCTTGTGTGTTATATAAAAAGCTACCGCCCTCTGATTGTCAAAGTTTACTTCTTTCTTTTCAGATTCTTCTTTGTATTGTTTTACAATCTAGGTATATCTGTTTAACATGAAATGCAGAAAATGACAGGGCTCAGACAGCTACTGCATCCAGTGACAAAGATTACTGTCATCCTGGCTCATCAGTTAATTCATCATTGGCAATGGTCCATTCCATTTCCTGGTAGCCTAGCAACAGCCAATGATGGGGAGGGCTGTTTGCCATGTGACAATGGTATGTGGTACTTTCCAGAATGCTTTTACATAAAAATAGGATGATAATTTATAAATTTACATTTTTATTTTAATAAATGGGAATATTTGGTTTTAGGGGTTGGCATTCAAAAGGGAGACAATTTTATTTTGCAGACCATGACTTTAAAGTGCTGGACTGGTGACTTGATAACAGAAATGGAGCTATCAATTTCACACATAAACAGGGTTTAAAGTTGAGCCTGTGAATGCCTTACTTTACCTTAGTGAGACTGATATTCTCCCAGAGATTAACTCTACACAAATAATATAATTGAAGGAGAGCTATTCTCATTTCAGTGAGCATGCATACACACATACACATGCGTGCTCACACACAAGACATAGAATTTTGAGTCTGGACTTTGGCTCCTAATTTTTAAAAATAACTGTTTAGGAAAAAAAAAAAGAAATCCATGAGCAAAACAATAATTGTTGTCCTCAATATATTTTTTTAAAATCACAGTTTCTCACAATCCTCCTAACCCTCTATTGATGATTCATGGTTCGGCAACTCATTTGAAAATCTGCTCATTTGTTTTCACTGATTGAATTCCCTGATTGTTAGTGTGTGTAAATGTATCAGCTACTTTTGAAGCTGTCTTCTGTTAAAGAAGTGATAGGAAATCCTATTAAAATGTCATAATGCTTTTTCTCTTGTTATGACAGTATATTGAGTAAATAGTTTTATTTTAGTGCTATAGTTAAGAAAATCTATAATCACTTTCTCATAAATCTTTTTTTAAAAAATCTGTATTTAGCCCCATCTGCAGAGACAGGAGTGGAAAATACGCGACTACCTAAGACATGAATTCCGTTAAATATTAAAGAGATCTCATCAATGATTTTATTAGTCTCTGAGCTCAGTAAAGGCCTCACTGACATCCAAAGCCTAATGATTTTTCTTAAATATATTTAAAGCCCTGCACTGCACCTTTAAATATTGAACAATATTGAAAAATATTGAAGCCCTTTTTTTGTATATTAGCTTTAGGCAGGACTGTTGTATGATT
Source organism: Homo sapiens (assembly GCF_000001405.40). NCBI lineage: Eukaryota > Metazoa > Chordata > Mammalia > Primates > Hominidae > Homo > Homo sapiens. The sequence continues at coordinate 59,911,112 of NC_000002.12, read as the reverse complement.
TCCACTCCTTTCATGACATTGTAATGATGTTACCACATACAACTTTATCTTGCATGAAAAGGTGAAGTCATGAGTGATTTCTCCAATTTAAAAGCACTCAACCCTCACAGTGCTAGAAATGAATATTTTGCATATATTCATGCAACAATGATTCAATTTAAGATTTCTATTTTCAAACATTGCTTGAAACCTTCACTATGTTAGTAGTAAAATTGCCAAAATGTGTAATAAGATTTATTATAGATGAGTAGCATTTTATTTAGTATTTCATGTTAACACGCTTTTAGGGTTACCTGGTTTAGCAGGAGAATTCATCTTTCTTTTCTAATCAGAGATAACATTTTATTGTATTTTTAAAAATTCTCTTCCCATACACATATAGATTGTTGCACAAACTGAATTTACTCTTGCTCGCAACGCAAACCTAAACATCGCTCACGTCAAAGCTTGGTGTACCCTCACACAAAGGCACTCTGATTAAAAAAAAGAAGGAAGACTTCTACTTCTCCTTTGTAATTTCTGTCCCTTCTCACCAGAATCACTGTAAAATCCTTTTGCTGTGCATCCTTAAAATGGGTTCAGAATTTATCTGCAGACTGGTTATATCCTTGTTTATACTGTGTAGATGCTTGATGCTGTAACAGCATAAAAATGCACATAAGTTTCCTAGAAGCCACATCAAGGCATATGTTACAGGCACAAAAAGTATAGGTTGGCGGAAGCTCTTAATTGAGGGGCTGTGTTTCTGAAAGAGGTTTGCACAGATGGAGGAAGAGATGTATCTAAATGTGGTTACCTATGAGCTTATATGTGAGAGATAGGAAAAGTGTGTAACCATTTAATGACTGCACCTGTGATTGTTACAGGGGAGGCACAAAAATGTGTAAACCTTTACTAGTTCTGTGTTCATTATCCATCTTTAGGCCCTTAGGTCTTTTCATGTCAGATTTTTAATCATTTCACCAATGGAAGAGGGAACCTTCCACAGACTGGTTTCACAGGCATTAAAGCAATGCTCTTCCTCCCCAAGTCTATTTATAAAGTATACAGAAATGTACATACACGGTCACACAAATATACCCTCATACACAAAACAAGGCTTTGTATATATGGGGGAAACTTATACCTCATGCCCAAAGGGCAGAAAGGAAATATTAACCTGATTTTAATTTAGAGGAGACCTGTAGTTGCTAGCAACTAACCCCGTTTGCCTGTGCAAAGCTACTCACAGATGACATGTCCATATGAATGCAATTTTTCTTTGATTTTCTTTAATTTTATAGTTAAAAAAATTACTGGAAACTGGAGAGGCAACATATGAGTTAGTGCAAGATAGTGACTTGTTCTGCATTTTTGGTAGGGAAAGAGAGTGGCAATCTTATTAGGCCCCTGTGTGGGCCAAATTTTCCTAATTACATGGAAATCAGAGGCAGCCCCTGGACTGCGGTATCTTACCTGCACAGAGTAAACACTCCCCTGCTGTCACTAATGTCCTATAAATCATGTTAAAGAGAAGCATAATTAACATTCTTGATCAAATCAAGCTCCAAAGCCATGAGGTGCTTGAGTGAAAAAAGCCACATTTCCAAATCATCACTGAATAGATTCTCCAGGGAAGGGGAATGCTTAGGATGGCTCTACACTTCTCCCTAGCCACCCACCCCTGCCCTGTGCATACCAGCAGAAGGCAATGAAAGTTTAGGTGAGAAAATCCTCAGCAATGTATCAATTACATTCAGTTTCATGGAAGCTCATCATGAGCAAAGGGCGTGGGGTAAGATACAGAGACAGGAAGCAGCCACGTGTCTGAGAAGAATGAGCAACTTCATGTTTTTCAGTCTGCTGAAAACGTACCCTTTCTGTGCATATCAAATTAGTTTTACTTGTCTTTAAAACTATTTAAAGAAGATGGTGTTTCTGGTTAAAGAACAGGTGTATTTGTGCAAATCATTTCTGTCTTTGTTTTCTATGTATCTTGAGAAAATATCCGCCCAGTTGTCAAAGGCTAAACAGATCTCAAGTTCACTTGGAGGTGGGTGCCCAAGTGGAATAGTTGAAATATATTTCAAAGATGTCTAGACCCCAGGACAACATCCACAGAGAATCCTGGAACTCTTGCCATGGGAGGCAGTGCTTTTATTTCTTTCAGTCATAGAAAAGAGATGTTAGTTGCAAATTTCCCTGGAAGTTGCTCATTAATTTCCATTCACACCAAGGCATAAGCAGTTGATAGCAAGGCCTTGATGAAAGAGATAAACAAAGGTGGCAGAGAGCAGGGGCCCTGGATGTACAAGTAGGACAGTAACAGAGGGGAGAGAGAGGCCAACAGGGGAATCTAGGTATGACATGTAATTCTCTTCCTCAACATGACAATTCTGATCTAAGTCAGGGTCTGGCTGTGAGAAAGTCTCAATAAACATCATCAACAACAAAAATAGAGGTGGTAATGGAGGATCCCTCTTTCATCCCATATACATTGTCACTGAGGAAGGACATTTGCCTCAGTCCCTTCTTTGGCCTAGGTACTCAGGGAGAAAGTGCCCTGAGATGCTCCCTGGGATGTGGGGAGCAACAGTTCCTGGGATTCCTCCTGTATTCCTGCTGGCTCCTTCCCTAACACCTTAAGTGGATTTGCATTCTTCTGGTTTATCATTAGCACTGGCTTTATCCCTCCCACACTGAGTTGGGGTAGAGCCTCCGTGAGGAAGTGATCCCTGCTACTTCCTACTCGGGCTGGATGCATGGGTGCTTGGGTGTGTGTGTTGTGGGGCAGGAGGGATAAGCCTGAGGCTTATCTTATTACTTATTACTAAGATTCCTTATTTAAGTAAATAAATACAATATGAAGAGTCCAGGAACTGTGTGTACCTTGAAAAGAAGTACATTTTCTACTAGGGTAGTATAGATTATGTGGACTTTGATCAATGTATACTATATGCATTGGTATGTGTAGCACAAGGACCATAGATTCTGGGTTTCTGGAGTCTATTCCAACTTCAGACTTTCAAATATTATATTTACTGATACAGATATGTATGTGTGTTAATGAACTATATATTTTTAGTTATATAACTATATTCTTTTCAAGAAAGGCATTTTTAAAAATAACGAGAACCAAAAAGATTTTACATTTTATATTTGAAAGGCTTTTTATATAAGTGAATTCGCAAATCAGAAAAATAATTCTTTATTAGGTCATGAGTTCTAAATTGTGACTCTGGAAATATGGTCACTATAGATATGCTTACTGCTCTTCTTTCTTAAGTCTAAATGCCTAGAAAGCATACAGCTCATAAAGATAAATCTGGCCAAACTGGTTATTCGTCCCCTTGCAAAGACCTGATCCCTCCTCACAGTTTTACTCATTTCTTTCCATTTCGCTTTATGTTGTTTTTTACTTTGCTGAGTGCAGACCAAGTTATTTGTGTTTAAAACAAAGAGAGAAATACAGCTGGAATTATTCTGAGTAAAAATTTGTGAGTAAAAATTTGTGTTTTCCTCTATACAGAGGAAACCTGTCGACTTGAACATGTATTATTATATAGGGGCTCCACTCCATGCAAATCTTTCTTGGAATTCTTGTTTTTTGTGTGTGTGTTTGTTTGTTTTGTTTTGTTTTGTTTTTGAGACGGAGTCTCGCTCTGTCACCCAGGCTGGAGTGCAGTGGTGCGATCTCGGCTCACTGCAAGCTCTGCCTCCTGGGTTCACGCCATTCTCTTGCCTCAACCTCCCAAGTAGCTGGGACTACAGGCGCCCGCCACCACACCCGGCTAATTTTTTGTATTTTAGTAGAGACGGGGTTTCACCATGTTAGCCAGGATGGTCTCGATCTCCTGACCTCGTGATCTGCCTGCCTCGGCCTCTCAAAAGTGCTGGGATTACAGGCGGGAGCCACTGCTCCCAGCCGGAATTCTTTAAGTGATTTACTAAGGTTATGTTTTCAACAGATTGTTAGATCAGTCTGATCATCTCTGTTCAAAAAGAAGAAAAGAAAAGCTCATTCAAATAGTCGACTGAGTTTTAATCGCAATAGTCTTTACTCAGATATTGCCCTCTGGGAGATGTCTTCACTGACCATCTTACTTAAGGTTGCATAACCTTCCACTCTGCACATACTTTCTGTCTTCTTTTCTGGGCTTTATTTGTCTTCAAAGTACATACCCATTTGGCCTACTACAGATCTTAACTATTTGCTTGTTGCCTTTCCCTCCAACCCCCAACTGCCCACCACACATATGATGTCAACTCTCTGAAGGCAGAAGTTTCTGTCTGTTTTAGTCACTGAATCTCCAGGGCCTAGAATGGCATAGGATATATAGTAGTCAATCAATCAATACTTATTTAATAAGTACATGGAGTGAATGGATTTGATTTATCAAGCTGTTTTTCTTAATGTGTAACATAAATTTAGATGTGAGTAATTAGCCAAAATTATTCTTTTTTGCCCTCTATCTCTTCTTGTCGTAACCACTTTGGTCACTTTCTTTTCCACATGTTGCTCCTTTAACAATCTATGTGACACCAAAATGTGGGGCAAGACACAAAAAATTTATCATTTAAGTTATTCCACCTCACGTCGACCAAGAAACTGGTTGTATCAGGAAAATTTCCACCTTCCAACTGGTTGTTCCAACTCTTGGAGGACATCACTTCTGTTTTCTGCACTGTAATTTAGCCTTCGTGGCTTGCTCGCCTGGGAGTCTGATCACAGGACACTTGACACATTCCCCAAAGTAAAAGACCTTAGGTGGGTAGCATCAGGCTGCCATACTGGAGTGTTGAAGCCTGAGGCCTGAAAGTGCTGAATTCTGCAAAGCTTGCCGTCTGTTGACCCTCTGTGACACAAACACAATTTATATTATACATAGCTATTGATCATCAATAGGCACTAAAAACCTAGTCACCATGTGTGTCTTATCCATCTTTTGTTTCTGGCGGGGAGAGAAGAAGTGGGAGAATGAAGAAAGGCATGATGTGCTGAATAATGCTTGAATCAGTGTAACTGAGTATACTTTGGCTTTTTGCTCTAGGCTTTTTTTTTTTTTTTTTTTTTCCCTGCATGAAGCATCTACCCTTCTTTACTTTCCTTCCCTCTTTGGCTTTCTTTTGGCTGAAGAAACATGCCTTACACCTGCTGGTATGTTTTTATGAGATGTTTGGGATTTTCTAGGGCCTTCCCCAGAGGTGACTATGTTTCGGTGGTGAGTGAATAATGCAAAACAGTCTACAGACTGTATGCACTGAGTAATCACTGGGAATTCTTCAAAACGATCTCAGGTTGGTAAAATTTTCCACAGAAAATAATAATAACAGTAACAATAGCAGCAACAGCAATAATAAACAAGATATGCCCTGTATGCTTCCACCCAATTATTAGCTAATAATGCATAATTATGAATAATTCCACTCTTTAAATGCAGATTTTAAATAGCAATAACCATTTATTTTATGTTTTCACGTTATTTTCCTGCACGTCCTTTATGTCAATTATGTGTTTTCAGGCACATCTGATTGTGCTGTGCTGTGGTTGCGATGGTTTGGTAATTGTACATTAAAAAAAAAAACAACAACACGTGTTTAGTATAAAAATTAATTACGTTAAGCATTCCTACTAATTTTGCCAGGCAAAAAAAAATGGCATCCCACAAATTTTCAGCATAAAGCGGGTGGCCAGCCTACTTAGGAGCTTTATGATCTGTGGCTGGGTTTTGTGAGTGAGCTCTGTCAAGGCAGTTTTCTCCAAACTGGAGACGGAATGCAGTGGACGGCAGTCTGCCCCTGCTCAGTTCCCTGTGTTCCCTTAAAATTTGTCTCTGGCCTCCATCTAATCAACCACTTCCCAATTATGATTATAATAACAGCGCTGAAAATATCATTTTGAAATATCGCTGCAATCCAAATTGACAGAGCTCCTGCCAGCAAGCTGGACGGTCAAGGATGTAGCTTCCTTCCTTTGGTTTGGTCCTATTTATAAGGGGTTGATCCCTGGTAATAATGAAGAAAAGCATTAGATATGCTATAGAAATCTATCCAGAAAATCCATGGGAGCAGGAAGGGCGCTTGGGGAGGGGAAGAAAGGAGGGGAAAAACCAGGAGGAATTGGATGAAAAAAAAAAATTCTGCTCAATATTGCAATCTTTCGGGAATATTTTCTTATGATGCATTAAAAATATCTGATTCTTAAAACAATTTTCTGCTCCTGTAACTCAAAATAGCGTTCAGTAAGGGGGAGGGGAAATGTAGCAATTAGTTGGCTTTTTTCCTGAGGTTTTATTACTTTGATTTTTTGATTTAATCAGCCACGAATACAACTACCAGCAGACGGTGACTTTTCCCTGAAATGTGCTTCCTGCCCAGAACAGTGGCTTGTGATTGTAGGTTAATGTTAATGAAACATGAAAAGGCAGACCCTTTTTAGGAAATTTGTTATTAACAAATAAAGGCTTGGTAACATTTAGAATCACACCAGGAATCACACCATCGGAAATATGGCTGGAGCAGATCCTAGAGCCAGCCTGCCATGCTCAGTGACAAATTTGTTTACATCTTTTAAAAGTTCTGACTCGGTACAGACAAGGTGACTTCCTACTTTTCTCATTCATGTTCAATTCACAAACATAAAGAGACTCTGAGCCATTAGGGAAGCTTTCATTTTGGCTGGGGAAGGATGAAATGATAGTGATAGTGGCTTTCATAGCAGAAAATAATTGTATAGTTTTCTTATTATTATTTTTGGCAAGGCACGCACGTTTCGGCTTTCCGATGTATTACATCATTACATTGTATAATGCATCATAATGATAGAGTGAATAGAGATGAAGAAACGCCAGCGTCCGCTGCAAGTTTAAAGAGAGAGACATTGCATGTATTTTCATCTGGGGAGGCTGCTGTTCAGCGAAGTGTTCTCTGAGATGAAACAAAGCTGCCTTCCCACTTGGCATTCACATTAATTGTGGGCTTGCCAACCGGCCAGTTTCATTGGTGTATAAATTAGTAGGGAATAATTCCACCTGTCTGAAAAACCAGAATATCTGAGGAATGCTTCCTGAGATGGTGACTTATTTGTTTTTCTGTGGTTTGCACTCAGCTCTTAGAAAACCTCCAGGATCTGCTAAACACAAAAAAAATCTGTGTTCTGCCCTGGCATACCTGTGTGAGAGGTAATGGCTATCATTACAACAAATAGAAGTTTTATTATTTTCAACAGCGTATTTTTGAGATGTATTAAAATAAATCATTTTCAAATCCTCATTATTGTAAAATGAAAGTCCACTGAGGTCCCCTGAGAGAAAATTTAAACTTATGGATTTCTATTAATAACAATAATAGGAAATATTAGTTGAGAGTCAACGATGGTCTAGGAGCTGCCATTTGGGATGTATCAGTGGGGTGCTAAGATAGGTGACTGCGAAGGAAAAAAATATTTAGTTCATTTTTTGTTATATTTATTTGTTATTGCAGTGTGGGATAAATGCTTTCTCAGTGACTAAAATTTTTTTTAAATAATCCAAATTTAGCCAAACGTAGTTGACACTGCCTTCTAAAATGTCCTGTATTTCTTAGTTCTAGGACAGGCAATTACAAGGACTATAAATATGGGGTCCAGGGCTTTCAATGCCCTTTTAACCTTTTACAATTAAAATTAACTGAATCTTAAACATTCAGTTTTTCATTCCATAATTGTGAGCTGGTTGTGTGCTTTGTATTGTGTTGGCACCAGGGATATAAATGTGAAAAAGCAGACCTGGACTCTCTCTCCTTGCAGCTTACAGTCTAGAGGTGGATACTTCATTACACCAAAACAACAAAAACAAAAACCGAATCACACCAAACCTTGACACTTCTTGCCATACGGGGGTTTTCACATTTGCATCAATACTATTCTAATAGTCACTTTTTGTTGGACCAATCAGCCTTGAACTTACTGAGAAGGGCCACATTGATCTTAATATTTGTTGTGTAGCTTTAAGCCTTGGCAGAAAAGAAAAGAAAAGAAAAGAAAAAAACAAACAAAAAACAACAGCAACATTAAACCAGTTAGTTGGAGACAAAATGCATGGCTGTTTCCACTGTCACTTATTTATTTGGGCATTTATTTTGGCCCAAAGATACCCAGATTTTCTGTCTTTTAGATAATGAAGTACTTTGGGTTTTCTCCACTCATGCAGTACAAGGTTTACATAACCAAATACAATGGAGATGTATTTAGTTATTGAGACAAATTGGATTCCTTAGTTAGTTACCTAGCTAGTTAGTTAGCTAGCTAGCCAGCTAGTCTGTCATTTTGAGTGTTTGACTGTATGTGTCTGTATCTGCACACATTATAGCTGCCAAGCACTTTATCATTTATAAAAAACAGTTTTAAAATGCAGTACCTTGTTTGCATAGTGGCTAAAATCATGGGCCTTGGAGTCATATCAATAAATATGCTTGGATTCAAATAGTGGCTCCACCATATATTTACCAAGTGACCTTAAATTCTGTAAGCCTCAGTGTCCTCCTTGTAAAATAAGGGTAATAGCCATTTCACAGGTTTGCAATGGGAGTAGATGAGGTATTCCATTAAAATAGCTTATAGGAAACAATGAATGGTAGCTAATATTTTTGTTGTTGTTTTATAAAATAATTTCTAACCCTTATTAGAATTTAATGAAGCAGGCTACTAATGATCTCATTAGGTCCTCCTATTTATTTTTATCTCTACATGACTGTAAAGGCAGACTCCCTTTCCTAGAATTCCTACTTTTCTTTTCTCCAATTAAGTATTTTCTACCCATTTCTTAGAGCTCAATTAAATACTTCTTTCCTGACTTTAGTGCTAAGTTAGATACATTGTTCCATAACAAGTATTTATTATGCCAGTGCTGTTTTAAGTGTTGGAAATACAGTGATATTAAGAAGAGACTATAGTCCCTGTCACCATGCAGCTTACATTGTATCAGAGGAGGCAAACTTTCCACAAATATTGCTAAGATAAGTTTTTACTTCAGGTTGGGGGACACGCTTAGAAAGTGAAATACAGGGTATTAGGAAAGCATATTCCTAGGGACTGCTATGGTCCAGGGTTGGAAAGATTTCCTTGAGGAGGCAGTGTTGAGTTGAGACCTAAAAGATAATGAGGATTAACCCAAGGGAAGAAGGCAGGGCAGGGTGGGCAGAGAATCTAACATGTTCTCCACCTATGCAAAACCCTGAGGAGCATGCAACCTGCTTTCTAGGAGCCTCTGGTTTAGGGGGACACCTTTCCTGACCACTCTTGTGAAGAGCAAGTTGCCTTTTCTTTGCCTTCCAGGAATGCTCACTGTCAGAACTATTTATTTGGCTTCTTTCCAAATATACCTTGTTCATCCATCCATTCATTTATTCAACAAACATTGATAGAACATCTAGAGAAATCTCAAGTAAAGAAAACTTATGTGTTCTACATGCCATTTATATAACCATTTTTTTTTTCTTTTTTTGAGACAGAGTCTCACTCTATTACCCAGGCTGGAGTGCAGTGGTGCAATCTCGGTTCACTGCAACTGCTGCCTCCTGGGTTCAAGTGATTCTCCTGCCTTAGCCTCTCGAGGAGCTGGGACTACAGGTGTGCTCCACCTCACCCAGCTGATTTTTTTTTTTTTTTAGTAGAGAGCAGGTTTCACCATGTTGGCCAGGCTGGTCTCGAACTCCTGACCTCAGGTGATCCACCCGTCCTGGCCTCCCAAAGTGCTGGGATTACAAGCATGAGCCACTGTGCCCAGCAATATCCAAATATTTTTAAGGTATATTTTTATAACTCTAGATCTGGTGGTGTTTACTACATTACAGCCCTGATAGCAGGAGACATGTCTTTCATCATTGCTGCCCCTTTCGGTGACTCACACATACTTGGCACTCAATAGATATCAGTGACCCCCAGTGACCCCTGTGCTGATCTCTCACATGGCCATTATCTGCTGCACTTTTAAAAAATCCCTGGCAACATCCTGCAATGTTGAATGTTTCTAGCCTAACAAAAAACATAATTAGGAAGGTAAATCTGCTGAAGCTGAAACAAATCATTTAATTCATTCCACAAGCCAAATGGAAAATGATTTTGAGATTATCCACCGTATTGGGTTATCTGCTCTACTGCTCTGTACCATTAGCTCAGGCAGTTGGGAATTGCTTGCAATTCACAAAGAAGCAGATTGTGTTTGGTTTGCGTTGGCTGTGTACCCTCTTCTGAAGTGGCTGCAAGTCCTCTCCAATTCAGCGAAGGCAGCCAGTCAGGGTGGCCACTAAGCCAAGTCTCTTTCTCTCATGTTGGTGCTTCTGTGTGGTGTGCAGCACATGTGTACATGTGTGTGCCTGCCTTCTTCTACCTAGTCCCCCATCAGCTGAAGGTGGTACCTGGTAGATACTTACTCATTTAACGTTTGGGGTGAAACAGGGCTTCTTATTAACTTTTCACCTTTCTTAGAGGTAAAAGTGACTTGATACTGCCCTATCTAAGGTCATGTTCCTTTCATAAGAGGTAAATAATGCCTTTGTTTTTCAGAGATTTTGGTGAGGCTTCCCAGCCATTCAGAAGCTCCCTTGCCCACAGGAGAGGTTGGGGTGCTGAGCATTTTAGCAGTTGCATTTACTCAGCTGCTTTCATGGATTTCAAACATCTGCTCTAAGACCTCTTTCAGCTTCCCTGGCTTTTCAAAGACCATATGTCTAATATGACATATGAATAGGGTAATCCCATCATGAGACACTTCTCTCAAGGTTTGGGGAAACCTACCCTTAGACCACTGTACCTTAATTCAATGATCACATTGAAAGGGAACAACTGATAAAAGCCTTGTTTGTGAAAGGTGCAGTTCTAAGGTAACTGGGGCCCAAAATGGCAGATTTAAAGAGGGTTCAGATTTCTATTTGCAAAACCTGGGAATGAGTCCTTTAGAGTTACAGCAAAGAAGATGGGAAACATATTGATAGATGAGTAGATAGGAAGAGAGATGATTATTAGGTACATAAGAAATTGCTTTTCCTTTATGCACTTGCTTCCAATATAGCTAAAAATTAGTCTTAAAGAATTTTCTTTACCACATTTTGTCCATGAGTCTGAGGCTGCTTTCTGTCCTTTAGAGTCTGAGGCCTCTTTCTGTCCTTTCAAGTGGTGTCACTGGTGATTTGCAGGCCTGGCTGCACCTGAGAGGCCAGTATGGGCTATTCTGGCGAGGCTCCTGTTAGACCAAGAGAGGCAGACCCAGGCTTGGCAGGTGCCACGCTTTATTAGGAAGGCTAATCATGTGGTTGGCTGCATGTTCTCAAAATGTAGGAAGGCTGAAGTCTTCAGGAGAAACAACTCAATAAAAAGAAAACACCTGACTCAAAGCAGGTTATTTAAATTGTGTGGGCAATTTGCTAATATCACAGTACAAATGACGCTTTTCTTATGCTAACCCAGATAGAATAAAAGACAACTTAGAGAGTCTCATTAAAAGCACCATAACTTTTATATCAAAAATATTGCTGCAATCTAAATGCAGGATGATTCCATCTACATTAGCATACTTTTATAAAAGCATGAGAAAAGCCTCGAACCTATAAATCTAGCATGATGATAGGGTGGCATCCCATAATGTAAACTATCACCTAGACTTTTTGCTCAGGGAGAAATCTCAAGCAATTCTTTTAAGTGTTCTTTAATAATCTCTAATAGCACTGAAGAATACTATCTACATGAACTGTGATAGCAATTCCCCTCCATGCATCTTTTCTCCATCCCTATGCCGCTACTTAAAAGTTGGCTAAAAAGGTAAGGGCATGTGGTAACAGCCAGTAAGAAGCCAGGACTCTCAGTCATACAGCCACAAGGAACTGAATTCTGCCAACGACCAGGTGAACTTTAAAAGAGGACCCCAATCTCACACCCTCACTGACCCCGTGATTGCAGCTCCATGAAACCCTAAGTAGAGAACCGAGCTAATGTGCTCAGACCCCTGACCTGCAGAAACTGTAAAATAATTAATGTATACTATTTTAAGGCACTTAATCTGTGGTAATTTGTTAGACAGCAACAAAAACTAAGGCAACTGTACTCTTTATAAAATATTCCATCATAAAACTTTTAAATGGAAAAGTCCCTGGGCACTGCCATAGGATTCAAAGTACCTGTATAAAGTTGCAGCTTACACACAATTTCTGACCTATAATCATGACAGCATCAAGCAAGGTGTGACTGTACTTCTGTTGCCACCTGATTGCCTCTACCTCCAAGGAAGTCCTTCGATGGTGGAACTGTCTTGTGTCTATCCCATAGCATCACCGCTCTTCCTGACCCCCTTTTCAGTTGTCTTAGCACAGAGACATTTGATCCAAGTAGGAATTATTAGCCCTGAGGGGCCTAGGAGGAGGGGTAGAAAATAACAATCCCCTTTCCCTACTAACAGCCCTAACCCTCCCAGAATTTCAACTAAAGCTGCACATTGAGAATCTACAAGGTTATCCAGGCAGACTTTCATGCTGGCCCTTTCCTGTTTCGCCCGAGGGAGAATCTGGCCAACTATATATTCATTGCTATTTTCCCCATTATTTATTACCTAGACAGAATAGCATGATTAATTATTGATCACAGACCAGTAACTGATTAAAGTGTGGTTCTGATCAGCAGTCAAAAGTCATTTGTTTCCAGGCATTCATAGTTCCTGCATAGAGAGTGGCAGAACAATACTCTCTTTTCAGTGCATAAAATATGACACCTGTAGATGGGCTGTAGTTATAAGCCAGCAACAGAGCCCTTCAACCATACTTTGTCTTAATAAATGTGAAATAATGATTTGCCAAAAGAGAGAAACTGTTTGGAAGATTTACATGTAGAGAATAAGATGTGAAATATAATAGGAGGATTCTAATTAGATTTGTTTCGCATGGACTAAATGCTTTGCTGAAGAGAAACTCACTAGGAATAGCTCTTTACCATCTGGGAAGCATATCGCATTTTGTCTCATTCTTGCCTTATTTCTGGGTTTATTCTTGCTCTCCACCTTTTCCTCAATCTCTCCTTCCCTTCCTTCTTCCCCTGTTCCCCGCTTCTTTTCCTCTTTCTCTCCCTCCCTTTTTTTTTTTTTTTTTTTTGGTTTTTTGTTGGATGATGTATGTCAGAAGTTGGCAAACTATAGCCCAAGGTCAAATCTGGTCCACCACATGGTTTTGTAAATAAAGTTTTGGAATCCAACCAGGCTCATTCATTTTCATATTGTCTATAGGTGCTTTTGTACTACAACAGAAGCTGAGTTGTTATGACAAGACCATAGTGTCCACAAAGCCTAAAAGGTGTACTAGCTGGCTCTTTATAGAAGCACGCTTGCTGACTCCTATTCTATGTACCAGGTAATAGGGACACAGTAAATAAAACACAGTCCCTGTCCTCAGTGGCTTCAGAGTTTTATATGAGTATCTAATTATACTGTGCTGTGAAGGGTAAGATGACGGTCATCTGAAGTAATGTGGGAACCAGGAAACAAACATTGTTATGTATTTAGGATATGGAATTAGAGGACACCATCTCAGTGAAGGTAATGTTTGAGTTGGGAGTTTCCTGGCAGTTTGGAAGTGGATAAAAATAATCAGGACTTGAATCTTGTAGCACAAATATCTTCTTTCAGCCTAGACAAAATACCAAATCAAAAGTGACAATTCCTTTTTTGGAGGTTTACTTTTTTTTTTTTTTTCCTGGCCAGTACCAAAGTTATTTTTGAGTCTTCCACTGCAGTGACCTTAGAGTTTTAAGCCATATGTGCTTCAAGAGAGGTGTCCCTGTAGTTCTGGTGGTGAGCCCCCACCTCTATCTGAACTTGGCTGGAAGCTAAGTTCATTTGAAACTAGCAAACATTTTGGTTTTTGGTTTCTTCTTCTCTCTTATAAAATACTGTTCAAGCTCAAAGTCAGCAGTTCATTTCAAGAGCCTGGTTCTTGAAACCTGGGATGCATTCAAGACCAAGCAAAAACAAAAACCCAATTACAAAAATCAAGTAAAGACCAGAAGCCACCATGTCTGATTTATGAGCTCTTTCTCTCAGAGCAGAAAGTGAAACTGGTACCAGAAGAATGTGCAAATCATTTGAAAATCAGTTCAAAAAAATATGGGCAGCAAGGCTTTGCCCCGGAAATAATAAAATCCACCAGAATGAGTCAAACCATCAGACTTAATCTTTCAATTATCAAGATGCCAATTCTTATGTGAGAAGAGTTTAATCCAAAATTCTACGGCAAAAGAAAGTTCCCTTTGTGGAATGTGAAGTGAATGATGGCTGAGTGAGGGACTCATTTTGACTTTTGAACTTGCGCATCAAACTGTGGAATCACCTCCCTGGAGTTGTTAGTTTCTCTAAGCAGAAACTGTAGAAGCTTTGGCACAGCTAGGAAAAGTGATGGTGTCAGGTAACAAGCCAGGACTTGAGTCAGCCAAGCCTGTGTTTGAATTCCCCAGTTGCCATTTCTGTGGCCTTGATCAAGTCATCTAACCTCTCCCTACCCTGAGGTATTCATCTGCTAAATGGGGATAGTAACAGTGATATCATGTGGCAATTGTAAGAGTGCCATGAAGTAATATAAATAAATCAATTAGTACCATTCCCAACAGAAAGCAGGTAATTACTAAATTAACTATTTTTATTTTTAGGTTAATGTTATAGTCATTTGATTTCCCAGGAGGTATTGGGGATGGTAGAGAATGACTTGGAGTTTAAAGCTCATACTTTTGCCCACACATACTTAGAAATGTGCTCACCGAATCCATTGAAGTGGGAATGGTGCTTACTGAGCAATTTGTGAGTGCAAATTTCTGAACGTTTGCTTGAAGAATGACAACAGAAAGGATAATAGAATCTTTAGAAGACAAGTCTATTTACTCAGCCTCCATTGGATAAGCATTAATGTATTAGATATTGGTCAATGGCTTGGGAGACAAAGACAAATAAAATATTGTTCTTGGCTCAAGATTTTATAGTCTAGTTCCTCTGTGGACATGCTACCAGAAGACAAATTTTGTGTGAAAGTACTATAGTGGAGTCAATTATTCAGATGGCAGCAAGGGAACAAGGAGGGACTCATGGAAGAAGAAACTTCTGAGCTGAAATTCAAAGAACGAGTAGGTTTTTCAGGTAGGCAGGCAAGGGGAAGACATGCCAGGCAGAAAGACCCATGCAGAAAGACACCAAACATGGAAGACCATAATTTAGTGCATGTAGGAAATAGTGGAGGAAGATGCAGCTGAACTGGTTGGCTGAGCCTTATATACCCCTTGTCAAACTAGACATTTGGTTTGAATCCTGTAGATTGGGGGAGCCATTAAGAAATTTTGAGTAGACGATTCACCTGGCCCTGTGTGCTTGTTAGAAAGATAATCTGGCTGGCAGTGTGCAGGATTAATTGGAGGCAGGGAAGCAGGGAGACAGATCAGTTATGAGCCTCTTGCAAATACCCAGGCAAGAGAGAATGAGGTTCTGACAGGGTTGTGGTAGTAAAGAGGAAGAGAAGAAAAAGCATGAGTGATGCTGAGAAGGTAGAAACTGATACAAATTGATAGGAGCCGATTATTATTTGAGTTTAGGTGTGCAGATCATGCACAGCATTGACAGAAATTTGATGTGTGCATCTGAGAACTCCTGTGATTTGAGATGGGATATAGACCACAGCATGAACTCTTGTTGGTTTCATCTGGGAGACCAATGTTGTCCCGCCCATATTAGCTACTTGAGATTCTAAATGGACCAGAGACTCCCTTCAAGGTCAAACCTTGTTGATTGATATGTGGTTGCATCACCTGCAATGTGGGCCAGTCTAAGTTAAGGTTAAGGAGCACACACTGTTTGTGGGCCTTAGTTTGTCATCAAAAAGGAATAGACTGATCATCAAAAATGAATGTGTCACACATTTCCTACAAATTCTGGCTTCTTAGAAACTCTAAATAAAAACTTCAGTCTCTTAGAGATCATATTTCAATATCATACTAATCACAATTATTCAACCATTCATCTACCCATCTATCCATCTGTCCATCCATCATTGATTATCTCTGTCTAGCCACAAAAGCCACCAGTGAGTTTTAACAGATCCAAATCAATTTATCAAGCATTGCCTTCATGAAAGAGTCAGGAAATCTCAGGATTTAGATTAGAAAATATCTTTTGTCAAATATAAAATCTACAAATATTTGTTTGACACTTGCTTTTATAATGCAAATCTTATGTTTGTTAATATCCAGTATGCAATTTTTAAAATGTAACATAAGCATTTTGTATATAAAAGTTTAGTGTGCGTGTGTGCATAATAATAGAATACTTTTTTAAAGGGTACTTCCTAATGAGGTGATTACTGTGAACATATATTTTTGGTGTATGTATGTATGTGTATAAGTATATATATATATATTTATGTGTGTGTGTGTATATATGTATATATATTAAATCTAATTCTTAACATATGCTAATCTCCATAGCACATGTAATATTAAAAGAAAATTTGGTAATACTTTAAATGTCCTATCATTGTGAATTCATTTTATATTCATTGTAATAGCATTGATCAAAATGAATTCATTTGGTATTCATGTAGATGTCACATGTACTTCCATAGGTGTTTCATTGTAAATTAGCATTTCTCAGAGGACGCTTAAAATAAGTGTTACTGAAAGTCCTCATTACACATATTGCCGAGATTAGTACATTAAGGATCATGTACTTACATAGCACTAATGCATTTCTGCCACTTAAAATACTACATTACCCATTTCTGATATCTAGCAAATATCTAAGGCAATTTTGAGAATTACTAACATGCTAAAGGAAGTTGTACTTTTATGATTAAGCAGGTTGCCTATATTTTGCTCTGATTTTCTTTTTAAGCTAAAGTTCTGTTGGATACAAAAAAAGAAGGTTAGAAGTGAAATGTATATGATGACAACAATGGCATTTAAATGACTTTGGTATAGTCAGGCACCCAATGAAAGTAGAATTTTATCTAATTTTATTTTTGACAAATCACCTCATTTAAAAAATCAAATGAAGTTAGGAATTTGTGGACTAGAAAATAAATTTGCCAAAAAACATTGATATACCATTTTTGGGCTTGACTTATCTCAGAAGCTAAAAACAAACACATGAGCGAATGAAGGACAATTTATCTTTGCTGTGTATGATTTCCTTATAGGTTTCTTATTATTGTTTTGGGCAGAAATTTTGTTGAGATTATCATGGATGTTGGGAAGGAATGGCAATGACTCACACAGGTGGCATCTGGCTGCAGGAGAATCGAGTAGGTGGAGAGATTGTTCTTAGTCTTCAACTGCCTGAGAATTCTGATAGAGAAAGGTGTGATGAGGGGCATGTAGGTGGCAACAGGCTTGCACATCAACCAGGTAAAGCTTTGGGATTTACCAGGATACTCTGAGTGCTTGCTAGGATGTCTGTCATACAGTGAGAGCCATTCTTTAAAAAGATACAAAATATGCTTTGAAGAATAGGGTTTCCAAGTTCACTGTTGGTGAGAATGCAAAATGGTACAGCCACTATGGAAAACAGTATGGTGGTTCCTCAAAAAATTAAAAATAGAGCTGCCACATGATCTAGCAATTCTACTTTTGGGTATTTATTCAAAAGAGCTGAAATCAGGATCTCTGCATGCCCATGTTCATTGCAGCACTATTCACAATAGCCAGGATGTAGGAACAACCTAAATGTCCACGAACAGATAATGGATAAAGAAACTGTGGCATATACATACAATGGAATATTATTCAGCTTTAAAAAAGACATTCTGCAATATGCAACAACATGGGTGGATCTTGAGGACGTTATGCTAAGTGAAATAAGCCAGTGACAGGTGGACAAATACTGAGGAATATGAGGAATCGAACACAATTAAATTCATAGAATCAAAAAGCGAAATGATGGTTTCCAGGGGCTCCGGGGAAGGGAAAATGGGGACTGGTTAATCAAAGGGCCTAAATATCAGTTTGAGATGAAGAAGTTCTAGAGATCTGCTGTATAACATTGTACCTATAGTTAACAATATAGTATTCCACAATTAAAAATTTATTAAAAGGGTAGATCTCACGTTGTGTTCTTATGACAACACTAACTTTTTAAAAAGAATAGGGGTTCTCCCGGGAGGCGGAGCTTGCAGTGAGCCGAGATCCCGCCACTGCACTCCAGCCTGGGCGACAGAGCGAGACTCCGTCTCAAAAAAAAAAAAAAAAAAAAAAAAAAAGAATAGGGGTTCTCATTTAAAAGTTGGGCACTAAGGGCTTTAGAGTCACACATGGGAAAACCCTTAGTGCTTCTAGGACACACTGATCATCATCAATTGTAGCTCTGAAGTTCTTTTACTTTTAGATTGATTTATTTTTGCCTTCCTCTCTGCAAGGATAGTCTGTTTGCTGTCTACACCTGTTACCACCTTGAAGGGCCGTCCCTGAAATAGAGTTTCTCCCTTCAGCCACGCTGTCAGGAGACATCACCTTATTTGGTGCTGACTCCGTGGGAGCCAAATTTTCAGCAGGCTACCAACTCACACCTGCAGAATTTGCCCAGCACATCCGTTTTGCAAACACACAAAATGGGTAATTGGGCACACAAATGCCTATTTGCGTTGCAATTTGGCATTTGTATACACAGTAATGGATTTTTTTCATGTGCAAATGTGAGGGACACAAGTACAAAATGGATGTTCTCAAGCAGGAAGGGTGCCTTTAAAAACATATATGTTTTCAAAAACCTTCTAGAAATTTGAGGAGTGCCAGGAAAATGGTTAGGTACATGGATATATTTCAGACCCCACTCCTCACCCCGCCCCCATTCAGGCAAAGTCCTGATAAAACACGTTTCACTGGTTACTTTTTGAAGATGGGCTACCTTTTTCTCAAATAGGCAGACAGACATTCCAAGTTTTTACCCCTATAACAAAGGACTTACCTAAAGTGTCATGGAGTCAACTAATAAATGTTAATACTTTAGCTCTAATGAAATATAAGGAGTATTTATATTCTTAGTGTTTGGTGTTTTGTAACAAGTGCCATATACTGGTTTTGAGGTGCATTGTCTTATTTGGTATTAAAGTTACACACACACACACATGCAGAAACATTTGGAACCATAGATTTTTATAACTAACTGGAGTGGTGCAGAACAAAATAATGATGGCACTTGTACGGGGAATGGCTGCAGAGCTTTGAGGTGTTCCACATGTTCAGTTCATTCTCTGGTTTCTTTGTCCCTTCTGTCTGCCCTTGGCCCTTTAAGCCACAGTGCTGCTCACTCAAATCTCGTCTTGTTTAGCAGGGCACAGGAAAGGAAGCCAGGAGTACTTAAGGTGTCCTAGGCTATGGCCCAGGACTCTGCCTTCCTTTGCAAGCCACTCACCTGTGTCTGCCTGTTGTCCCCGGCTGTGGCCTTGGTTTCACACATTTGAGTCCTTATCATCTCCTGTGGAACCCCTCTGGGCTCTGTGTACTGGCTTTCCTGTTCTCTTGTAGCTCCACCTCCTTCCTTTGGCAGCACCCGTGATGCTCCTTAGAATCTGCTTCTAGGATGACTGACCCATGGTTTACACATGAACTTCTTCTGCCCAAAAACTATGGGTCTCAACCAAGGCTTTGTCCCTGTCTCCCCACTCCTTCCTCTGAACATTCTTACCATTTCTGAACTCAGGTGCACTTATGACTTCCAGTGTTGCCCATAGTCTGATCTATACCACCAACCTATGTTTGTACAGTTTCAGCGTGTTGTAATCTCTAATTTAACATGCCTACAACTAGATCTGGTTTTATTTTGTTTTTTTTCTCCCAGGGTTTAACTTGCCATCCCAGTCTCTCCTCTCCAGTCTTTTTATCCTCACCAGTGCCTTGCTTGTCTCTTCAATGCTCATCCCAAGGGCCATCACGTCATGTTGAGACATCTTTTGCAATGTCTCTTGGGTTCTAAGCCTTTCACTTTATTACGGATACAGCTGTCGGGTCCTCTTATGTCTGGATGGTGGTATTTACTCTCTGAGATGTCTCTTGCTTAGCTACTGTTTCATTAAATGCCCTGCTTACTGTGGCATTCATCTAATTATGAGCTAAAATGATTCCATGTTGAAAGATCAAGTTCCAACCTCCCATCATGACCTTCAAGGTGGATATTTGATGTGATTTGGCTGTGTCCCCACCCAAATCTCATCTCGAATTGTAGTTTTCATAATTCCCACATGACCTGGTGGGAGGCACTTGAATCATGAGATGGTTACCCCCGTGCTGTTTCTGTGATAGTGTGTTAGTTCTCACGAGGTCTGATGGTTTTATAACGGGCCTTTCCCCCTTTACTCAGCACTCACTCTCTTTCCTCCTGCCATGTGAAGAAAGACATGTTTGTATCCCCTTCTGCCATGATTGTAAGATTCCTGAGGCCTCCCCAGCCATGCACAACTATGTCAATTAAATCTCTTTCCTTTACAAATTATCCAGTCTCAGGTATTTCTTTATAGCAGCATGAGAATGGACTAATACATATTCAACATTATATCCCACAGTAATCATGGAAACTTCTCAGGACAAGTTTTTCATTCCAGGCAGACTTTTCTGTTCCTTTGCCCCTGTATGCTCCTCTCTTACATGCCTCTGTGACTTTTTCCATTTGGATTTCCCAACCTGGAATGTTTTCAGCCTCCTATTTATTTAAATTTTCAAACAACTGTGAAGGCTCCCACAAACTCTAGCACTTTAAAGCAACTGTTTAAAGTTACCCCAGCCAATACAAATTTTGTTTATTCTAAATCCTACAGATTGTGGAAGCCCTACACCAGCAGCTCTACATGAATTGGGCAGTTCCCGGAACTGGTTTTTTTGGGTCTCACACCAGACTGGAAGTTCTTCAAGGATAGTCACTGTGTTTTACAACACATACAATGTTATATCTTTTGCAATGCTTAGCACAGTGCTAGTCATGTAGAAAATGTGTGCTTAATACTTACTGGCTTTGTCTTCACATCATGCAGGGGTTGGAGGTTAGAAGAGAAGGTTGAAGAGTTAGTGGCTGGGGGAAAGTCATGAAGCTCCATTAAATATTCTTTATTTACAAAGCTGCCAGCACACCGGGTTAGTATTATTATTTTATGTAACTCCAGATCCTCCCCTTTCCTCCTCCTCCAGAGTAACAAGGGCCTAATAGGCTTCATGTATAAGTGCCTATTTTTATTAAAGACAAGTGTAATCTTTTGTAGACCAAATGTCCCTATCATAAATGCTAACGGAGAAAAATATTAGGACTCATTTATTTATGAACCTGTTAATAATGAGGTGCAGTTATGAAAAAAAGACTTCCTCAGCAAAAGCTCCTGAACAAACAATGCGCTACTGGGGAAAAAGGAGCTAGTTAGCCTTCTTGACTTAGATAAAGCTATGGAGAAATGACAAGTGCCAGTAATTAGCGCAGCCTCTTCAACAAGATAACCCTATACATCTTTGTCTATTTCAATCACCAAAGACTCCGATTCAGTGTAAAATTAAACCTTGGATGCCATCAATTTCTGTTAACCTCTTTATATTGTTCTGTGTTCATGCCTATGTGATAGATAGATTTTGTCATTTTATTAAACGGTGACATCTCTACAGTCACGTGACCTAAAAATCTGTTTGCTCCTTTGCAAAGTATTCTTAATCATCGCCTGCTATGTTTCCCAACCAGGGGACGAGATTTATTCCCGGATCCCATTGGCGAATTCCTAGTCTGTAAGAACTTGATACTTCTGTTTGCTAGAACTACCCTGCATTTAGCAGCTTACTTAAAACCTGCATTCCCCCAAATAATCTAGGTAGAAAACTAGTCAAGACTGAATATAAGATTGTAGTTCAAGCTGTTTATTATATTCATGTACCCATTTTTAAAAGTGTGATTTAAAGCATATTGCCCTATATGTATATTTATTTCCTTCTCATACCCAGTACAACCCACTATTTTAGAGGGTCCTGACTACCTACGGCTTTAGCAGTTAGTTTTTATCTGGGCTCTTTTGAAATTTTATTGCTTAATATTCTTTGCAGCCAATGGCTTTTTAAAAATTAATTAATTCATGATTGCAAGGAATAACAATAAAGGTTATCCAAATTGGGAAATAATTGGAAATTATAAGATATCACAGTTTGACCTTGAGGTCCAGGTTTATACACAGTAGTCTTGTGCAGACTCGTGACAGAGCCAGCAGAACCAAAGGGTATGGAAGTTTTTCAGCTGTCCTGCCAGGCTCATGTGTGAGAGAAGCCTCTGACCAGGGCACAGGGAAACATCACTTAACTTAGAAGAAAAATGTACAGAGCTATTTCTACCCTAACATGCTCTAAATTCCTACTTCCCTTCAAGACCTTTTTTCCAAATTTTATGTCTTTAAGAATAACTACCATTTAATTTTGCCCAGGTCTGCATTTCTTTTTCTCCTCTTGCTAGAAACTTCACTCCCCTTGTTGAGTAACATTTCTGTTTTCATGTTTTTTCTCTCACCTTTTCCTACCTACATTGCCCTTGCTCTCGCAAGCACTCTTTTTCTGTCTTTTATTCAGGAGACAACATAACTAACATGCTTAGTCCCTTTTGGCAAGAAATGTGCCAAAATTCAGCTTCTGTAAACTTCTCCTCACTTTGAGCCCTAATTGCAATGAGTCCCTGGGAAGTATTACAAGCTATCTTTTAAATATGTATTTACACAACATTTTAAAGCACACATTATTTAGCCAGTAGAGCAAAACAGCTCACAACAAGTAAATGGAATAAAGCACATTTAGAGGCCGCTTAAAAGCACAGGTTTGCTCTGTGGCAAATGGTGAGGAAGCTTTTGAGACGGGTGCTGTTTATCAAGGGGACTCTGCTCCAGGCCTTCTACCTTGTTGTGGTGATTGTCTTTTGTGACCTGGGGCTTCCCCCCTGTGGGTTAGACAGGAAAGACCGTTGAGTGAAAGTCACTCTGATCTTTAAATCTGTGAAGGTTTCAGTAGCTGAAGACAGAGGTAGTGATGCAGGGGAAGGAAAGACAGAAAGAAAATTAGAAAGTAGGCAAGAAGAAAGAAAACTTAGAAGAAAAGGACACTGACATTTTGGAAACAAAGACAGTCTACCTAGGTAGCTATTCCGAGCTAAAAAGAGGTGTAGATCTCCCTGGGAAAGACGTACAAAAATGTACTCTTTGCCTCTAAGTGGTTATGACCGGGGCTGTTTGGGTTATTAGGCAGCCCCGGGAAAGGCTGGCTGATCATGAGCAAAAACACAGAGGCAGCACAGGTACAAATTCTATTTGAAAGCTCCATCAACCAACCAACCAACCAAACAACAACAAAAGGAGCAATTTGATTTTTAGAGAGTGTTACTGTCCAAATTGCACCCCTAGATATTGAAGAGTTTACAGAATTCCATGTACCTAGTCATATTCCAGTTTTCCTTTGCTCAGGTCTGGCTTTTCCAATTTCCTGTTGTTTTTCATGTTCTCTGGCTAGAATCCCCCGAGCCCTGGGCAAAGTCTCTGAGGTGTGCCTGTCATTTCTGCCCCGTCGTCCTGTGTTTACTTTGCCTCCCACTTTTCCTCCTCTGTGGCTTAAGCTTTTTATACTCTTCCCCAGGCATGTTCCAACTTTTCAGGTGTGTTCTGAGCACCACCCTTTCCCTATTAGAGAGGGAGAGAGGGAGAGAGAGAGAGAGAGCTAGAGAGAGCTCATGTGGTTTAATTTTCATTATTTTAGGTGTTAAGTTTTAGATTAGCATACTATGTCTTAAACTACTGTATTAGAATGCTGCTTGACTCATTTCCAAATTGA